>NC_000015.10:36610207-36913237 GCF_000001405.40 Homo sapiens
GGATAATTGCATGTTGAAATGATATTTGACTAAAGCAAGGGGCATGTAGGAAGTCACTTCAAATTGTGGTGTTGTAGAGAAGTACCTAATTGCTTGTTCCTCTTGTCACTTTGCTTCTTTTAAGTGACTTAAGCAAGGTAGATTCTTAAATTGTGCCTTTATAAATCTTTTCAGTTGTGTAATGTGAAAATTATTAATGTATGATTATCTAGACGTAGTTGTGTAGTATATCATCTTCTTTGGATAGTTAATGAGATGTTGGCTTTTGTGCCATTTATCTTGGGAAAAAAGAATAGCTTTCTTTCACATCCACTTCTTTTGCCACACTTTATCTTTTATTTGGATGGGTTTGTATATAACTGCGTGTGAGTGTGTATGTGGGTGTGTATTTTTGTTTGCTTTATGTGTAAGTGATAATAAGAATATATGAATCTAGTTCTCAGCTAGATTCTATTTGCCTAAACAAAGGTGGATACCTGCCCTCTGCAAAGGCTACTGCCTTAAGAAAATTAAGTGTCCACAGAATTGGTGACCTGTTTTTAAGAGAACCTGTAACATCTTTCTAAATGACAAATCATTCCAGCAATATTTAATATTGGCAATTTTCTTCTGTCTGCTTTTAGAACTTATTGGCCAGCCAGGTCAGACATTATTAAAGTTCAAGGGGTCCAGTGGGAAGAGTAATGGTTTTGTGCTACTAGGAATTTTAAGTGTTGCCATTTTCAGGTGTTATAGCATCTGTTCTCACATGCCACTAAAAATGTATAGAAGTTTTAGACCAAATTCAGGGTCAAGGTTACAAGAGTGATGATGCTTCTGACTCATTCTCTTAGCGTTATGTTACCCAAATTATCTGCATAACATTCTGTAGTAAGATCATTTTTAACAAGTTATTTGAAAGAACTTATTATAACAGGCTTTTTTGGGGGAGGCCTTAGCACTTCTTGGCAATTTGTTTAGGTACAGTTGGAGAATCTGGTTCTGACTGAACTGGGTAGCTATTGACAATACTCAGATAGACAGTAGGGAGTCCTTTAGTTCTGAGAATAACTGTGTTTTCTACTTACCAGAAGCAATGCCTTTTGAATATAAAAGTCTTGGGGAGGCTGAGTCCTGTGCTACATACTCTTTTGAGAGTCCACTCTCCAGCACGTGGAAATTGTCAACAAACAGGTGCTTGATAAATATTTGTTGAAATTCTGAATAAGTGAACTAACCACCTATTTCAAGAGGCTTCCAAATGTGTAGCTATTTAATGTACATTGGTGGGTTTAATGAAATGAAGAAAGACTGAGAAGGAAACTTATACAAAATTATCATGGGTTGGTTGAGTGAATCTAGGTATACCTGCATCTCTTTTGAGATGAAATGTCCATACCTCATAAAATCAGCTGATTTTAAAATTTTCTTAGTATTATCATTATCTTGAAAGAGAATAGGAGAAAGAAAGTTTGTGTTTTGGGAATCGAATACTTTATTCCTAAAGTTGGTAAATATTTTACTAAACGGAATCGATCATGTCTTGAACTAAAAACATCAGCAAGGCATTTGCCTTTTATCAAATGAATATCAAGTTGTTTTTTTGGTGGTATCTCTAGCCCTACACTCTGTTATTCACCAATGGTGTTTGTGAAATGAAGTTCATAATTATTAGAGATAACTCTTAAAGGAATAACATATAGTAGGAATTTAAAATGGCTTAAATTTATTGAGTAAGTAAAGTGAATGAAGACAACTTTTAGCCGTGGTACATTGTTCAGAATTATAGTAGCTTCATTTATAATTGTTGAGTTCACTTGGATAGAGTGCTGTTCCCATGATAGAAAATGTAGTTTTCCCCAGGTGTCTGTTTTCTCATTCTTCTAATGTGATAGAATCCTCCAGTTTTGACCAGAACATGACTTCCAAGAACAGAGGCGTCCTTGTATCTTTCATGGCCATGGGACTGAGTTCTGGCTATTGCAGAGTAAGCGTAAGTTTCATGTGGCAGCTTAGTTTTATGTGGAGCCTTCCCTAAGAGACAGCCCTTGTCTCTCTTCTTCAGGATCCTTTCTCAGTCTTGCTGTCTGGAATGCACATGCCACAGTCTTAACTGTGGGCTGATAGAATGGTGAGCTGACAGGAGCCTGGGTCCCAAGGACTTCCTGGAGCAAAATTGCTGTGGTGGAAGAGACAAATCTTACTGGGAAAGACAAACATTTCTGTACGGTATAATCCACAGTTATTTGGGATTGTATTTTCTATCCCTCGTAAGCGAACCTCACCCCATCTATTAGAGAT
Source organism: Homo sapiens (assembly GCF_000001405.40). NCBI lineage: Eukaryota > Metazoa > Chordata > Mammalia > Primates > Hominidae > Homo > Homo sapiens. Next base: position 36,612,488 of record NC_000015.10, read on the forward strand.
AGATGGGCTGGGTTTTATCAGATTGGATTCCTAGGATATGAGATCAGAATGAGGCTGCATGAGAACAAGTTTGTCACCATATTCAGAGCCATTTTAAAGTGTGTGCCTTACTGATTGCTGGTGAGTCACGTAGCCTTTTAGTAAGCTTGGCATGTTATGATGCTGAGCGTCTTTACTTCCCTGGTTCTGGATTTGGTCTGACTATGTCAGGACTTGTATATGGCTTTTACAGATTTCCTGCAATGACTAGTCTGCATTATCTTCTTGGATGTTGTAAAGATAGAGAGTTGGGTTAGGGAGCGGTTACTGATTATATAATCAACAGGTCACAGTGCTCTTTTCAGGCATCATTATTTTTAGTCTGGACATAAACATCTTTTCCCTAAGAAAACGTTTCCATCAATCTCAGTATTTGTCGATATCTCTTAAAAAGGTAACAGTTGGTTGCTTGAATTTTGTGATATTGTAGCCATTATCAAAATGAAAGCAGAGGCCAAAACATACTAGGTTTTTGTTCTGTATTTGATATAGTCAAAATTTCTAAGACTTAATTAGGAGCACACACTCTCTTATTCTTGTGAAGCTTAAAATCACTAATTGTTAGGCACCACGGTGTTTGGAAGCAAAACATCTCCGTTAGCAATGGCATCTCTGTTATGTGTTCACATGTTATCTCAATGCATGTTCATTTGCTGTGTCTGTGAGTTGCAATGTTTTTACATTTTCCCTTAAAATGGATGTGTGTGTTTGGTATGCGGGTGTGGATGTTAGGGAATGAGAGGAGGAGGGTCATTCTTCACTAAGTCATCACTTGGAAGGCTAATAGGTGCAAGTCACTGTGCTATATATTGATGACGTAAAGTTAAAAAGATGTAAAGATAAAAAAAGGATTCCTTGTCTTAAGAACTCAGTTTTGGAGAGGAGGCTGCAACGCTGAGTGGAGGAGGCAGGAACTGGAGCGTGAGCAGTAGCTAGGTGGGCACCATGGCTGGGATCACCACCATCAAGGCGGTGAAGCGCAAGATCCAGGTTGTGCAGCAGCAGGCAGATGATGCAGAGGAGTGAGCTGAGCGCCTCCAGCAAGAAGTTGAGGGAGAAAGGCGGGCCCGGGAACAGGCTGAGGCTGAGGTGGCCTCCTTGAACCGTAGGATCAAGCTGGTTGAAGAGGAGCTGGACCGTGCTCAGGAGCGCCTGGCTACTGCCCTGCAAAAGCTAGAAGAAGCGGAAAAAGCTGCTGATGAGAGTGAGACAGGTATGAAGGTTTTTGAAAACCGGGCCTTAAAAGATGAAGAAAAGATAGAACTCCAGGAAATCCAACCCAAAGAAGCTAAGCACATTGCAGAAGAGGCAGATAGGAAGTATGAAGAGGTGGCTTGTAAGTGGGTGATCACTGAAGGAGACTTGGAACGCACAGAGAATGAGCTGAGCTGGCAGAGCCCCATTGCCGAGAGATGGATGAGCAGATCAGACTGATGGACCAGAACCTGAAGTGTCTGAGTGCTGCTGAAGAAAACTACTCTCAAAAAGAAGACAAATATGAGGAAGAGATCAAGATTCTACTGATAAACTCAAGGAGAGACCTGTGCTGAGTTTGCTGAGAGATCGGTAGCCAAGCTGGAAATGACTTGGAAGATAAACTGAAATGCACCAAAGAGGAGTATTCTGTACACAGAGGTTGCTGGACCAGACTCTGCTGACCTGAATGAGCTGTAGAATGCCCCATTCCCACCCTGCTGCTGCTCCTCCCTCTGACCCTGACTCCACCTAAGGCCAGCCTGCCCGAAGCTGACCTTTAACTGAGGGCCGATCTTTAACTGGAAGGCTGCTTTCTCCTTTCGCCACCCCCTTCTCCCCTGTGGCTTTTTTGCCAAACTGTCTCTGCCTCTTCCCAGAGATTCCAGCTGGGCTAGAGGCTGAGCACCTTTGGAAACAACATTTAAGGGAATGTGAGCACAATGCATAGTGTCTTTAAAAAGCATGTTATGATGTACACATTTTGTAATTACCTTTTTTGTTGTTTTGTAGCAACCATTTGTCAAACATTCCAAATAATTCCACAGCCCTGAAGCAGCAATCTAATCCCTTTCTCACTTTTGGAAGGTGACTTTTCACCTTAATGCATATTCCCCTCTCCATAGAGGAGAGGAAAAGGTATAGGCCTGCCTTACTGAGAGCCAAACAGAGCCCAGGGAAAGACTGTACTATGGGAAGCCTCATTGCTGTCTACAAAGTACTAGCTAAACCAGAAAGGTGATTCCAGGAGGAGTTAGCCAAACAACAACAAAAACAAAAAATGTGCTGTTCAAGTTTTCAGCTTTAATATATCTTTGGATAATGTTATTTCTATTTTATTTTTTCATTAGAAGTCACCAAATTAAGATGGTAAGACCTCTGAGACAAAATTTTTGTCCCATCTCTACCCCCTCCCAACTGCTTACAGAATGGATCATGTCCCCCCTTATGTTGAGGTAACCATTTAATTGCTTTCCTGCCTCCTTGAAAGAAAGAAAGAAGATTGTGTTTTTGCCACTGATTTAGCCGTGTGAAACTCATCTCATTACCCTTTTCTGGGTTTGAAGCTGCTGTCTCTAGAAGTGCCATCTCATTGTGCTTTGTATCAGTCAGTGCTGGAGAAATCTTGAATAGCTTACGTACAAAACTTTTTAAAATTTATATTATTTTGAAACTTTGCTTCTTTGGGTTTGTGGCACCCTGGCCACCGCATCTGGCTGTGACAGCCTCTGCAGTCCGTGGGCTGGCAGTTTGTTGATCTTTTAAAGTTTCTTTCCCTACCCAGTGCCCATTTTCTGGTAAGGTTTCTAGGAGGTCTGTTAGGTGTACATCCTGCAGCTTATTGGCTTAAAATGTACTCTCCTTTGATGTGGTCTCTTTGGGGCTGATTGGGAGAAAGAGAAATCAATAGTGCAACTGTTTTGATACTGAATATTGACAAGTGTCTTTTTGAAATAAAGAACCAGTCCCTCCAAAAATGAAAATAATAATAATAAAAAGAACTCAATTTAATGGAAAAGCAAATGAAGAAAAGAATACTTCAATTAAAATTAATCTGCACAATGAAGTGTGGTCCAAAAAATAATTAAATTTCAACATGAGACTTATTTATGGGCTCACTAAATCCAGAAATCTGAAGGGTTTCATGAACTCCTAGCCCAAAGCAATTCTATTGAGAGCCCCTGAAACAGCAGTGCGAGTCCCGCAACAACCAATGAAAGATTATTCTACCTACATTTGTGAATGCTTAAAATTTAGTTTTTTAAAAACACAGTCCTTCTCAATTTCTTGTTTTGTTTTTTGGTTTGAAGTTACATGTTGTTTTTCCTCTGGTTTTCTTCTTGGGGCATTATATAATTGTCAGAATTCTGTTAAAATTCAGGTTTGATGTAGTCATTTTGGAAATTCCCAGGTATCCTCCTTCATATTTTTATTCTAAAAGCAATTCTGAAGAACATTTGCCTTCACAGTGTTTCAATTCAGTCTAACATTGGACCAGTGGGAGAATATAGCAAGAGCATCGATGGGGGAAAATGGATGTGTGTACAGAAAAACATAAGCGGCATGATGTAGCCTCTTCCTTCTTCTCATTATCTGGAATTCACAACTAATCTCTTAACCACCAGGCTGAAGGCACATCATATACATGGTGGACAGGTGAACTGGAGGCTTTGGGTCTCAGGGATTTGGAGGTGCCATGTTAAGTTTTTAGAGGCTCTATCCTTTAAGAACTGGATGCTTCTGTTTTGGTCATTTTTTTCTAAGCCTACATTTTTCTTTTTCTTTCATTTTTTTTTTTTGAGACAGACTTTCGCTCTTGTTGCCCAGGCTGGAGTGCAATGGCACAATCTCTGCTCACTGCAACCCCCACCTCCCGGGTTCAAGCGATTCCCCTGCCTCAGCCTCCCAAGTAGCTGGGATTACAAGCATGAGCCACTACACCCGGCTAATTTTGTATTTTTAGTAGAGACGGAGTTTCTTCATGTTGGTCAGGCTGGTCTCAAACTCCTGACCTCAGGTGATCCACCCGCCTTGGCTTCCCAAAGTGCTGGGATAAGCCAACATTTTCTAGTCTGCATAGAGTAATATCAGCCTTGTGCAAATTCCAGTATTGTTCCAAGAATATAATGCAAGGCTGGGTGCAGTGGCTCACACCTATAATCCTAACACTTTGGGAGGCTGAGGTGGGCGGATCACAAGGTCAGGAGTTCGAGACCAGCCTGACCAATATGGTGACCAATATGGTGAAACCCTGTTTCTACTAAAAATACAAAAATTAGCCAGGCATGGTGGCGCATGCCTGTAATCCCAGCTACTCAGGAGGCTGAGGCAGGAGACTTGCTTGGACCTGGGAGGCAGAGGTTGCAGTGAGCCGAGATCGTGCTACTGCACTCCAGCTTGGGTGACACAGCAAGACTTAGTGTCAAAAAAATATATATATATATAATGCAAATAAAATTGTAAAAGTATTATACCTTTTAATATTTCAGAACAAAAACTTATTTAAAAAATTTATTCTGTTGGGGCACGGGCCTGTGAGCCAGTTAGAGTTGCAGCTGTGGGAACGATTGGGCCGAGCAGAGGACGACATGTTGTTTTTCGTGGAGCAGGTAACATCTAAAGGAACTGGTTTAAATCCTAATGCCAAAGTATGGCAAGAAATTGCTCCTGGGAATACTGATGCCACCCCAGTAACTCATAGAACTGAAAGCTCTTGGCATGAAACAGCAGCCACATCGGGTGCTCATCCTGAGGTTAATGCAGAGCTCTCAGAAGATATATGTAAAGAATATGAAGTAATGTGTTCTTTGTCTTGTGAAACCACAAGAAATACTACAGGCATTGAAGAATCAACTGATGGGATGATTTTAGGACCAGAAGATCTGAGTTACCAAATATATGATGTTTCTGGAGAAAGCAATTCAGCAATTTCTACAGAAGACCTAAAAGAATGTCTAAAGAAACAATTAGAATTCTGGTTTTCACGAGAAAATTTGTCAAAGAATCTTTACTTGATCTCTCAAATGGATAGTGATCAGTTCATCCCAATTTGGACAGTTGTTAACATGGAAGAAATAAAAAAGTTGACCACAGACCCTGATGTAATTCTTGAAGTGTTAAGTTCTTCTCCCATGGTACAAATTGATGAGAAGGGTAAAAAAGTGAGCCAAGTCATAAGCGTTGTATTGTGATTCTTAGAGAGATTCCTGAAACAACACCAATAGAGGAAGTGAAAGCTTTGTTCAAATTGAAAACTGCCCCAAAGTGATAAGTTGTGAGTTTGCACACAGTAGCAGCTGGTATATCACTTTCCAGTCAGACACAGATACACAAAAGGCTTTTAAATCCTTAAGAGAAGAAGTTAAAACATTTCAGGGCAAGCCAATTATGGCAAGGATAAAAGCCATCAATACATTTTTTGCTAAGAATTGTTACTAATTAATGGATTCTAGTATCTATAGTCAGCCCATTCAGACTCAAGCACAGTATGCCTCCCCAGTCTTTATGCAGCCTGTATATAATCTTCACCAGCAGTTCTCGGTCTATAGTATTATTCCTCAGTCTTGGTCTCCAAATCCTACACCTTACTTTGAAACACCACTGGCCCGCTTTCCCAATGGTAGTTTTGTGAATGGCATTAATTCACCAGGATCTTATAAAAGACATGCTACTGCTATGAATATGGGTCGACCATTCCAAAAAAAAACCTGAAGCCTCATTTTAGGTCATCCAGTGGTTCAGAACACTCAACAGAGGACTCTGTATCATTGGGGGATGGACAATTGAACAGATCTAGTTCAAAAAATTTTTCAACTGAAAGCATAATCCTACAGTAACTGGGGATTAGGAGCAAACTTAACTTCAAAAGGAGACTTCCACTTTGCAGATGGAACAAAATGGGGACTATGGTAGGGGCAGGAGAACTCTTTTCAGAGGTCGAAGATGACGACAAGATGTCAATCTCAAGACCTCATCCTTCAACAGCTGAATCAAAGCCTCCAACACCAAAGTTTGACTTACTAGCCTCAAATTTTCCACCTTTACCTGGAAGTTCATCAAGAATCCCAGATAAACTCATTTTGGAGAATAGGATGTCTGATGTTGTTAAAGGTGTCTACAAAGAAAAGGATAATGAAGTGTTGAGAGTTAGTTGCCCAGTGCCTGCAGATGAGCAGACAGAATGCACTTCTGCCCAGCAACTCAGTATGAGTACCAGTTCTCCATGTGCAGCTGAGCCTACTGCATTAAGCACAACTCAGCCAAAAAAAAAAAAAAAAAAAGGATCTAATAGAGGATTCCTCTGTTCAGAAGGATGGTCTCAACCAGACAACTATACCAGTTTCTCCTCCAAGTACTACAAAGCCATGGAGGGCAAGTACTGCCTCACCATGTAATCGTAACATAAATGTAGCTACACCGTGACTCTACAGGAACCCTGAAAGTTAAGTTATGCTGAAGTGTGCCAGAAGCCCCCTAAAGAGCCATCTTCAGTTCTTGTGTAGCCACTATGGGAACTTCGCTCCAATGTAGTGTCTCCCACGACAAACAAAGACAATGAAGCTCCTTAGAAGTCCCTTGAGAAACCAAATGAGAAGCCAGAAGCAAGGGCTAGTAAGGATTATTCTGGCTTCTGAGGCCATACCATTCCCAGGGGAGCAGCTGGAAAAATCAGGGAACAGAGATGCCAGTTTAGTCGTAGGGCTATACCTCAGGGAGTGACATGACGTAATGGCAAAGAGCAATATGTGCCACCCAGATCACCAAAGTAAAAAACAACAAAACTATTCAAAAACTTCTCTCTCTTCCCGTTAAACTTGAGCTGTAGCTATATTGAACTGTTTTGGAGGGGAGAGGGTAACCAGGAAGGAAACAGGAGAAAGTACATCCTTAAATCATTATGGATTTTGGAGTTGTGAGTGATAGGATCCCAAAATTCATCTCTGATGTGATTTATAAATGCTGGAGGATTTCTATCTATCTATCTATCTATCTATCTATCTATCTATCTATCTATCTATCCATCCATCCACACACACATATAAAGTGTATTTTTTCTATTTTTGTTTTTGGTTTTAATTTGCAGAGATTTGCTGCCAGGAATCAATTTTGAGGGTTCAGTTTCAGCTTGGAGGAAAAAAAAAAACAACATTATACATCCTTCAGTATAGGAGATGAGGGAGTGAGAGGAAATATTTTTTGAAGAAGCATTTCTGTAAAATTAGAAATTACTTTTTAAAATCTATTTAAAGTTTGGCGTGGAGAATGCCATCTCTGATTATATGGCCTTGTATTGCAAAGCGGATTAGTGGCTGGGGTGCCTGTTGTGGGTGTGAGTGTGTACAAGAGCGATTGAAGCAAAATCTGTTGTCATGTTAGTAAATGATTTGAAAACTGAATGTAAAACTTGAGTAGATTTTTTTTTTTTAGTTTGAAATTGAGTCTGTCTTTTTGACCTTACTAATATTTCCTTCAACAAGTTGTAAAACTGTGATTGTACTTGGACATGTGACTACTAATCAGTTTGATACTCAAGGAAAGAATGGGGTTTCTTAAAAACATTGAAAATTTCGGCCGGGTGCGGTGGCTCTCGCCTGTAATCCCAGCACTTTGGGAGGCCGAGGTGGGCGGATCACGAGGTCAGGAGATCGAGACCATCCTGGCTAACACGATGAAACCCCGTCTCTACTAAAAATACAAAAAATTAGCTGGGAGTGGTGGCGGGCGCCTGTAGGCCCAGCTACCCGGGAGGCTGAGGCAGGAGAATGGCGTGACACCGGGGGGCGGAGCTTGCAGTGAGCCGAGATGGCGCCACCGCACTCCAGCCTGGGCGACAAAGCGAAACTCTGTCTCAAAAAAAATAAAAATAAAATAAAAATAAAAATAAATTGAAAATTATCTTGGACCTCAGTGTGTAGGTGAAATATATTTCAGAGTCTTAAAATTCCCTGTGATTCCCCCTGCTAAAATGGGAAACAATTTTTTTTTCTTACTCCATATGTTATTCTCTGTTCTTTGACTGCCCATCCCCAAAAGCAAAATAACCAACTACTTACTGAATTATATTTGTCATTGCTTTGACCAGTCTAGTCAAATCATATAAATTGTTCTAAATTTCAGAATTGAACATTGAAGTATTTACTCTTCTGTTCACACATTGAGAATTTTAGGTCCCAAGATGGTAAGGCGGACTGACCTTACAGTAATTTATTTGCTGTCAGTGTTAAAGATGAAACATTGTGACTGACTCTTAAGTGTTAAATAGTGTAGAAGTAAAATATTATTTTTTTTTTAAAGGCTTAATTTTGGGGGGGGACTTATTTCTGTTTACAGTGTATTTATCACCTTCCTTTCCTCCTCTTCTTCCCCCACACCCAAAAAATACAGTTTGGAATTCACTGAAACAGAACCAGCAAGTCATGAGATTTTTTAGTAAAGATGAGAAAGATGGTTGAAGAAAATTAATGCATAATTTCTCAGTGAATCAAGTTGTAGCTCTCATATACTAAATACACAAGTTTACATGCTGTTATTTAGAAAATGGCTAAAATATTAAAAGCCATGTTGTGTTTATCTGTTTTAAGTCATACCATGTTTAGAGTTCTATGTAAGGTGGGTTTTATTTTTCTTTTAAGGGATAATTTGTAATAGTAAGAACTGTCCCATATGTTAGATTATGTGTGTACAATTACGTGTAAATTGTGAATACTGGAAAGCACCATTGTGACATAGCGTAAGCATCTTGGTAATATATTAAAGTGAATGTAAATAGTGGTTAAAATTACATTACTGTGAAATTCACCTTCCAACTCTAAGTTAAGCTTTGGAGATACGTATTAGCGATTAACTGTTAAGAGCTTTGAAAACACTGCACGTATCTGTACAAGCCAGAATTACTATTTCTTTGACTTATTGTTAGCATGGCAGTTGTTTTTGATTTGGTTGTTTTATGACATGGTATACTATATTTACTCAGTTTGAAACTATTCATTTCTATACACTATTTTTTAAAAATCACCTACTAGGTGAAACATACAATGAAACTACCTGTGCTGAAATTTGGGGGAAGTTTAGGTCCTTTAAAAAAATGTATTAATCATTGACTACATCTATGATAAAAGTGCTTATTTTGGTTTACTAAGATAATGCAGTTGGTGGAAATGATAAACATTTTAAGTGTTAACATCCTTTGAATGCATTGGATTTCAGAGAATAAACATTCTGTAAAAACAAAAAAAAATTTATTTTGTTGGCCTCCCTTTTAGATGGGCAAATTCCTTGGTGCTAGCCATTCAAAATTGTGTGAAGGGCAGTATCTGACTTAATTATAATATTTAGGGAAAGCTTTTGTTGTTTGACCTGACAACAAGTTCAGTTTTTTTTTTTTTCCTCCAAGGGCTTTTAATAGAATTGCTTTGGTCTAAGAATTCATGATAGACTAAATGAAATCCTTCAGTCTGCTGGATTTAGTGAGATCATAAATTAGCCTCATGGTGAATGTATCTTTCTTTTCCCTGTTTCATTTGACACAATTCATTGAAATGATGACTACCTATAAGTGGTTAGAATTTTATGTGTGGAAAACTTGAAGAGAAAAACTTTTCAAAGTAAAGTGTTTGTTTCTTTCATCATGGTGTCACCTGCTTTTGATCTTTTTCATTGTGCTTATGCTTAAAACTAGATTTCAATATATGTTCTTTAATGGTAAAAGTTTATATGCAAAATAGGTCTTCTGGCATTTTTACTGTCACGTGTAGAGTGAAGCTAGTGGTGACCCAGTTTTTCTCATCGGGCTTGAGGGAGGGGTGGGGACAGTTGGATCTGCTCTTCTCTGCTCTTTAACTGGCATAGAAGTGGTAGGAAGGAAACCCAAGCAGGTGTCTCATTGGCATGCCATTGTGGAGTAGAGAGAGGCAGTGTTCATAGAAGTACAGCAGCTGTGTGGACTTCTGTCATGGGGAGCAGGGCCCAGCAGTCAGGATATCCTTGGGGACTGGTTCCTGGCATGAGCAAATTCTTGAGTAACTGTAATTCTAGCTAGATTTCTAAAGACAAGATCTTCATACACAGAGAAGCTGGGAAGCAGACTGTATTTCACCTCAGGGGCCTGTGGTTATAGACTTGAGGAAACATGAGGAACCAGGGTAACAGCAAATGGGACTTATCCTTGGATGCCAGAGTATTTGGCCAGTGCTACTCACTGGTCTGGTTAGGGCTGGTCTGGAAGTCATGGGCAGACCCCAGGGTGAGGTCAAGTAGCTCTAACAGGAACCAGGCAGAGCCTGGCCTTCTAGTAAGGGGCAGGGAGCACTTCCCCAGGTGGGTCCTGTCTTGAATCATGCTGGTGTTTGTATCGGGGAGGCAGCCTTTCTGGCTTCCTCTGGTCTGGGGAGGCCATTTTGATGGGGGGAAGAAAATTGAAGCTTCTTATATCAAATTCAGCCATTTCTAAATATTGAGACACACAAATGTATGGAGCTGCCAATGTGCAGGGCACACATTCAAATTTGGGGAGAATCTAACATAATCTAATGCAATGTAAGCTGTGGTTCTATAAAATTTTGCATTTTTTTAGGGCTTTTGCAGCTTTTGGGGGCTTTCACAGGATGTGAATTTTGTATTTTTTGATTGGGTTGTGTTATTTTGGGAACATAGTGAAACTCAGTCACATTTTTAGGATGTTGTATATATGCCAAGGGAAATGTATGTTTTTCCCGCTGAATTTTTATTTCTTATGTAAATAACATTAAAACCAGAAAAAAAAGGATGAAGAAATCACCTATAAACCCAAATCCATACTTTTTTTTAAACAATTTTGCCTTCTCTTTTAGATCTTGAGCATATTCTTACTTGAGACTGTAATTTTAAACATACTGTCAATATAACTTTATATATTTTTTACTTTAAATTATATTTATTTACAGCCAGTAGTTGCATGTTAACTTTATCGAATGATGAACTCAGATCTGCCAAGTTGAACTTCAGTAGTGAATGGTGGATTTTAGGGTGAAAATGGCTTTGTGTGCAGGCTCCATTCTTTTGGCAAGTGTTGCAGTGGGGGTAACCAGTTGTTGACGCCATGGGGCAGGCAGCTCAGTACCCTGAACAGGGTCCTGGAAGTTGCTGTAGCGTTTGAGGGGAGCACTCCTATGGTGTGGTTGGAATGCTGTTTTTGGTTATAAGGCCTCTGAACTCGACTTTCTGGTCCTGTGGTAAATTCCACGAACTGTCTAAAACCTTTAGTAAATTTTGTTTTTTGTTGTAACTCAATTGAGTAGATTAAGTTGTTTGCAACTAAGCATCTTGTGAAACATTGACATACTGGTTCTTGAAAGTAATTTGTTTTATGATTTGGAGGCAGTGATTAAGAACCTAGAGTCTAAGGCCAAACTGCCTATATTCACATCCTGACTGTGTCAATTTGGAGAAGATACTTCACTTTTCTCCCTTAGTTTCTTAAGAAAACACTACTATTATTATAGTGATGATAATTAAATGAAACAGTACCTGGTAGCTAATAAGTGTTCCCCCAGTGTTACCATCTTCATTATCATGATCATCATGACAGTAGGTATTTATTGAGCACCTACTCTTTATTAGAGTTCAACAGAAATGGGGAAAAGTTACAAATAGGTATTCTAGCAAAATTTAGTATATAACAAAGCCTAATTGTATTGTGCATAGTCTTAATGACAGCTCCATCTCTGCTCATCCTCTGGTTTCTCTTAAGACACATAGAGAAACAGGGAAGGCATTTGTAGCCATCTAAGATTGGATTTATTGGAATGAATAACATTAAGTGCTGAGAATAACTGACAAAAGGATTTGATTGTGAATCAAGAATAAAAGGTTGTGGTAAGACTTAGAATTTTGTGTTTATTAAGAGAAGAGCTTAATGCATTGTAAGGCATTCCATTTGTTGTTTTAACATTGCCAGCATTTATTATTAAAGTGGGTGGTTGTAGAATAATTATAGTCCATATCATGATGATGATGTTGTTTTTAGAGAAGATTGAAAATCTATAGTTTTTTCAAACTAATACAGCAAGGAAAACATGTCATCTACTGAGGCTTCAAATAGTTTGCTTGACCTCCTGAGAGTACTACTGAGATTGTTTAAAGGAACTGCATATTCAGGAAGGTACTTTTATGCAAGTTTTTGCATTTCCTTGTTAAATTCTTAAAAGTATCAGCTTGGTAATTGGGGGTTGGGATGGGAGTAAGAAGCAGAAGACAGGGAAAAAGTATGAGATTATTAATACCATTATTTTAATATAACTGAGAATTTATTTGGGAAGAAAGTAGTAAAGATGGTAGTTATACCTACAATTTTTATAAATTATAAGAATTACAAAGTGAAAGTGACCAGTCATTTTTGCGGGTTTTATATGAGGTTTCTGTGACCTATTAAATTAAGAAAGATTAGTGGGGGCAGAACATATATTTTTGTGCAGAAAAAGAATAAGGAAATATTTAAATGGTTTTAAAAAGTATATTAGGCTGGGTGTGGTGGCTCACACCTGTAATCCCAGCACTTTGGGAGGCTGAGGCAGGCGGATCACAAGGTTAGGAGATTAAGACCATCCTGGCTAACACAGTGAAACCCCGTCTCTACTAAAAATACAAAAGAAAAATTAGCCGGGTGTGGTGGCGGGCACCTGTAGTCCCAGCTACTTGGGAGGCTGAGGCAGGAGAATGGTGTGAACCCGGGAGGCAGAGCTTGTAGTGAGCCGAGATTGCGCCACTGCACTCCAGCCTGGACGACAGAGCGAGACCCTGTCTCAAAAAAAAAAAAAAAGTATTCTAAACTTTTTTACTCTGTGAAAAGGTTGGAAAGTAACTGTGCTTATTAGACATAGACTAGTAGCATTATGGTCACGGAATTAAATTTAACCTCTAGATGTTCATTCACTTATGATTGCATAGAGTTAGTAGGATGTCTTATGTATTCTAGCAGGATTTCATACATTGAAGAATTCTCTGATAAGAGAGATTCATTCATGATATTTTCTGTATAAGCAAAACCAGAAAATATTTGAAATTTAGGGGAAAAAATTCGACACCTTGGAGTAAAATTAGATTACTTCATAAAACCCAACATATGTAGCTAACCTGATGCAGCCACAAACTTGTTTTCTGTGGAAGTTTTTAGAACTTGCTTTTCAAGAAAGAGACTCAGAGTTGAACTCGGGAGAGCCTGGCCCAGTCCTGGATCTTGAAGAATTAGTTAGCTAGCTGGGAATATTGGAGGAATAATTAATCATCAACTCTCAGTATGGCCTGTTACGTAAGGATCCCCAGTGCCTTAGTGTGCTCAGGCTGCCATAGCAAAATACCATAGATTGGGTAGCTTAAACAACAGAAATTTGTTCTCTTGTTGAAATGTTGTCATTTTCTTAATTTTAATATTTAATTACTGGATTATTTTGTTACCTTTTATTTCACATTTAAGCATTTTTATCAGATTATAGTAAGTAAATTTATTCAAGATGAACTCTACAAAAAATAGTTTATATGTTCTTAGAGATTATGTATTTTGTATTGGGTACATCTCTGTTATTGTCATCAGGATATATTTAAATATATATTAAAATTAGATATGTATGTTAAAATTGCATGTATTAAATATTATGTGATATATATAATTTATTTTTAAATTTTTGTTTATTTAAGCCCCTGTTCATTTTATTCAAATCATTTTTTTTTTCTCTTCAAAACTAGCTAGAACTGATGGGGAATCAGGGAAGGCCTTATATATTAAATTCTTAAGTAGATTCTTAAAATTCAAAGTAAGGATCTGTAAGAGAAGCACAGTCTGTGGGCCTTGTTCCAGCAAACAAAGCCACAAAGGGAGTCCTGCAAATTAAGGAGGATGGCAAATCCATTTCTTAAAAAAAAAAAAAATAGTTCTCGAGGGGAAAAATATAAAATACCTAAGTTTCAAAAGCCAGACGAGTTCCACAATCATTGCTTTCCACCGTAGGGTATCCAAAGATAGAGTTTCAAGGTATGTTTTCAATGATTCAGTTTTGCAAACATATGCAAATATATTCCTCATTAGCCATCCTGTTTTGGCGACTAATAGCAAGCAATATGCTTGGATAAGGGGTCCAACTTCCACTTAAATGCAGTTTCTTCTCTTTTGGGCAACAAAGCCATTTGCAGAGATCTGGAAATCATGAGCTTCCTAAGTGGGAGGAGGTGCTATTCTGGTTCACCTGAAAATATCCTTTCAGATTGACTGGTGTTTTATAGTCCCTTACTTGGTGTGCGTTACTGATGATGATGGGGGTCAGGGTTGCTATAGTGGAAGTGGGGGTTGGGGAGGGTATTTGCATAGGGGTCATGGCTAAGCTGAGCCAGCATGGGACAATCTGGGCCATGTCTGGCACCATGTCCCCAGGGATGTGGTGAGTCCACTTGGAGAGCACTTCCAGGTTCACAGGCTTGATGACCTCATCCATGGACCACTGGATCTTAGACAGGGAGATGCCATTCCACTTGCCAGTGAGGTCTTGATGGTGGAGGACAGTGTTGCTCCAGGTGATGCCGAGATGGTCTGGGATGAGTCTGAGGAAGCTCCTAGGCTACAGCACCAGTTCCTTGTAGTACACGAGCAGGCACTTGTCCTTGCCCACCTCCATGCACTGGGTGTACATCACCTCTATGGCCTTGTTCCACTTGGTGAGGCAGTTGCCATAGCTGCTGAGGTCGAAGCCTGGGTAGTGACCTTGCAATAGTGACCTTGCATGTGATCAAGGAGTGCATGGAGACATGGCTGTCCTGAGCCATAAGCAGGAACTTGGAGCTGGAGAACAGGTGTGACAGGTAGACCAGTGATTCAAGGACTTGAGTCTGAAGTGGTCCTTGTTGGAGAGCACATGGGCTGGCTCCCTTTGCTTAGAGATCACCTCCAGGATGAAGGCCTGCATGGCAATGTCCAGCACCTCGTCAGTCACGCCCGCCTTGTCCAGCTGTAGTTTCTTGTGGCCAGACTTGGACCAGGCCTGGTGCATGGCCAGCACACAAGGGATGATGTGCGTCTCCTTGCTGCGGTGCACCTCAAGGTGGGCATCCAGCCCAGTGAGTATCAGCATGGTGCCGCTGCAGAGCATACTGCTCATGAAGATGAGTGGCATGGCCTTGCTGTAGTGGTACTCCACGTGGTCCATCCGATCTACAGGGTCCACTCGGGGCTTCACCTGCCAGCACTGCCTGGCACATTAATATCTGCTGCCCCAGCTGGACCAACCATCACCAGGGCCAGGGCACAGCCAGCCCGACCTGGCAGGCCCAACCTGGGGACTCACTTCAGGGACTGTAGCAACAGGTCAGTGGGCGGCCCACCAGGTTCACATCTTGCATCACATCAGGGAGGTGGTCCCACATGCCCAGTGACTCCTGGCTCAGCAGCTGCCCCTGCCGGAGAAGTGGGAGGCCTGTAATTTTTTTTTTTTTTTTTTAGTACCAGGTCAGCATGGGTTTATGGAACACTGGCTACAGTAAATGTGTGAAACATTGTAAATTTTTTTTTCCCAATTTTAATTAAATTTATTTTTGACTTACATACAGTTAAATTCCCTCCTTTTCTATACAGTTCTGCAAGTTTTGACAAACACATGGAGTTGTGTAGCCATGTGTTGGACCTAACACCATGGTCAAGATGTTGAACATATTTATCATCCCCTAAAAATTCCGTTAGCCCTTTTGTGGTCAGTTTTTCCCCCCTGCCCTGGAGCCTAAGGATCACTTATCTGCCTTCTGTCGCTCTATTTTTCCTTTTCCAGAATGCCATAGAAATGGAATCATGTGGTAGATAGCCTTTTGAGTTTGGCTTCTTTTACTTAGTAGAGCACATTTGTGATTTCTCCATGCTGTTACTTGTATTGTTGCAGAGTAGTATTCCTTTATATGGATGTATCACAGTTTGTTCATCCATTATTAAAGGTTGTTTATATTCTTTCCAATATAGATGAAGCTGCTATAAAAATTTGTGTGTAGGGCTTTGTGTGGTAAATATCTAGAAGTGCCTCAGGATAGATCATCCCCATAATCTAACTCAAACCTAATTTAGGTAAGATTTGGGAGTTTGAGATGATGCTTATTTAGATGACATTTTGAACCTGAGTTGATTCTGTGATGAGTTGGGACTTTGGGGGATGCTGGGATGGGGCAAATGTATCTGGCATGTGGGTCAGATATGAATCTTTAAGGCCAGAGGGTGGATGGTGGTGGCCGAAAAGTAAGTCCCTTAAAGATATTAGGTCCTAAGCCATGGAACTTGTAAATGTTACCTTACATAGACTTAGAGTCTTTGCAGATGTAATTAACTTAAGGATCTTGAGATGGAGAGATTATCCTAGAATACCAGGATGGGCCCTAAATGGAATTACATGCATCCTGAGAAGAGCAAGGTAGAGGAAGTTTTTACCACACATACTAAAAGGCAATGTGAAAATGAAGCAGAGAGAGATTTGAAGATGCTGATCTTGAAAATTGGAGTGATGTGTCCACAAGCTAAGGAATGCAGGCAGCTACCAGAAGCTGAGAGAGATGAGAAATGGATTCTCCTCTAGAGCCTCTGGAGGGAGCATGGCCTTGCTAAGACATTGATTTTGGCCTGCTGATAAGGGTTTTGGACTTCTGGCCTCCAGAACTGTGAGAGAATAAATTTCTGTTATTTTAATCCACCAAGTTTTTGGTAATTTGTTACAGTAACCATAGGAAACTAAAGTGTGTGACCATGGTAGGATGTTTAGTAAATTTTTATTTTTAAGATAAAGTCTTGAGAAAGTAAAATTAATTTGTTTGATTTTGATAAGTAGTTGGTTTAAGAAGCCATCTGAAGTGGGTCAGAACTGATCATCTTTTTAGCACTGAATATTACTGAGGAAAAACTTACAATATTATTTGGTGCTATTTTTAAGACTAAGGCTTTCGTGGAAGAAAAGGCAAAAGGATACCATGGAGTAGAAAGATTATTTGTTAGTGGTTAACAATTATCTCGCTCATGGTAATAATATCATAATTTAGTGCCTACTAAATTATGCTGAACATTGCTTGTTAGAGAAGTGATTTTGTCACTTGAGTAAGAATTGATACCATTACTCTCTAACGTCTCATGTTATATTCTAAACCCTTTTGACAAATGCCCTTTGAAAGCTACATTTATTTCTAGAATCCAGTCACTTCTGTTTTCCTCTGCATCAGGCTACCATGATTAAAATCTTGAAAGCCAAACAAATTATTGAATTTGAAGTTACTGCAAATTGGTGAGGAGAGGCGGGTGCTTCTAGGTCTTCATAACCTTCTTGTCTATTTTCTTGTGATAACCAAGTTTAAGCCAGGGACCTCCTAAAGAAAATATGTGAAGAATTGAAATTGTGAGGTTAAATATTTTGTATATGTGCATACATATATATGTATATTATTTTTTAGGTAACTTTTCAGGTAAAGATCTGACGGCTCTTTTAGTAAATATCTGGATTAAGTCTTATATCAGAAAATATGGTAATTTAGGAGAGGCTGGAATTTCAGCAGTGAAATAATTGTGTTAGACCACGAGATGGTTATTTAACCTCTGTTGGAGGAAGTGGTACCTTACAATCAGTGGTGAATAAAAGAAGTTAATTATTTTCCTTGATCTTCTCACTCTGTGGTTTGATTACTTTAAAGGCCTAGAGGTCTTCAGAGACAATTTAATCACTGTAGCTATTGACCTAGAATAGAACTGCTACAGTAGGCCCACATAAAAATGTCCAGTGTCAATATGATTATGGGTTATTATTATTAGGACCAAGGCGCAGTTTTTTGATAAAACTCTACTTAAACATCTTAGGGCTGTAAGTAGAGAGAAATTTAACAAATTTAACTCTTAGATTTGCAGAACTGATAAAATCATAGAACTTTTAAGATGAACCGGATTCTAAAGAAGTTACCAATCAGTTTACAGACGGTGGAATTGAGACCTACAAATATTAAGTGATTTTTCCAATTAGATTTTAAGCACTTCAAGAATAAAGACAATATTCCCTATTGGTGCTCCCTTGACAATACAACTGTTGATGCCACCCTCCCTATTGTTTAATACATATTTGTGGAATACATAAAGATGTTGTCTTAGTCTGTTTTTGCTGCTAGAAGGGAATACCGGAGGCTGGGTATGTTATAAAGAAAAAAGCTTTACTTGGCTCACAGTTCTACAAGCTGTACAAGAAGCAGGGTGCTGGCTTCTGCTTCTGGTGAGGGCTTCAGGAAGCTTCTATTCATGGTGGAAGGCAAAGGGGAGCTGATATGTGCAGAGACCACATGGTGAGAGAGGAGGAGGAGGGGAGAGAGAGGAAAGAAGGGAGATACCAGGCTCTTTTTAACAACCAGCTCTTTAGAGAACCAATAGAGCAAGAGCTCATTAATATGAAGACTCACCCAGCCACTTATGAGGGATCTGCCTCCATGGCTCATACATCTCCCATTAGGCCCCACCTTCAACACCGGTAACCAACCTTCAACATGAGATTTGGAGGAGGTCAAGTAAACCAAACTATAGCGGATGCCTACCAGAAATTTGCAAAAGAAAACTAGTATTTTGAAGGACTGAACAATGGTCCCGTATCAGGAGAAATGATACATAACCTGGAAAAATAATCCCTTTTAGTGTTGTGAGGTCACATTTAAAATTTTGTATTTATAATGGAAAAAATGGAAGTCATAGAAGGAAAGAAGTTCATAATTTTGATCTTCTATTTTTTTAAGAATGGCTTTATGGAGATATTTATGTACCATAAATTTCACTCTTTAAAAATATACAGTTCAGTGGTTTTTA
Organism: Homo sapiens; assembly: GCF_000001405.40. Classification (NCBI taxonomy): domain Eukaryota; kingdom Metazoa; phylum Chordata; class Mammalia; order Primates; family Hominidae; genus Homo; species Homo sapiens. Next base: position 36,631,320 of record NC_000015.10, read on the forward strand.
GTATATTCACGAAGTTGTACAACCGTCACCACTGCCTAATGTCAGAACATTTTCATCACCTCCAAAAGAAATCCCATATTATCAGTCACTCCCGATCTTTCCCCTCCTTGTCCCTGACAACTACTAATCTGCTTTCTACTTCTATTGATTTTCCTATTCTAGACATTTCATACAAATAGAATCGTACAAGATGTGGCCTTTGTGACTGGATGTTTCCATTCATATATTTTACAGACTTATCTGAGTCATAGCATATATCAGTACTTCATTTCTTCTTATTGCTGGATAATATTGCATTGAATGGGTATATCACATTTTATTGATCCATTCATCAGCTGATGGACATTTGGGTTGTTTCTACCTTTTAGCTATTATGTATAAAGTTGCTATGAGCATTTGTGTATAGACTTTTGTTTAGAAACATGTTTTTAGTTCTCTTGGGTATAAACCTATGAGAAGAATTACTGGGTCATATGATAACTGTGTTTTTTAAAAATTTATTTATGTATATTTATTATTCATATTATTTGAGACAGGGTCTTGTTCTCTTGCCCAGGCTGGAGTGCAGTGGCACAGTTCTAGCTCACTGCAGCCCTGAACTCCTGGGCTCAAGTGATCTCCCCACCTCAGCCTCCCAATTAGCTGGGACTACAGGCGTGCACCACCACGCCCAGCTAGCTTTTTAAGGAATTTTTTGTAGAGATGGAGTCTAACTAGGTTGCCTAGACTGGTCTTGAACTCCTCAGCTCAAGTGATTCTCCTGCCTCAGCCTCCCAGAATGTTGTGATCACAGGTGTGAGCCACCATGCCTAACCATAACTCTGTATTTAGTATGTTGAGAAACAAACTGTTTTCCAAAGCGGCTACACCATTTTGCAATCTCACCAGCAATATATGAGGGTTCCAATTTCTCTACATCTTTGTAGCCTCAAAACTACAGTCTCTTGGACATTCTGCTCCCTAGTCTCCCACCCCTCTGAAGCACAGAGAGGAGCTTTCTCTGAAGTTCTCTCATCTGACTAAGGGAAGTTCCTTCAGAAAGAATGTGATTGTCATGAATAACTTCCCTGAATTCTACACTAACCAGAGAAGATGACTCATATCACAGAAGAGGAGGCTGACAGGTCTTCATGCCCAGGACACCACACCCAGACAGACTTTTCACCAGTACTTCTGAGGGCTGCCACCTGAGAGACTTTATCTGCATAATAAGATGATCTTTGTTTATAGTACAGTTCCTCCCCTTGCCCTACCGTAGTTCAACCATCTGGCGTTTCTCTGCATCTCACACTTTGTGGGATCCCCCATGCATATGCATGTTATAAGTGTGTACACCTTTTCTTCTGCTAATCAATTGTCAGTTTATTTTATAGACTCTAATTATTGAATTTCCCGAGGGGAAGGAGAGGGTTCTCTCCCCTCTGCAGCATGTAGGGCAAGAGAAGACTGAAGAGACCACATTTAAAAAGATGACTGATAAACATTTCTTACAAATCTATTATTTATATAATGTGTTGAAGTTATTAGGTTTACTTCAGAGAAAAATGGCCAGAAGCCTGGTCTTGCAAGTGAAATTAAGTGTCACACAAGCCTCTTATTCTTTACCTGATTTATGTTACGACTTGTTCTAAAAAGTTAATACCTAAATTTAATTAGAAATGAAAGAAGTATAGGTACTTAAGACTCTCATTAAATCAGAACATTTAGAAAAGGGTGGGACTTAGAGCAGAAAAGAATCTTAAAGATCAATTTATCCAACTCCTCCTCAATTTTGTCCTTCTTTTCTTTTTGCCTACCTAATTAATTTTGTTATAAAATATAGCACAAATATAAAAGAACAGAGAATGATAAATGAACCCTTTGAATATACATCTGTTTATATTTGCTTCAGGTGCTTTTTACTTTTACACAAATGACATATTCCAATACTGTTATACGTTTTCTTTTCACTTTGATTTTTAGTTTTTTGATGAACTGTTGTAGGTATGATTGAATGTACTTCTCTGTGATTTCTTTCCTCTTCTCTGTCACCTGAGGTAACTCTTTTCTTGAGTTTAGTGCTTATCAGTCTCATATTTCTTTTACCACATCCATATATATATTCACAAAAAATAGGGCATTATATTTTGCTGTTTGATACTTTATATAAATGGTGTTAAATGTGAATGTAATTCTATAATGTGCTTTTTTTGGGTAAACACTACATTTTTTGACATTTATCTATGCTGATACCTGGTTAGCATAAGTTCCCCACTTGTTATTGCTTTCCAGAATTTGTTAGCTATTCTTATGTATTCTTCTTGAATTTTAACATACATTTATTATGTCCTACCGGAAGACTCTGTTGTGATTTTGGTAGCATTTTTATTAAAATTATAGATTAATATGTGGAGAACTGACAATTTTATTTACACTATCATTCCACCCATGATACTTTTTTTTTTTTTTTCTTTCCTGAGACAGAGTCTCACTCTGTCACCCAGGCTGGATTGCAGTGGTGGGATCTTAGCTAACAGCAACCTCTGTCTCCCGGGTTCAAGCAATTCTGCCATCTCAGCCTCCCGAGTAGCTGGGACTACAGGCATGCGCCATGATGCCCAGATTATTTTTTCTATTTTTAGCAGAGACCACTGTGTTACCCAGGCTGGTCTCGAACTCTGGGCCTCAAGTGATCTGCTCGCCTCGGCCTCCCAAAGTGCTGGGATTACAGGTGTGAGCCACCATGCCCAACCCACCCATGATACTTTATAAAAATGTCACAATTCTGTGTTTAGTCAAAAAGTCTTTTATGCTCTTCAGTAATGTTTTATAACTTTCTTCAAAACTTTTGGCTGGGTGTGGTGACTCACGCCTGTAATCGCAGCACTTTGGGAGGCTGAGGCAGGTGGATCACAAGATCAGGAGATCGAGACCATCCTGGCCAACATGGTGAAACCCCGTCTCCACTAAAAATACAAAAAATTAGTCAGGCGTGGTGGTGCATGCCTGAAACCCCAGCTATTTGGGAGGCAGGAGAATCCCTTGAACCAGGGAGTCAGAGGTTGCAGTGAGCCTTGATCGCGCCACTGCACCCCAGCCTGCAGAGAGAGCAAGACTCCGTCTCAACAACAACAACAACAAAAAGTTTTATATATTTTTTAAAAACACATTTCTAAATACTTTATGGCCTTTGATTGTGAATGATAGCTATTTTTCTATTCCATTCTCTCATTGGATAGTACTGATTTATAAGAATTCTTATTTATATTAATCTTGTCTCCAGTTACCTTTCTGAGATACTAGTTTTATACCTTGTTTGTAGATCTTGCTGTTTTTATGTAGAAAGCCATCTCATCTGCAAATAAGGAGGGTTTGTTTGTTGTATTCCTTCTTGATGCTCTTATTTCGTTTCCTATTTTCTTTTGTGTGGTAGGATACGTAATCTGCTAAGACCTCCTACAGTAAAACCAGTTCCTTTCGCCTTTTTTCCTAAAGTCCAGTTAATGATACAAAGTTCTCACAAATTTTGATACATACCACCATTGCTCAATTTTATGCATTTTTGTTTTTTCCATCACTTCCTCTTTCATCTATGAGTAACATAGGAATGTGTTTTTTAATTTCTGAAAATTTTTTGGAGGACTATGTTTTTAATTTTGAATTCTAATTTAATTACTATTTGATTTGATGCAGTCTAGTCAAGTCCTGAGCAGAACTTTTGACAGCTTTATAGGGCTAGAGGACAAAGTTTAGAGATGAGGGCTTGCCAAAGATGAGAACTCTTATAAATATCCCAAGCTTTGGGGGCAGGGGGCCTCTAACAGACTATACCCTAGGAGTAAGTGTGAACTGAAATTGAAAGATCTCCCCCTGACAGTTTCAGATTTATCTGATTGGCACCAAAAATTAATACCTGAAATTGACTAAGGTGATCCTAGACTCCTGGTACTCCCAGTATCAAGTCAGAATTCTGTCTGGAGAAAACATCATTTCAGCCTTTAGATTTTTTATGAGATAGTTTTTCAAATGCAATTGACCCTTGAACAACATGGGTTTGAACTGTGTGAGTCCATTTATATGTGGATTTTTTTTCAACTAAACTTAGATTGAAAATATGGTATTTGCAAGACGTGAAACCTGCATATCTAGAGGACCAACTTTTTGTATACATGAGTCCTGCAGGGCTGACTTTGAGACTTGAGTATACACAAATTTGGGGTATCCTTGGGGGTCCTAGAATCAATCCCCTGTGTGTACCAAAGGACGACTCTAGTATGACACATAATGAGAGATACTCAGTTGCATAAGGACACATGACAACAAGAATGAGAGCCAGTAAAGGCTATAGTACTAGACTCAAAGGAGATCCAGTTATTGGAATTACCAAACAGAATTACTAGAATTAAACTTTGTTCGGGGAGTTATAAAAGAAATTAAAACATTCTGCAGGGAACTTATATGAAGAAGAATCAAATAGAAAATTTAGAACTGAAAAATACAGCAACCAATATTGGATGGATTTAACTCAGTGCATCAATTTAACAGTAAATTAGACATTACTGAAGAGAGGATTAGTGCACTGGAAGGTGGGTCACAAGAAAATACCGGAATGTAACATACAATAACAAAAGGGTGGAACATATGAAGAGAAACTAAGAAACAGAGGATACAGTAGAGAAGGCTGACAGGTTCATTGGGAGTCTCGGGGAGGAGCTTGAATGCAAAAGCAATGTTGAAGAAATTATGATCGAGCATATTCCCAAAATGATGAAAGGTACGCAGTCACATATTGAAGTCCAACAAATTCTAGGCAGGATTTTATAGTTGAAACTCATAAAAAGCAAAGTTAAAAGAAAATATTAAAGCCAGATAGAGGAATGAGACAGATTGTCATTACAAAGAGCCACAATTTGACTGTTACCTGACATCATCAACAAATCTGCACTGATGGAGTTATTAAAAGAAGGTAATGGGCCAGGCGCGGTGGCTCACGCCTGTAATCCCAGCACTTTGGGAGGCCAAGGTGGGAGGATCATGAGGTCAGGAGATCGAGACCATCCTGGCTAACATGGTGAAACCCCATCTCTACTAAAAATACAAAAAATTAGCCGTTTGTGGTGGCAGGCGCCTGTAGTCCCAGCTACTCTGGAGGCTGAGGCAGGAGAATGTCATGAACCTGGGAGGCAGAGCTTGCAGTGAGCCGAGATGGTGCCACTGTGCTCCAGCCTGAGCGACAGAGCAAGACTCCATCTCAAAAACAAAAACAAAAAAAACAAAAGAACGTAACGGAGATGAAAGAGTGGAAAGGAAGGAATGAAGAACAATGAGATGGCACATCTGTGGGTAAATCTGAGTAAGCAGAGATATATGCAACAGTAGCAGTGTCTTTTGAGATTTAAGAAATATACAGACTTAAGACAATTTCAGTAATATCCTACATTCCAGGAAGGGGACCTTTCAATAATGTTGTAGTGTTTTTATATTTTCCAGAAAGCAATAAATCACCAATCAATAATAAATTTTGATACATTGAGGAGGCAGCATGGTTTTCTAGAGTGATTATTAAAAGAATAGTAAAAGAGTATGTAACTTTTAAGTTGCAAGAGGAAAAGTAGTGAATAAACATTGAATCAATTGAAAAGTACGCAAGAATGGAGAGAAACATTACATATAGTGGGTAAGACAATAGCATTTAGTGAGATGATAGATTTAAACCTGAATATATCAGTACTTACATTGAATGTACCTGGTTTAGCTACAGTCATCAAAATGGTGTGGTACCTATGTAAAGATAAACATACAACTCAGTGGAACAGATTAGAAAGTCCCAAAATAGATTCTCAGATATTTAACCTCCCAGAGGCACCAACGTGTGTGATCAATTTTATAATTGTATGGAAATAATAAAAACAAACTGTGATCCCCTCCTTAACACACAAAATTAATTGAAGGTAAATCATACACCTAAACGTAAAAGCCGAAACTATTAATCTTCTAGAAAAATATATGAAAATATCTGCATGAATGTGGGTAGGCAAAAATTTCTTAGACAAGACACAAAAAGTACTAAAACAAAATAAAAGAATAAATTGGACTTCATCAACTGAAAAAACTTTTGTACTTCAAAAGGTACCACAAGGAAAATGAAAAGGCAAGCCATGGATTGAGAGAAAGTGTGATGAGGATGTACAGCAATGGGAACTCTTCTGTAGTGTTGGTGGGAGTTTAAAGTCGTTACAAACACTTGAAAAATTGTTTGACAGTATCTGCTGAAGTGGAGAGGTGCATGTCAGATGGCCCAGAATTCTTCTCCTGCATTTATACCCATCAGAAATGCGTGTGAATGTACACCAAGAGACTCACCCAGGAGTGAGTCCACAGTAGTAATATTCAACAATAGAATAGATAAATTTGGCGTATACTCATTCGATAGAATATAAGTGATGAAAATGAATTAACTACACTTAAATTAACATGGCTAACTCTCACAGACATATTGGTGAGTGAAAGAAGCCAGATGCAGAGTGCATGCTGTGTAATCTACTTAATATGAAGTTTACAGACAGGCAAAACTAACCTGTAGAACCTAAGGGACATATTTGGGTGGTAAAACTATCAAGAAAAACTAGGAAAGATCAGAAGTGGCTCATTTGTGAGAGGGAAGGAGGGTAGTGATTGGATGCGTTATCTTTTGGGGTGCTGGCAGTGTTCTGTTTGTTAACCTAAGTGGTTATATTTTTTTAAAAAAATATTCTTTGGGCTGTGCATTTGTTCCACGTGGGTTTTTGTGTTTTATTTCCAATAAAAATAATTTTTAAAAAGGAATATATAATGACATGGATAAATGTTAGTATCTTATATAATGAAAGCATGTTATAAAAAAGTATGTTTAACACACAATTTTTAAATGTATATGTGTGTGTATATAGATACACACAAACAGATTCATACACATCAGACATAGAGCAAAAACACAGGAAAATTATAGTCCAGAATGAATTCTAAGAGTGGACATCTGAATTTTACGCAGAAGATGCACCATTGGATAACTAGGAAACTCTTCATTGAATATTGTTTTATAAAATTAACACTTACAGAGGGCCCCGGCATCCTCTATAGAGAAGATGATTGGATTATTTATATTTGCCTGCCTGGTTCAGGAACAAATTTAAAGCTGCTTTATATTTAATATGAAGTGAATAACATTTGAGCAGAAGACATATGCAATCAGATAGAGACACTTCAGGCAATAGTGGTGGTTAAAATATACCTTTGCTGCAGGGAGAATAATGGAAATTACCACACAGTCTTTTAATCCTTGACTGTTTTCTGCAGTCAGTAGTTCCTTTATCTTTAAAAACATAAAAGAACAACATTTTTTATGAAGTTAAAGAAAAACTGCAATTTGATTTCTTAAAAAGGAAATAATGTCTAAAGCCATGGAATTTGGTCAAAACACTTGACCTCCTGTGCCTTCAATTTTCTAGCAAAAAAGCCACATGCCCCACATTTCAGGGTTGTTTGGAGTATAATGTCACATCATATAAATGCTTAAGCAGGGATATTAGCATACATGATTTGCAGAACTCATTTCTGGGAACTGTTAAGAAGGCAGATTAGCATTGGGATTAAGACTTTGGGCTCTGGAATTGGATATAAATTTTGATTCCCAGGTCTACTGTTCTTCTAGCTGTTTAATTATGTATTTTACTTAACTTCTCTTCCTTCATTTCCCCATCTCTAAAATAAGGAGGATAGCAGTACCTACCTCAGAAGATTGTTGTGGGGATAAAATTAAGTGCAAAGGTAGTTATAGAGCCGTTTGGATTTATCTTCAGTTTCCCAGCAAAAGTAGTTGAAAGCCTGGGGCAGTAACCACTTTTTTCATATATATACAGCTCACCCTCTGTATCCATGGGTTCCACATTGGCATATTCAGCTAACAATGGATTGAAAATATTTGGGGAAAAAAAAAGCAATAAAAGTAACACTACAACAACAAAAAATAATAAAAATAAAAAACCAGGCCCAGCGTGGTGGCTCACGCCTGCAATCCCGGCATTTTGGGAGGCCAAGGTGGGGGATCACTTGAGGTCAGGAATTCAAGACCAGCCTGGCCAACATGGTGAAACCCTGTCTCTACTAAAAATACAAAAATTAGCCGGGCGTGGTGGCAGCTATTCTGGAGGCTGAGACAGGACAATAGCTTGAACCAGGAGGCGGAGGTTGCAGTGAGCCGAGACTGCGCCACTGTACTCCATCCTGGGTGACAGAGCGAGACTCTGTCTCAAAAAAAACTGCCCCCCTCAAAAAAACACAATACAGTATTCACAACTGTTTACACAGCATTTACACTGTAGTAGGTATTATCAGTAATCAAGAGATGATTTAAATTATACCAGAGAATGTGCATGGGTTATATGCAATACTGTGCCATTTTATGTAAGTGACTTGAACATCCACAGATTTTGATTTCCATGAGGGTCCGGAAACCAGTCCCCCCAACAGATACTGACGTTCAATTATATATTTGACCTATAGTTATTAAGAACTTTTTTTTTATAGTTGATTACTACTAAGCTTAATGTTGCCATCTACCTAATCATTTATGGGGATATTTGCTGTGGTTAGGCATAAAATGTTTGCATCCTTGATATGCAGTTGGAAATTAGGAAGAGAAGACATAGGGTGGGAGATAGGATGGATACATTTTTCTTTATGTCTTGAATTTAGTTTACAGATTTTTCCCTTTTCCCCCCTCAGTAATTTCCCAGTGTATCAGTAATCTCCCTCCAGATTTCCATTTTGCATTTTGTTCCTAAAAAATAAGCAAAGTTTGTAGTAGTATTATATCAAAGTTTGTGTAGTATTGTTGAATTCTGTTTTAATTTTAGAGAGAAAAATGGCTCTACATTTCAAATTTGTGTGTGGTATGTGTGTGTGTGGCAGGGGGCGTTGGGGGAGGTCAAGAGATTGTAGCTGCATTGCTTTTATAGAAAATACGCCTTGACCAGCACTCTGAATCATTAACTACAGACAGCTGGTGTTCCATTGTATTCTTCACAGGTTTAGAGAGGTTGTGCCTAGCAATTGTGAGATGTCCAAGTATATCCAAGTATAATGCTTTGTAGGAGTATCCTGCTTTATCTTTCTTTAATTGGTTTGCTTCTTCCCAAGCTCCAGAAATAATATTTATTTTTCTCAGAGAATGTTGAGCCCAGTAGAGTGTACACATTTAAGCTTCCTAGATTCTATAGAAAAGGAGCTTTAAGGTAAAGGTATTTACTTCCTTGTGGTCTTTTTCAGAGATTGCATACTCAAGAAGAGGAGGAACATAAAATACGTGATGTCTTCTCTTAAGGTTCTGCATGCTTTAGCTGTCCATCTGAAAACATAAGGACCTTACCCTTGCATGAATGTTGCATTGCAATTAAGTCTGTGCTCAGCTCTCCTCTTAATCTGTGCTACACTCTCCCAACTCTTTGAGGCTCTTTCATGTTACCGAGTATCTTAGCTGGGTGGACTTGGGAGCACATTTAGTTAAATATCACATGAGGAACTAGTTTGTTGCCTGTTTTTATATCAGGCATTTGAAAAACGTTGAATGCAATATAACATGAGAAGAAATAGTACCCCGTTAATGTTTAAACTCTATATGGGAAAATCACACACCAGTTTAGGATCTCTAGGCACGTCAATTTAGTGAGTCAGGCACAGACAGAGGAAAAATTTTAGGGAAGCCAATTATAGCCATCAGCTAAGGGGAGAACTAGAAATTATGGAAATGGACAATCCCTCTCAAGTGTTCCATCTTGTACATGTGCCACCATTATGGAGCACCTTGTCTCAAAGCCCTTCATCATGCCTCCACCTTACTAGAGAACACAGAAGCCTGGGAAGAGTTTTATTTCTTTGGTTTGGAGATTTAAAAAAATAGACATGTATAATTACACAGAATAAGAATGGAGGCTGGTCAGCTCAATTCCATGGTCTCTTCAGCAGTTCCACAGTGTCCTCAAGGACCCAAGCTCTTTCCATCTTCCGTCTGCCATCCTCACAGTGCTAGTTTTTTCTTCAGGTCTGTTTCCACATTGCTGCAGCATGGCTGTTGCTGTTCTAGACTTGGACAGGGCTTTACCTAGCCATTCTTTGGGTCCACTCACATGCTCTCCTTTACCCAGACAGCTGTAGGGTGCGGAGCTAAAGCTGGGAGATAGCATGGGAAAAATACAAGCAAAACCGTTTTGATGGGGTTTTAATACTACATCCTGGGTATTTGGTACAAATTAAATGACTGCCTTTTTGATTATGTAAATTTAAAACCCCATATATGCTAAGTGATATAAAGTGTAAAGATTCAGGGTATGATTTACTTCATTCTGTATAAAAAAAATGTGAGTACTTGACAGTGTTCTGATTTTTTGCCTTTTTTATGTGTGTACTTTTGTGTGCGTACTTGAAAGTTTCTTCTAAATCAACTCCCGTCCACCTTGTTTAGTTTTTTGATTCTGATGGCATATTTTCCCATACGTGTTACCTTGGGACATTGTAGATGCACTGTGGTACTGTTGAATGTTGGACTGTGATGTTTAAGGTAGACCTTTCAGTTGCACAGAATCTTTCTCCTCTCCTCTTTAGCTGGCAACCACATTTCTTGTGAACCTAGTGAAAGTTGAATTTATTCTGTAACTTCTGTTCCCTTTGGCCGAAACAGATCAAACACGGTGGGACAGTACAGTGGGCGCAGGGTAGAGGTGGTGAGTTCCTAAAAACGATAGCCTTGAGATCATGGGACTCTGATCCTCTCCCCACCTGCCCAGTATTTCCCTCCGGTGTCCCTTCTCAGCATTAACACGTTGGAAGAAAGTACAAATAATATACACTGAAGTCAATGTCTTGGTTGTACTAAAACTACTTTCCTGCTCCTTATGGTGTGACATTTGGTCAGAACACTCTTCTATAAGGTTAGCACATACAGAAACAGATAGTTGGCTGGCAGACTACCTAGCAAAGTTCACTTTATTCTCTACAGCTTTGAATTAGTTAAACAAAACCAAAACATTGTGGACCCGAATCTGTCTTTCTGTTGTTACTATGTATACGTAAGTGGTTTTCTCTTTTTATTAATAGTTCTAGCCAGTTTTTACCCCCAGTGTAAGCTGGCAAAAATCACTCTAACCCTCTCGGCCATAGAAAACTGAGTTGCTTCACAGGCTCTGTCCATGGTTTTAGCTGAATTGAATTCTAAGCAGTTTGAAGACATTTTTCTAGCTAAAGACGTTTTTCTATCCTTGGCTTATACAGTACTCTCAACTCCTGACCAACTTCTCATTTTGAACTATTTATTCTTGAACTTATTTCTCCAACTGCCTCTTCCCATTCTGGGCATCTACAGTTATGTTATGTTTTATTTACAGTTTAGTTTTCTTTTCATTGGTCATTGGTCCCTAACTTTCTCATTACAAATACATTTATTTCTATCATCTTTTTTGAAGCACAAAGAATGACATGTTGTGTACCATTAGATGGTTAATAATATACATGGTTGCTATACAGTGAGGAGGGGGTCTATTTATGGCACATAAATATCTAACATTAATTTATTAAGGGTTTACAAAGATTTGGGCTTCATTTTGCCTCCCTCCCACCCCAGAAGATTATTGTCAGCAACCCTACTAGGGTATGTGATTTGGATGTTAAGCTCGGTCAAGCCAGGCAAAATAGGAAGATTTTATATAAAATTGGCTCTTTCAAAGGGGCTTTTCAGTTTTAAAGGGAAATTGAAAAAAACAGACTATAATGGATTTATTATTGTATTTAATCATTTCTCTGCATTTTTGAGTTATTGAAATATTCTTTTAATAATGTATCAGTTTCCTTGGCAAACATTTAGGGTATTTTTTTCTTAACCTACTCTTGTAATTTGGTAAGGGTGGAAAGTTAGAAACCAAATTTGTAATGTCATCCAGAAGATGACGACACCTAGACAATGAGTAAACAAATATGGTGTCACTTTATTTCACATTCCCCAAATTACCTGTGATGAGCTTAAGAGATTTTTTCATTTATAAATAGAAAAAAATGTATTCACAGTATTTTGGCATACTATAAAAGTCGAATTATCTAAAATGTAATCTAGTCAGATAGCATTTAGTAGGAAAATAGAAATAATTGTTTTCAAGATACGATAAGTTAGACGTGTCTGTAAAGGACAGTCGAAAAGAGTAGCAGTGGGGTATTGATTGCTTTTTAGAGAAAGAAAAATTCCATTCCACTTCTAAATGTTAACAATTGCAAAAGGAAAATTCCCACTTGGGAAGAACATTTTTCAGGTTGCTTCATTGCCAGGTGTTTGACATTGTGTGTTGTCTTAGACGAATAAGGCTTAGGGCAGTCTTTAGGAATGATTCACTCCAAGGACCTCTGCTTCCTGCTGTGAAAGCTTGTATTTTCATAGCACGCCAGTATCGGTGGGAATGTTCCAGTGACCACTGTGCTACTTCTAGTAAAGACCAAAGTTTTCTCCCTGAAACTGGGATACCTGTAGAGGAGAATACCTGTCTGCTAACAAAATTAATTTCAGAACATTCTCAATGAATGAAGTGCATGTTCTCTACTGTTTATGAGACTGAACTGTGTCACTTATTAATGGAGATAAGCCTTGCTTTCTTGTGGTCCCTTTTAACACCATTGCATTCTACAAATATGATTTACAATGATTCTAAAGTTTAAAAAAATCAAAATAATGTGATAGTTGCTTTGAGCCCTATCCATATTTTCCCCTTTCCTTTTTTCTCTCTCCTTGACCCAGCGGCAGGAAGCCTTTGTTTGAGGTGTTCATCTGGAACAACTTTTCCACACTTGTTTTCATGTTCTGTTAGATTACAGGGCAGCAGGCCTACCTTTGAAGCTCCTTTCTCTTTTGTTTCTTTGCCGTGCACTCCAGTAATTAACTTTGTCCTTCTTTTATTTGTTCCAGTCAATCGCAGGCCACTCTGCTGAGCATCTTCTCCCAGGAGTACCAGGTTAGAAGTTTTCTCCTTTGTGAGGGTTGACAGGTGCCTAATTGAATGATGAATGTCCCTTTATTTCTTTGTAATTGAACTGCCAGCTCTCTGATTGGGTTGGAGGATGTTCTCCTTTCCACATCAAGCACCGCCTGCGTCTCGGTGGAGGCCTGCCAAGCCTACCCATCCATCTGTCTAATAACATCTAGCCTTTGCTTATTTGGTGGACCTGTAATAAATTATGCTAAACCATTATTATTCTGACAATAATAATTTCCCTGTGTTGCGTGGTTCCATGTGCTAAATGTTTGCTGACTTGCACTGTCAGTGCTGCTTTCCATTGCTGACAGAGATGATGATAAATGACCATTGCTGGAGTGGCAGAAGGCAAGAGAGGCAGAAAATGGAGTCATTTATCATGAGATGACAGGTGTCAGTCAAGTGGCAAGTCTCTATGGAATTACTTTTTGTAGTTTTCAAATAAGTTGTTTTTAAGCAATGTTCTTCCTGGTTAAAAATGGCAATTGGATTGTAAAACTAGAGTGCAGAGGACTTAGATGGAATTGAATCGAGGGAAAATTAATACAAAGGTTGAAAGAGGGAACAAGTTTTTCTTTGCCCTCTGTAGCCCTAAGCAAACTTATTTAGATTCAATTACTATGACCCTGTTGGCTTTTACATATATACCGTACCTTGTGGTACAGTCTGAAGACATCCCAGCCAAGCAATAGAGATTAAAATGCATAGGATCATAGAGTAGAAGGAAAAGAAGTCCTGCCATCACCACAATTCCCAAGCTGTTATTCAGTGTTCCCTATGTGCTAGTCACTGGGCTCAAGAAATAATGTCATTCTTGTTTTGAACCTCATCTGTGACATATCAAAGATTTTTTTGTGTTGTTGTTTTTTTTCTTTCAGAAACACATTAAAAGAACACATGCCAAACATCATACTTCGGAAGCAATTGAAAGTTATTACCAGAGGTATGACCTTCCTGCCCCACTAGAGGGTATCATAGTACCTATTAATTGTAATAATAATTATGAATAAGTTAGGTTATTAATTTTCTATGTCATATCCCAAGACATTGTGTTTTAAGTATTTTATTCAAAACTTTTAGTATGTTTTTGAATGAGTTTTCAAATGCTTTGTTTTGTAGATCTAAAGAGTATGGTAAGGCTGTCTTGACTTGTGTGTGTGTGTGTGTGTGTGTGTGTGTGTGTGTGTGCCCATACTATGTGAGATGTAGTTATAATATTATGAAATCTCAGTTGGCTACTTGAAACTTATTATAAGTGCATATCCTGTCTAAATGCATATGCTCATATATACATATATCTACATATATTTGAAAGTTCTCAAACTAATTTTCATTTCTTAGATTAGCAAGTTGAAAAAAGAAGATTGAATTTGGATGTCATTTTATTTTGCATCATAGGTATTAGGATATCCATTTTAGAAATGAAAAAAGATGTATCAAGTAAAGGCATTTGGAGATATATTGTAGTGTATAACGGTCACATTTTAAAGGGGATTTTGTATTTTTAAAAGACAACCTTGGGTATTAAATCAACAGCATAGTATCCAGGAGATATTTTAATTTCAGCCTAATTTATTATAAATAAATTTCAACTTCTTGTTCTGAAACAATATTTAAAATAGCTCTGTTTTTTTATTTTAAAATTTGTATTGTCATTGTAATATGACTGAATAATTTATAACACTAAATGGTAATGGTTTGCATTAGAAATTGTTAGTTGGTTTCTTAAATCTTTCAGGGGCACATTGGCAATGAAAACTGTTTGAAATCTGCTCTTAAATTATTATACTTAAGATTGACAGATGAACCTTTCTGTGGTGAGAATGACACCACTGATTTTAGATGAATGATTTTTATGCATAAAAATTTTATGAATGAAATAAATATGTGGATAAAATATTGGTGTCATGTTTCGGTAATCATTTTATTTAGAATCAAGAAAGGGATATTGAACAGGAAAGTCACAGAAGTTAGATTTTTTAAAAAAAATTATTCACTGCTATATGTGGTAAAAGATATGCTTTGTTTTGAGTAGTAATACCTGTCAAAGAAAGATAACATGCACTCATTACACACACACAGACACAGACACATACACACACACAGTTTTGTGTCTAGGAGAGATCCTCTCTAAACAAGACTTTGTAAAGTTTGATGATTTATTCAAAAGTCATAACCTTCTTGGTGAAATTGACATTCAAATTAAAGTCATAGCCTAAATTATACATATGAAATTAAAAATGGCCCATGAAGTGCTGTGAAGCCTGCAACCGTGTTGGCATCCAGACTCTTCAAAGAAGCACTGAAGGTTATTTACATGCCAAAAAATACATTCTTGTTTGTAAACATTATAGTCCTAGGCTGTTATATAAAAGTATGATTTTATGTCTGGATTTTAAAGGCTTGTAATGTATACAAAGGAAAATAGAGCATTTTAAAGGAAAATGTGCTCTTTTCCTGGAAATTCGGAGATCCACTGACAGGTAATGGGGCTGCCTTCTGATACTCATTTGCCTCATTGTAAGGAGGTTGTTTTAGTTATTAATACATGATTTTTAGGATCACTAGGTGCTGCTATTTCAAATCTAAGTTTCATTAAAAAGTATATCTAATTGTTGAAGTATGAACATACTTTTGTTGGATTATCTGGGTAGTATAGGCCATAAATAAATAAATATCTTTTTTTTTTTTTTTTTTGAGACAGTGTCTCTCTCTGTCACCCAGTCTGAGGTGCAGTGGCACGATCATAACTCACTGCAGCCTCAACCTCCTGGCCTCAGGCAATCCTACTGCCTCAGTCTCCTGAGTAGCTGGGACTACAGGTGCACACCACCATGGCCAGCTAATTAAAAAAAAAAGTTTATAGAGACAGGGTCTTGCTACTTTGCCCAGGCTGTTCTTGAACTTCTGGCCTCAAGTAATCTCCCACCTCAGCCTCCCAAAGTGCTGGGATTACACGCCTGAGCCACTGTGCCTGGCCCAGAAATAAATACCTTTAAGTATACCCAATGATGAACAGTTGAGTGGGTAATAATGAGAATACATAAATAGATTTCTTTCAATTTATTTAAATATGACAGTCTCAATTATTTCGAGGAGTTACAGCATTTGAAACAAAAACATGAAGTTAGACCGTAATGGGCAGTCTCAGAAGAAAGCAGTCTGACCACTTTCTGACTTTACCAACCTGCTGTCTGACTTTCTGCCCTGCACTTTGCACTTAGGGACAGGCCATGTTGTTACCTTTCAGATGGATTGACCTCAGTAGCCTTTTGTTGGAAATGTGCAGGTCAAATGTTCCTGTCTGTGCTAAGGTAAATTGGCTTTAAAAGGTTTTTGTTTGTTTTCCAGCAGATTAGAATAAAGCCAAATTGTATTTGTTATATCAAAATATATTTAAGCAATTTGAAAATGTTAATGGCAATTTAATTTAATTTTTTTCTTTTATAAAGTAATACTCAGCTATTGTGAAAATTAAGCATATTTGTGATAGTATTTTTTTTTTTTTTTTTTGAGACGGAGTCTCACTCTGTCGCCCAGGCTGGAGCACAGTGACGCAATCTCGGCTCACTGCAAACTCCGCCTCCCGGGCTCACGCCATTCTCCTGGCTCAGCCTCCTGGGTGGCTGGGACTACAGGTGCCCGCCACCACGCCCGGCTAATTTTTTGTATTTTTAGTAGAGACGGGGTTTCACCGTGTTAGCCAGGATGGTCTCGATCTCCTGACCTTGTGATCCGGCCGCCTCGGCCTCCCAAAGTGCTGGGATTACAGGCGTGAGCCACCGTGCCCGGCTGTGATAGTATTAAAAAGGAATGAATGATTGCCCATAATTGTGCCAC
The DNA here is from genome assembly GCF_000001405.40 of Homo sapiens. Lineage (NCBI taxonomy): Eukaryota > Metazoa > Chordata > Mammalia > Primates > Hominidae > Homo > Homo sapiens. Next base: position 36,648,185 of record NC_000015.10, read on the forward strand.
TCAGAGATCTCTACTGGCATTTTTCATTTTAGTCTTTTGTCAGCCCATTTTTATATTGATGAGGTCATATTATATAAGCAATTGTGAATCCTGAGTTTTACACCTGGAAAAATGTATATGATATAATATTATTTTGTAAAAAGCGTTTTGTAAACATTTTTTGATTGCCTTATTTCATCATATGAAAGTATCATAATTTACTGAATTATTCCTTTGTCGAGCATATATGTTTCCAATATTCTATTTTTTTTTTTTTTTTTTTTTTGAGACGGAGTCTCCCTCTGTCGCCCAGGCTGGAGTGCAGTGGTGCAATCTCAGCTCACTGCAAGCTCCGCCTCCTGGGTTCACACCACTCTCCTGCCTCAGCCTCCCGAGCAGCTGGGACTATAGGCGCCTGCCACCACACTCGGCTAATTTTTTGTATTTTTAATAGAGACAGGTTTCACCGTGCTTGCCAGGATGGTCTCGATCTCCTGACCTTGTGATCCGCCTGCCTCGGCCTCCCAAAGTGCTGGGATTATAGGTGTGAACCACTGCACCTGGCCTCCAATGTTCTATTATTGTAAATAAAACTGTGATAAACATCTTGATGCATGAGTCTGCTTTTGAATTAGTTTCTTAATATTTCTATATATGTAATTATTGGTGCAAACAATGTGAACATTTTAAAAAAGTATTACATATTGCCAAACTACTGTCTAGAAATGTTTTGCTGGTTGCATATGTTGAACAGGGTGGATCTGCTGTAAATGTATTTGTTTTCCAATCTGTTTCCCAGCTATATCCTGTAACACTTCATAAGTGCTAGGAAAAAAAAAGTTTAATTTGAGGTTGTATTTATCTTTTCTGGAAACTTTAATTATCCCCCACATCAAAGTGACAGATCAGGCTTTATTTAAATTTTCAGATATGTAATCAAAGGGACATACTAATTACTGAAAATATTCCATAAAGACATAATCAGAAAATCCTAATGGTACCTTTCTCTGCATCCTCTTAGTATCCTGTGCAAACTTACAGCATTGCAGTTTTCACACTGGTATAATGGTTTGCTTCTGTCTCCAGCTAGCCTGAAAACTCTTTGGGGTAGGGCTACACAAAAACAAATGAATGATGGACCCTCAGCCAACTCTGGCAAAGATCTGAATTGCAATTGGGATATAAGGATGTCATCCTTAATACTATATTAAGGTGACCTGGGCTCCATTCCTGATGCCTATTTGCCAGTTAAAACAACTTTATACAGAAGCTATATGTCATCATCTAGCTTTGCTACAGGAGGGCTAACAAATACACATCCTATGGGTGAAATCAGCCTTAAAAGGTCCTCAGAGAAGGCCCATTTTATGATGTTTTTTGAGTGTGAAAGACTCATTTATATCTAAGATGAAACTAATGTATACTCATTTCAAATATAAGGCAAAGTTCTCCATGCTGTGGCCTAAGATGATCCACAACCCTGTCACTGAGTGTCTTCTCTCAGCTTGGAACACCTTCTGCTTCCCTACAAACTAGTAAAGATGATAAGTTTATTTCTAGACTACTGCATAAACAAGTTGCCCCGGACACCCCGAATCGATAATTCTTGGAACTCCCACAGCACTCTGTATAGACATACCTCTGTTAGCACTTCTCTTGCTGCATTTTACATACTTACATACACAGCTCTTTTCCCACCAAAAAGGACAGTGGAAGGCAGGTACTGTGTCTTATATATGTATTGTTGGTTTTTAGCATTGTAAATGGGGCATAATGAGTGTAAAGCAGATGGTGCTAATTGAACAAAAAAGTGGTCCAAATTTTCAGAAACTATTTTTATCACATATGTTACCAGTATCATATTTAAGCCAACCTTTTTTACATGTGAACATCTGAATAAAGTTCTGTAGATCTGATCTTCTAACGCTGCTAAAGCTGGCTCCTCCGCCAGTGTGCTGGGAGAAGGGAGGAAATGGAGACAATATTTCTAAACTTTGCTATTGATGGGGACTTGCAGATCTGACCAACTGTGTGCATGTGCACTTATGCTCATGTGCACCAATTTAGGCGGACCTAAACAAATTTCACCAAGAATCTTTCCTGTTTAGAAATAAAATGGCGTTAGTACAGTGTGAAAGAATAGAGATATTTTCAAAGTAAACTCTCGAGCTGTGTCTATTTATATACAACATGGAGAATTGAGGAAATTTCTTCAATAATTCAAAAGCTTGAGAAAATTTTTATTTATTTATTTATTTATTTATTTATTTATTTATTTATTTATTTATTTATTATTTGAGACAGAACCTTTCTCTGTCACTCAGGCTGCAGTGCAGTGGTGCAATCTTGGCTCACTGCAAACTCCACCTCCCAGGTTCAAGAGATTTTTGTGCCTCAGCCTCCTGAGTAGTTGGGACTACAGGCACGCGCCACCATGCTGGGCTAATTTTTGTGCTTTTAGTAGAGACAAGGTTTCACCATGCTGTGCAGGGAGGTCTCAAACTCCTGGCCTCAAATGATCCACCCGCCTTGGCCTCCCAAAGTGCTGGGATTACAGGTCTGAGCCACCGTGCCCAGCCAGAAAACATTTTCTACTATCTGGATATCATAAGATTTCTGTTAACCATGATGAAATCATGTAAAATACAGATTTTGATGGGAGGCAGAGGCAAGCGGATCACCTGAGATCAGGATTTCGAGACCAGCTTAGCCAACATGGCAAAACCCTATCTCTACTAAAAGCACAAAAACTAGCCAGGTGTGGTGGCACGCTCCTGTAGTCTCAGCTACTTGGGAGACTGAGGCAGGAGAATTGCTTGAACCCAGGAGGCGAAGGTTGCAGTGAGCCGAGATTGCACCACTGCACTCCAGCCTGGGTGACAGAGCAAGACTTCATCTCAAAAAAAAAATAAAAAAAAATACAGTCTTTGAATTCTTAGTTGGTATCAACTCAATGCTAGCAAGAATGCAGAGACACATGAATTCTCCTGGGCATTAGGAATGGAGCCCACGTCACCTTAATGTAGTATTGAGAATGACATCTGTATATCCCAGTTGCAATTTGGATGTTTGCCAGGGTTGGATGAAGGTTCAACATTCATTTGTGTAGCCCTACCCCAAAGAGCATTCAGGGTAACTGGAGACAGAAGCAAACCATTATACCAGTGTGAAAAGTGCAATGCTATAAGTTTGCACAAGATCATGATGAGGATGCAGAGAAAGGTACCATTAGGATTTTCTAATTATGTCTTTATGGAATATTTTCAGTAATTAGTATGTCCCTTTGATTACATATCTGAAAATTTAAATAGAGCCTGATCTGTCACTTTGATGTGGGGGATAATTAAAGTTTCCAGAAAAGACAAATATAACCTTAAATTAAACTTAATTTTTTTTCCTACCACTTATGAGGTGCTACAGGTATAGTTGGGAAACAGATTGGAAAACAAATAAATTTAGAGCAGATCCACCATGTTCAATGTATGTGGCACCTCACTAGGCCTCGAGGGATCAGGGTTCTATTTCAGGGTTCTATAGCTTTATTGTTTACCAGCTAAGAGAGCCCAGATGGGTTTTATCAGTGCCCTGGGGTTTGGTTTCTTTATATGACCAACTGGGAAGCTTTAACAACCTCATAATTAGGAATTTCCACAGTATTAAGTATGGTCATGCTTTTAATATTATCCAGACTATATAGATACAGAGGATTGTAGTTATGGTTTAATCATCTTCTGTTTCTTTAAACTTGATAGAAGTTCTTCACTGGTCATTAGCAGGATAATGATTGATGCAACTTTTACATGAAGCCATGTCATTTTGACTTAAAGCAACAGATCTCTGGTATAAAAGGTAGTCTGGCATCTAGCTGCTACTCTTTCACTGTTTGCAGTCAGCTCTCACCATGGCATGCTCCTTCTTTTCATGCTGATCTCTACTCGAGTGTCACTCCCTCAGAGAGGGGCTTCCTGAACAACCCATCTAAGTTTACATTTTATTCTAGCATATACCATTATACTGTATATTTATCTCCCTGCCTTTTTATTGTTTGTGTCACCACTGTAATATAATCTCTGTGATGATGGGACCATGAATGGTTTTTTTTCCTGCTGTTGCTTCTTCAGAACCTGGAATAAGGCCTGACACATAGCGCTCCAAAATACTTGTCGGGTAACTGAAACTGAAGTAGAAAGCTGTAAAGATATCCCAATATTGGTATAGGCTTAAATACGCTGACCCAGAATCAGAAACCATAGTAAATACGCACTCTTGGTGGTTACAGGCACACAATCAGCTGGTCTGACTTGACTGAACTGATTGCTGGTTCCTTGGGTGGTATCAGTGCAGTGGCCTTGTTTGTGAGAAATTGATGTGAGGTTCTTAACGGACCTGTTTCCCAGGGACCTTTCTCTAAAGCACATTTGCCTTGTTTTATTTATTTATTTTTTCCTCTTGCTTCTGAACGTCCTTATTTTCCAATTGGTTTCCCAAATAATACATTCAAGGGTGGCCCCAATATGTGGAAAATTGCTTTGTTAGAATTATTTTGAAGTTACAATGATCCAGAGGTTCTCCCCACCTTAAATAATTTGCTGTTACCCCACTTTGCTTACAGGAAAATTATACAACTTTATAAATATACTCATGAAATAATATAATTTAGTACCTACTTCTGGCAGTTATATGGAAGACCTCACCTGTTGACTTTATTACTGTCAGACAAATACCCAGAGCTTATTCACTTAAATAATATACTGTAGGGAAAATTTCCATACCTAATTCTGCTTTCTTGTCCAATATGGTTTTTAAAAATTATTTAATTTTTCATTTGTTAAAGGAAAAGTATAAGGTGATTTTTTATTATATAATCACCTACTATAAACAAAGTACTTGGTAGGCATAATAAATTAAATAAAATACAATTCTCCAACCTTCATGAAGCTTTCAACATTACAGTGGGGGATGGGTTTGAGGTAGCCAAGTAATAGGCAAATACAATATGCTACGTTACATGATAGAAAGATGTACAGGGTATTCCTCGATTGCATATGAGGAGCACTTAACTTATATGGTAGTGGATCGAAGAAGGTGACATCTGAATTGAATCATGAGTTATCCAGGTGAGGGATGGGAGCGGGAGACAGTGACTAGAGATGAGGCTGGCAGAGTAGAGTAGGTAGAAACCAGATTATGAAGAACCTTACAAGAGCTGTTAAATGGTTATAATTTAATCTTGAGATTTAATGTGGGGCCTTGAAGTGTTATAACAAGGGGAATGACACATTCAAATTTTTGTAAAAAAAAAAAAAATCCCCCCAGCTTCCATGTCTGGGGTTTTGTTTTGTTTGGGGATTTTGGGGAGTTGTGTGTTTTTTTCCAGTGGAGTGAGAGGATAATGAGAGCTGGAGGTTCTTCCACAAATCTAGGGCAGATAAGGTGATGGCTTGTATTGCCTGTCACAGGTGTGCTGACCCACTGATGACATGTCTGTTCCATCGTTTTCTTAATAAGGTGTCAAGCAGCCCTGTGAAACAGGTAAAGGAAAAGGCAAGATGGGTGCATGAATGCTTTTCTCAAACTATATAAGTCAACTTCTTTCCTTTCCATGCAATGGTTGTCTGTGGTAGAGACAAGGCAGAGTGATATGGATAGTTCCTCTTGTTCACTTTATATGGTAGGAGGTGAAAGAAAACAAGGGAGACCTAAGTATTTACACCTTCTGCCCCCACCTTCAGCTTCTTAGTTGCCAGTGGTTTTGAGGTGAGTTGTTTGTGTTATGTTTTTCCCTTCAGTGCTTTCCTATGAAAGTAGCTTACTTTAACTAGAGTTGAGCGTGGCATTTGTCCAGGAGAAACATGTATACACACAGGGGATGCTGACAAGTCTATGCTGGCCTTTTCTTGTCACTGCATTACCACTTGGCTTTGTCTTGTCTAGGTACCTGAATGGAGTGGTGAAAAATGGAGCTGCCCCAGTGCTCCTGGACCTGGCCAATGAGGTAATGTTATTGTTATGATTTTATTTAAACCTGCGTGTAACCTAAGGGGCCTATCTAGAGTAACTTTGCTTACAATTATAACTACCTTTGGAAAAAAAAAGGATTTGAGGTGCATTAGACATTTAAATTGCTCCCTGATCTCTTTGTACTTTTAGTAATTGGACAAAGAACTTCACATATTAATAAATCAGTTGACATAATTAGTCTACTTCTTTTAAGGCAAATGTATAAACAGCCTCTTGGTTTCTTATTTTGTGGAAAATTTCAACCAAACAGCTCAGGACATGCTTTTCTTAGGATAGGTTGTCTTAATTTAGTGTGAGAAATACCTGTGTCAAGTAAAGAGATGGATGCCAAAAAAAAAAAAAAAAAAACTGCTGTTATAAAAATGAAGAGAGAAATTGTATACTTAAAGATGTACTTGATTCATTTTTTTGTTAGCAAACTTTTATTATAATAAAGGATACATGCCTTGTAGAAAAGTCTCCTTCTTTATATGAAGAAGCATAGTGTTCTTAATAACACCAAGTAAGAAGTGATTTATTGAACTTATTCGTTAACTCTGATCTGCTTCTGTTTGGGGAAACAAATAACAGCCTTACATTTAAAAAGGGAAACCCTACAGATTTCCCATGAATGAAGAAGCTGTGAAAAGTTCATAATAGTTGCAGAGAGCATACCAAAAAAATAAAATATTTAATTCCTAAACTTTAAAATATTTATCCACTGTAATAAGAGCAATACAATATTTAGTCTGACTTGGAACTGCTTATGCAAACCTCGTAGGGATGGAATGAAATGTACACTGTTTTTGCGTTGCATTATAATGGAAAACATAGAAGCAAGGCAGAAAATGTGTGTTTGCATTAAAGATGACTCGGTACTGTGAGCATTAAGTGTTGCAGTAGCAGCAAGTTCTACATGTTATATTAGCAAGGAAGGATGGCTTCCCTCACAGCTTCTGTCTGCTGCTATACACTGCTGCAGTCAACAAATGAGCAATTACCTATCAGTTACTAGATGGTTTTAATAGTCTAAGCAATGTCTACACAATCAGATAGGATAGTTAACATATAGAATGAATTTCTGTGCGCCTCCTAGGAAAACAAGTATTTTATTCTTTTTTTGTTTTTTCCATTTCTAGAGCAGAGTGCTTTTTTTTTTTTGCTTTTTTTTTTTCTTTTTTTGAGACAGAGTCTCACTCTGTTGCCAGGCTGGAGTGCAGTGGCGTGATCTTAGCTCATTGCAACCTCTGCCTCCCGGGTTCAAGAGATTCTCCTGCTTCAGCCTCCTGAGTTGCTGGGACCACAGGCCTGTGCCACCATGCCCAGCTAATTTTTGTATTTTTAGCAGAGACGGGGTTTCATCATGTTGGCCAGGATGGTCTTGATCTCCTGACCTTGTGGTCCACCTGCTTTGGCCTCCCAAAGTGCTTGGATTACAGGCGTGAGCCACCACGCCCGGCCAGCAGGCTGGTTTTTAAATGTATCTAGACTTGTTTGTTACAAGTTTATGCTATTAGTAACTTGAGGTATCTGAGCTTTAACTAGGAATTTAGTGATTGTCTTTTATGAAAAAGAAGAATAAGCTAGCAGCATTCCAGACACAGCATCTAGAAAGAATGTGATGCAAATATGGTACCCATCTATATAGATGATGATGTTGATTATATAAGTTTTATATCATAGCAATTTATATTCATTTGAATTTTTAATGGATAGTTCTATATCCATTAAATATTTAGCTGACCTCAGTTTCAGTCTTCTAGTAATATGGAAAAATTTAACCTACCAACACATTTTCTCCTACATCAATAAACCTTTTATTTACCATGAATATATAGCAGTATTTAGCCAAGAGAAAACGTAGTTGTTTAAAGACTTTTCCTCCGTTTTGGCTACAGACTAGTACAGAAAGAATAGCACTTTTCTATGAAATTGATAATGCATTAGGGAAATTTAGGAATGGCTGGTACCATATTATAGCTTCTAAACAACCAAGGTGCCATTTTTTCCAGATAGGTAATACTTAGATAACATACACTTGCATCTGGTGACAATTGATGTGATGGTAATACTTTATGAGCTGATATTTATTTAATCAGGGGAAACTATAAAAATTGATGAGAAATATATAGCATTGGTACATTACAGGGTGCAGCAACTCTCTTAGACAAGAGCATTGTATTTTTATTATCTTTTTGGGGGGCTAAGGGCTGTATGTGGTCATCATTGATTTTATAAATGTCTTCATACTACTTTTCCAGTTTCAAGTCTAAAATTGAACATTTTAGCAATTCACACTTCGTTAGTGATAATAAGATCAGTCATTCTGTTCTCTCCACACAAATATTTTCAAGTGAGATTTGAAGCACTATGCATTTTATTTACATGCTAAATTCTGACATGAAGCATGATGGCCCTATTTCAGAGAAAGATGGACACATGATTAATATGAAAATTAGGGAGATGCAAGTACCTGAACTAATAAGGTAGTCCTTATTCAGGCTGGACTACCTTCAGTAATTTCACCATTTTTCATGTGTCAGCTCTGATGTGGGTTACTAGGAATAAGCAGCTTCGTGGAAAGCATTTCTTTCTACTTGGGGAATTTAAGGGCATCCAAGTACATACGTATTTGAAAAAACTGTTCATACAAATGAAGCCAGCCTTTTTGTCTAGTTACTAAATCAAGATAAAATTTTGGTATGAATACGGGACTTGAAAACCTGTCAGGAAAAATTCATGGTGATAATATATGAGGAATGTTTGCTGTCTTCCACCTAAGATAAAAAGACTCGTTTTAGGGAAGCATTATTGTTCTTAAAAATGTGTGTTCCTATTTTTTGGTGAAATTAAGTAAATGGTTAATAAAAGATTTAAGAACCCCAAAGAAGACAATATCTTTACAAAATAGTAGATACATTTTTTATTAATTAAAATGACTGTCGGACTGAATATCCTTTGTTTTCTGACTGGTTCTTTATTTTAAAAAGTTACCACCCTGGGATCTGTATTAATTAAATTGGTAAGTAGTGTTTCAGATAAGGACGGTGATCTTATGTTGCAGATATTATATTGTTGTAATTTATTATTAACATCTCTGCAATGTAGTTGTCTTTTATCAAATAAAATATTTTAAATGTAAGGAATTTATACCAAAATTTCAGTTGTCTTTAAAGATAAAATCAGTAAAATCCTTATTTGGATTTGTCATATAAGGACATTTGACTCTGTTTTTGAAAACTGTCACTAAATAACAAAAAGGGCTTATTATTTGAAATTGCATTCAGAACAGTATAAATATAGACAGTTGCATAGAAAGAAGCATGGCTTGAATAAAAAATTATATTGGCCTACCAACAGAAAAAATTGAGGAGAGATGAAAAAAGCCTATTTCACTGTTTTAGACGAATGCTTTTTCTAAGTTGTTCCATCCTTTTTGCTCCAATGTTATATTCAATAAATTTGACCCATTTATTCTTTTCAACAGCCCAAACCATACTTGTTATAATTTTATTATAATGGAAGCCACCAAGGGTGGGAAAGATTTTAATGAATGATGCTTGCTATGGTTGATTAAAATTGACTTATTCTTCAGTGTTGACAAAATACTGGAGTATCCACTGCTCGCACAACTTGATAGTTTTAATTTTCTACTTCTGTTTTATAAAGGTGGACTATGCGCCCTCATTAATGGCTCGGCTTATACTGGAGAGGTTTCTACAGGAACACGAGGAAACTCCACGTGAGTTACCCTTTTTTCCTAATGGTACTCTTTTACTCCCTTCCCCAATTTAAAAATAATTTACACAGCATTTCAAGTCACTTAATGAGAGCCAGATTCCAAAACAGCTATCATGAACAGTTAATGACAATTAAATGCAATATAAAAGACCACCCACAACTTAAATACTCTTCAGAATAATGCTCTCTTCTTTGTCTAAATTCCACACTCAACCTCTCCATTGAGCTAAATAGACAATGTGTATCAAACTAAAAAATTGATTCATCTTCGTATATAGAATAAGATACATCATTTGAAAAACCATTGTCAGGAACTGGCTCTAAAAGAAACATTCATCCTTTTTATTTTAATTCAGCAAGACCGGAGAAATACTACTTCCAAATGCAAAGGTGAATTCCACTGGTCTTCCTACAAGAAAATAAAAAAGAAAAAAAGAAAAGAATAGAGCTACAGAAGGAGGTTCAAGCCTAAATTAATTTGCCACTGAAAAAATACATTTTGTTATTTTCTCTGTGTCAACTGCATGATTAAAACCGGCTGTTAAGTGAGCTCTGGGGATGTGCTCGTAAAAGATTTATGAGTAATATTCAATGTGATATTCAAAGTGAGTCATGAATATCAGGATAATTGCTCTCAGTGCTGGCTCTTTTACTAGGCAGGAGTTTGTCAACTGCCCCATAAATATTTGCCTAGTCTCATGTAAAAAAGACAATTTCATCTTCTGCATTTTTATTACCTAGTATAATGTTTACCTTTGGAGCTCAGCTGTGGTAGAATAGGTAAAAAGCTTTGGAATATGCTTTATGCACATAATCTTCCCTCTTTGAAAGTAGAAGATAATACCTGCTAAAACATCATTCAGTAGTACATGTTGGATTTTTATTTTTTTATATTTTGTCAGGGATTTTTTCCCTTTGATTTTCTTTGAATCTGCAGTTACCAGTGACTGGTGGCCCAGTTACCTTGTGAAGGTTTCATTTGAATGAATTAAGTACTTCCCCTAAAAATTCAATATCATTTCAATAGATGTAGCCTCCAAAGTAACCTGCAGTGATGCTTCATGAGCAAATCACATGATGTCAGAATGGTATGGTTTCGATTTAATCAAGAAAGAGATTAAAGTGGATGTGTGTTATTTTCAACTTCGCAGCAGCACCGCCATTTGTCAAAGTCAACCTTCTGATTGCTTTGGACCTACTGCTATCCAGGTCTTGTCAAAATAGTAGTCAGCATAGTCTGAAGCAGGTAGACTGGCCTATATAGAGCAGTATCAAACACAGTAAAACAGAATTCATTGACTTGTGAATTATGAAGTTAATAGGTTGATCATAAATTTTGTAGCCATTAATTTATCTTTATAACACTGGCACATCTTCAGTACATTTTTCTTTTTATTTTGTACCATTTTATACAGCAGAGTTAAATAGTACTGAATATAATTTTGATGTGTACTGTATATCAGAATCCTATAATTCCAATGCTAGGATTAAATGTCTTGCATGAATACACTGGAGAAGGACATGAGCATATTTAGAAACATACCAAGGAAAGGGTATTTCAAGAATGTGGCTGCTTGGAAAGGAGGCGAATGTAAATATTGTATGCTTGAATTACACTATGATTATGTATAATCAAATAACAGTATTTTGAAGCTTTTTCTTTTATAATTGGTTGGGTTAATGGTTGTTTCACTGTGAGTTGTTACAGAGTCAGGTTTTGTTTTTTTTTTTTTTTCCTGAGTAAAATCATGACAGATATTTGATGTTATTTTTAATCATCATACTAGGCTATTGTGAAGGCACCATTTTAACTCCCTATTTGCCAGTAGGCTGACTGCCAGTCAAAAATGCTGTATTAAAATATTTCTCTGGACAGAAAATGGTTTCAAAAATCTTTTATGATTATATGACAAACCATAATTGAGGGTTTATCATTTCAAAAAGTGACAGAAAATGTTAAAATTAATGCCAGGTTATAGAAGTCAATTAATTTGCTGATGGTGCTAGGTTATCTTCCTTTCTTTTCTTCGTCTTTTTCATTCTCTCTTTTTCCTTCCTTTTCTTTTTTTTTTTTTTTTTTCTTAAAGAACTTTAAGTTACTGTGGCTTATATTCTGACACTTTCTTCCCCTTCAGAGCATGGGCCTGGCTGGCCTTTGGCAATGAAATTCAATGCACATGGCTCCGCAGTCAAATCATCAAATTTCCCTGTGTGTATATTAGAGTTTTGTAATGTGTTTCCATTATGAAACAATGCGGGGATAATTGTCTTTGGTAGCAATTAGCTAACAGGTTTGTTCAGTGCTATTGGCAGAGGCATCCATCACCCCCTTCCCTGACCACACTTTTTGTCTAGTGTGGACTATGGAGATCAATAGAATTCTATATAGGGGAAATCACCTCAGCTTTAATGAGCTGCAAGTCTCAGTCTTGGCTTGTATTTTTAATTTTTTCCTCTTAAAACTAGAAATCAGGCAAAAAAATCCTATTCTTTTGGGGGTGGATTGTACTGTGTATTTACTATTACTTTCATTAGATCAATGCTCAGTTTTAAATTGTTTTTACTTCTGTAAAAAGGTATAGCTAATAGCATGGGACATATAAGCCATGTAATTTTGATAACATATACTTTAGGAATATCCACTTTAAGGAGTACTGTTGGGTTTCTCACGCGATAATTTTTAGGGTATGATATATACATTCTGTCTAGTGTCTCAGTAGTTAAAAAGAAACCTGAGTGGCTCTTGTGATGACAAACAATTTTGTTGTACACATTTTGTTATTGCCCCTGATTAAATAATGTTCTATAGCCTTTTAGACTACTTTTGTGTTGTACTGTTGCTTAGCCTCACAACAAAACTAGTGTACTGATAGGATACGTATTTTGAGTTGAGCTCTGCAGGGACTGAGTATAAGTGCCTTGGCCATCATCCTATGATTATTACTACATAAAGCTGGTCCTAGAACCCAGATTCCAAGTTTTATCTGTTCAATTGAATTATTTTTCTTCCTCCCAAATTAGACATGAGGAAGTTTATCCATGTTGTGCCATTTTCTCTTCCTCATGAAATCTGAAGTGAGGCTGTTCTGGGAGAGAATAGCATCTCTGGTTTTCTGTGGCCTCGGAATCACCCAGGGAGGTGGGTGGAGCATGTGAGGCCAGTGTACAGGTGAGTTGTAAATGGAGTGGTAGCAAAGGGTGTGAAGTGGATGGCAGTGCTGGTGCTCACACTCAAGGCTTCCAGCTCCTTGTCAACAACTCTTTTTATTGCATTACACTGAATAAAGTAGCAGTTAGAATAATTGTTGGGGAAATGCTTTTAGACTAGCATTGCAGGTTTTCCTGTCACATCACAGACCTGGGTAAAAGCAGGAGATAAAGAGCTCTTCACTCATCATGCCATCAATCCAAGTGATTGAACCCTACCCCACTCAGTAGCCTTTCTTCCTAGCAGAGGATATTACCAACAACATTATGATTAATAATAAGTAATAGGGAGACTCTGTTTGGATGTGTTTTTTTTTTAAAGTCAGTCGTTATATTTTTAACAAATCATTTAAGTGTCAAAGTATCAAAATACATATTTTTCTGTTTTATACCGTGTTTTCTAATTGCATTGAGAGTATAATTGGAAAGTGCTGACCAGTTACAGACTGAGTTGCTTAAGGAAGGCTAAATTTTACTCCCATGTTTTATAGTCTACCCCTGGGATCACCTTTCCATCTTAACTTTTACAAGAATGCTAGTGATTTTACCTGTTTTTTTGTTATTGTTCAATGCTCCCTGATTTTAGCACAGGTCCTGCTCCCTATTAACTTTCAAATGTTAAATGTGTGAGTGAGTGATGAGTAAATGAGTAAGTTTCACACTAATAATGGTGACTTTCTACTAGGAGCATTATAGAAAATCTCTGTTAATGAAAACTCTAAGTATAGAAAACTGTTAATGAAAATTTTATGAGTAGACATGATAATGGAAATATCCTTAAACAGGATAAAATTGTCTAAATGTTCAGTCCTTTTATGAAAATCAATCCTCTATAACTTATAAGGTGAACACTATTATTAATAGGGAGGTTGACATTATAATAAAATTGTAAATCGACCATGTTTACTGCTACTGAGTCTGAATATAAGGCAGATTAAAATTTCTGAAGAACCATTGAGAAAATACCTCAATCCTCATTATAAACTGATGTTTTTGCTTATGTCCTGGAGATTTTATACAGCTTACCTTTGCTTTCTTTCATGTTGCTGTTTAATCTTTCTGGCTTTGGGATAGACCGAGGTTAATAGTCACATCATTTGAAACTGAGCCATACAGTTGAATGTAATTTGCCGTAAAGATGAATGTTTTGTAGAGTTCCTCTTTATTTTCTTAAGGGAATGTGCTTTTCAACATAATGTGTATAATCCCTGCCTCCACACACACACCAGAATGGGATTATGATTTCCCTGATGGGATTACTAAATTTTGTTCTTACTTTTTGAATGAGCTTAATTTTAGTTTTCAAACAAACTGGTTTATACCTTTTGCCAGTATGCTAGGCCATCAAAAGATGGTACAATCATCTTCAAAACCTGAGTTTCAGTATGCTAGGCCATCAAAAGATGGTACAATCATCTTCAAAACCTGAGTTTAATAGAAGAAAGTATGAGAAGGCATCCAGTAGGTGTTTAGATCTGATTAGACTTTGAGTGGTCCCTTTCTAACAATAAGAGGATATTAATTCCTTTGGAATTCATGTTCTTCATTCCTCTGCAGATTGTCAAGAGCTATTTGAATCCTAACTATATTCCAGGCACTATGTTAGGTGCTACAGTGGATGGAAGAAAGGATAAAACTCATCAAAGAACTCATAGTTTAGTGGAATGTATCATGTGTGTACGTAACACAAATCGAGTATCCCTTATCTGAAATGTCTGGGACCAGAAGTGTTTCAGATTTTAGTTTTTTTTTTTTTTTTTTTGGATTTGAAATATTTTCATTATACTTACTGGATGAGCATCCAAAATCCAAAATCCAAAATGCTCCAATGAGCATTTCCTTTGAAATGCTCAAAACGTTTATGGAGCATTTCAGATTTCAGATTTTTGAATTTGGGATGCCCAACTTATGATCCTGTCTGTGCCTTTAGAGGTAAAAACATCTCTTTGAAAGGAATCAAAGAAGAGATGTGTTCTAGTTTGTAGAATTAGAGGAAGCCTCATGGATTGAGGCTTCAAGAGAAGACAATTTAAGACAGAGAACTCTATGAACAAAGAAAGTTTGTATGTACAATCTTAGTGGGAATTAAAGTTGGACAAATTCAGATGGGGTTATATGATGGAAGATACTGAAATCCAGACCTAGGTATTTATATTTAAATTAACAGGGAATGGGAAGCCACTGTTGGTTCTGAATAGCAGAGTGACTTGATGAGAGCTTTTATTTAGTTTTTTATGACAGTGCTTTTCAACAAGACAGATACGGAAGATATCTGAAATGGTGTGGCTGTATCTCCACCAAATCTCATCTTGTAGTTCCCCGTAATCCCCACGTGTTGTGGAAGGGACCCAGTAGGAGGTAATTGAATCATGGGGGGCGGTTACCCCCATGCTTTTGTTCTTGTAATAGTGAGTGAGTTCTCACAAGATCTGATGGTTTTATACGGGCTCTTCCTTTTTGCTCGGCACTTCCCCTTCCTGCCACCATGTGAAGAAGTATGTGTTTGCTTCCCCTTCCACCATCATCGTGCTGAACTGTGAGATAACCAGGATTTGTGTAATTCCTAGCACTTTCCTATAACTCCACCACCTCTCTTCCACTCAAGGAAGCAAATTGGAATAAAACCGAAGGAGAGTACTATTACAGAAATAGCTAAATCAACTCTCATTTATTTAAAAGTACTTTTAAATAGATTTGGTATTAGTTATAAATAACTTGCAGCTCACTTTGTAATAGATCATGACACAGAACTATGTGTTGTTGACCGCAGTTAAGAACCAAGGTTGAAGATGATCCAGCAACACTGTAAAATGTGTTGAAGTAAGGTAATTCTGAGTGTAGTGAGAAAGACCAACTAATAAGCTATTGCATTATCTTTAGCAAACTTCAGGTCTGAACTACGGTTTACAATGAAAGTAATAAAGGAAATAAAGTCTGTAGACATGGCAATTTACTGGATACTGGTAGTGAGGAAGTAAAAGGAACCCAGGATGCATCTGAGATTTAAAAGTTGGGTATCTCATGCTAAGAGGAATAAGAGTTGCTTTGAATGAGAGAAGGGAAAAAATGGAATTCACTTCAGGCTATGAAATTCAGGTTCCAGACCACAGTTTATAGAAGAGTTTTATAAATGTGGAAGTGTGGGCTTCTTTCTCAGAGCCCCATATTTAGATTTGTGAATCATGTATAAACGGAATGGTTTTTCCAAGCAATTTCAAATAGGAGGAAGCACTCCGCATTCTACATGTGAACCCTCATTTGATTCTTAATTATTCAAGTGTTTATTTAATCCACAAAATTATTAATGATTAAATTTTCATTTGTATACCTACATATTTCAAGAATGAATACCTTATTGAGAAGTGAATACATTGAGCTTCTCTAGCTCATTCTAGAGGGTAATGCTTCCAACTGTTCGCAAGCCTCCTGTTTATTGATCACACTTTTTTTTTTTGAGACGGAGTCTCGCTCTGTCGCCAGGCTGGAGTGCAGTGGCACATTCTCAGCTCACTGCAAGCTCTGCCTCCCGGGTTCACGCCATTCTCCTGCCTCAGCCTCCCAAGTAGCTGGGATTACAGGCGCCCACCACCACGCTTGGCTAATTTTTTGTGTTTTTAATAGAGACGGGGTTTCACCATGTTAGCCAGGATGGTCTCGATCTCCTGACCTCGTGATCCGCCCGCCTTGGCCTCCCAAAGTGCTGGGATTACAGGCCTGAGCCACCGCGCCCAGCCTGGTTACACATTTATTAAGAGGGAAATATTATTTCCTTATGCATTGCATGAGGGTGCTTTTTATATTCTTGTAAAATATTAAAACATGAGGAAAGTTTTAGTTAACAAACTTTTAAAGCTTCTGCATGATGCTATGTTTTCAATTTCTTGAAAGCTCCACTGTATCATATTTTATCCTTTGAAATGTGTTGGCCTAGACAATTCAGATGAAATTCTAGGAGTAGGAATGAACTTATTTTGGAATCTATGCTTTTATTGATAAAAAGTCGTATCTTTGGTTAGGCATTTTCTTGTATCTGTTTGTAGACTTGCTTTTTACTACTGGTGAAATGAGAAAATAACTTATTTTCACTAGTTTGGATAAGACATATAAGAGTACATGCATTGTGTGATAAATATTAACGGTAATGATTGTATTGAAAGATTTTGTCATTCAAGAAGCTCTGTGTTGGAAATTAGATTTCAACTACGCTTTATAGTGTAAAGTGTAGTCTATAACCCATGATTGTGGGTACAGCAGAGGATGGTTTCTTGAAATTCAAAAATAATCTACCTTGGCTATTAATGTTGATATTTTACTGAGCTTATAAATCCTGCTTACTATAGAAAACCTTTACTGGTTAATGTTCTTCCCCTTTTATTTTTCTCAACTCGTGAAGAAAATTTAAATATATGAAAAGCAAACTGATCAGTGAACAGGTTGTTAGGATAGAGAAAGAGGATGGTGAAAGAGTAGTTAAGGAAGGTCCAAAGAGATTGCAGGGTTTATCCACAACCTGAAGAGACGCACAGAATCAAGGATTGATGACCTATGTTGCTTCATTTGGACAGAGATGGTCTTTCCCACCACCACTGGAGCTTTTGTCTTAAGAAGACTATGGAAGTCAAAAATGGTTCATAATGTATAGTGCTTATGTATGCTAAATTTTCTGGTACAATCCTGATTTCATATACTTTTTTTTTCTGTTTAAAGAAAGTTATTTTTAATATTTATAATACAGTGGAATTTTCTTAGAACTTCAAAACATACTTTCATTTACATATATTGATACATAAGAAAAACCCTCTTTTTAGTTTATATTTCTCATTTTGGTGTTTGTATGGGATATTGACTTGACGTTTTTGGTTATTCCAGGATATTTATTGCAGAACCATGCAGATTTGTTTTTCTTCTTTAGAAACACAATAACTTAATAGAGGTACTTTTTGTTTATCTTAAGGGAAGTAGTTACTGTGGATGCCAAATTATATTGTATCTTTGCTCTTTTTAATAAAGGGCTGTTCTTATTTTACTTCTTTTAAAAAAAATCAGGTAAATTTACTAGGGGATAGAATTTTTGCCTGAGCCTATCAGACACAAAGCCTTTTTTTTCTGACAATTTCATAATTATTGAGTGGAATTGTGGAAATTATGGAATACAGAAATCAAGTAATTCTCCTCTACCCCCACTGATGAAATGTAGTAGACTGAGAATTATCATGGCTGGTATTTTCAGGGGATTTTACAGCTAAGTTGATTAGCCGCTAAACCTAGTCTCTTTGTAGTTGTTCCCTTCTGCAGTCTACTGATCTTTATCTGTATCCCATCCCTGCTAACACTTGCCCCTTCCCCTCACTATACATACACATTTGCCAGAGACTGCAAGATTGTCAGAACAATGTTCTTGGTTATATTGTGCCTATTGTATAGATCTCTGTTTAATCGTGTTATTTTCTCCCATTTGATTTTCATCCTTAGATACCAATTTGGACCTCTGTATTTAGATTTCCTTTTAGCCTAATTCATTCTTCCTACAAAGTACTTATGCACTTTCAGTTTTCTTTTTCTCCTGGGTTAGAATGCCCCAAACTTCCCTATTCCATGAATAGCTCATTTCTTGGTTCCCATTATGTTTCTGCCACCTCCATGCACTGTCTTAGATGAGCTGTCAGTTTTAATGCTTTCTCATGTCCTTATTTGGTTATTAGCTGCTTAAGGCAGTTCAAATAAGCAATGATAATAAAATTTGACACTTAATATGCACATATTATATACCAGGTACTTTCTAGGTGCTTTACCTACTTGGATATTTATTCCTCATAACAACTTTATAAGTCAAGTAGTAGTATTATCCCCATCTACAGATGAGGCAACCGAGGTACCCAGAGCTTAAGTGATTTGCTGCAGGTCATGCAGTGAGCAGTGACAATGTGATTCCAGAGCCTGTGCTCCTCACAATTATGCTCAACTACTCCCCTTTGGAAAAATATATTTTATAGCACAGTTTTGTCTTCTGAAAGTTAGTTACGTAGCAAATCATTTTCATGAGTCAGAAAGCTTGCAAGTCAATACTGTAGGTAACAAATGTCCTTGCCTGGACAAACTCATCAAATTCCCCAGTTTACCCAAAAAGAGCTCTTATTTTTTGTAATCCTCCAACACACTTTTAAGTGCTTGTGTAATTCATTTACTTATGTCACATAGCACTATATGTCTTTGTAAAAAGGAGCCTTAACATGTAAGTGCTTAACCTTTATTTCTTAATCATGAGCTTTTAAATTGTTATTGTGCTGACATAATTAGGTGTAGCACCTAAAACGCTTTGTGTGTACAGCTATAAAAAGAAAGTAATGTGATCTAGGACAGACAGTAAAGCTGTATCTAGGAAGAAATCCTATGGAAGGTTGAAATTCAATGTGGTAACTGCCAATTATCTAAAAGGAAGTCTATTACTTTATGATAAAACTGTCAAAATAATGATTGGGTACTCCTACAAATTGTACAGAGAATCAATAAAACCAATATTACGTCACAGTTTGAGAATTTAGGAATTCCACTTTTCTTCTTATTCATGAGAAGACGCTAATATATTTAAGAATGAGATGATACGAAGTTTTTCTTTTGTGCTTCACCTTATAGCTCTTATTTTAGTTGTTAATACTATTTTGCTTAAGAAGCTTGATGAACAACATTCTTGGAAAATATGAATAGTATTTTTTCATTAGCCAGATAAAAATATGCAGACAATATGAGCTATTTTCTTTACAAGAACATAAAATACAACACGTCAAGTAGATTGTAGGTAATTTCTGCTTCATTCAGGACCTATGTGTTGGCCTCTTGGATTATAGTTGATCTGTGATGTCATTGTATACAAGCTAACCTTTGTATTTTAAAGGGGATTCCCTAACTTATTCTTGCTAAAACTGATTATTATGTGTAGGTAAATGTTTTGTCTTCTTCACTAAGCCACCTAATCTCCAATTTCTTGTTTTTGTTTTTCAGCCTGAGAAGATGTTTTATATAATCAGTACAGGACTAATTTTTCTTGGGCTCAGTGTTCCTTGTCTTGGTTCATTGCCTAGATACATCCATAAATATTTGTTGACTTGAGGTGAATATTTTGTTGATAATGTACCTACCATTTCCTTGTGACTCTAGGGTTGAGAGGGTATCAAGAAATTTTGTAGCTAACATGTAAAACATTTCAATAGAACTTTATAGTTTATAAGAAGTTTTGATATATTTTATTTGACACATAAATAGCTCTGACATAGCTAAGGCAAATGTTATGATTGCATTTTATAAATGATAAACTGAATTTCAGGTTAAGTGACCAGCTTAGTCATACAGTTAGAAAGGACAAGAGCTGGGACTTGAACTTGGAAAACCCAAGCCTACATGTCCTGCTTACTCTTGTTACATGCCTGAATGCACAAATGAACAAACAAAAGCAATGAACGAGTGGGAGAATCTGTGTCTTCTGATTTCAGATTCATCCTCTCTCCATTATTTAATGAATGTAAATCGACTGCATTGTTTAGATATTGCCCAAGTGTTTAGCATCTCTTACTGTCATAAAAGTTTTTCTTCTTTTTACCTAAATCTCACCTATTATCATTGGTGCATATTTCCACAATATGTCGAGTTGGAGTCCCAGTTTGATCCTATACTAGCTGTCATCCTGGGTGAAGTCTTCCAGAGCCCTAGTTTGCTCTTCTTTAAAATCAGATAACAACATTTACCTTTCAAAGTTAAACAGATTAAAGATGATTTTGTAAATTGCCTGGCATGTTACTTGGCACATAGTAGGCACTCAAAGAATCATGATTTTTATAGTAATAGGCAGTAATATTCCAACAAATACTTACACTTGAGCCATATGAAGGATTAATTTCCCTTCTTCTTCGTTAGGTACTCTTGAATTGTGAATTCTCTGATAATTTTAGAGATCCTTTTCGGAAACCTCTTGAAATAATGTTTACGATGCTCTGTATGGGCGGAAATTAATTATGGTCTTATGAAAGCTACATAGAATGGAGGCTGGCCTCAATTTCCTGAATTCGTTTTCTAATTTATTATATCTTATAGTAACAAAACAACAGCATATGTTTAGATCTATCTGCATATGCACTATTGAAATTTACTTTTTTCCTGCTGTAATTACCCATACTTGTATCTTATACTTCTGGAATTCTTATAACCAACATTCTCAAAAGTAACAGGGGTTGATGTTTTTAGTGGTAATGAAAGGGTTAAGTTTGTCATAAGGTCATTTCTGGGAGAAGCAAGTCTAATAGAAAGCTTTTACTTTTTTAAAATAAAATTTTATTTTGGGATAATTTTAGACTTACAGAAAAGTTGCAAAGATAGTACAGAGAGTTCTGCCTATATCCATCACTCAGTTTTAGTTATCCCTAATGTTATCATCTTATATTACTGTGATACATTTGTCAACACTAAGAAACCCTCACTGGTACCTTACTATTATTGATTGCACTCCAGACGTAATTCAAATTTCACCAGTACCCAATCCAGGATTCCACATTACATTTAGCTGTCTTGTTTCCCAAGTCTCCTCTGGTGTGTGAAAGCAATCTTTTCTTGTTTTTGATGGTCATGATGTTTTTGCAGAGGATATTCTGCATAATGCCTTCAATTTGGATGTGTCTAAGGTTTTTCTCATAGATTTGGGGAAGAATAAGGTGAAGTTCCCTTATCATTATATCATATCAAGGGGTATGTGGTATCAACATGATTTATCACTGGTTATGTTAACCTTAATCTGTTGGTTAGGTTAGTGTTTGCTAGATTTCTCCATTGTAAAATTACTATTTTTCCCTTTCCATACTCTCTTCTTTGGAAGCAAGTCACTAAATTTAGTACACACTCAAGTTGAGGAGAATGATTAAACTCTGCCTTCTGGAGAGAGGAGTGTGGAGAGATATTATTTGGGTTTCTTCTGTAAGGAAGTTTAGTCTCCTCTCCCTGTTTATTTATCATTTTTATATTTGAACTTACATATATGTATAATTTTGAGATACAGTCCCACTAAACAACTTTTATTTAGATTTAGAACTTAAATTTGTAGCATACATTTTAATTTTTTCTTTTAATTCCATACTCCTTCTTCTCTTGTCTGTGTTACCCATAAACTGAGCAAACATATATCCTTGTCTGCTATTCATTTCAGTGATAAACTATTTAACAGAAGTCCAGAGTAGCGCTCCTCTTCAAGAACACAGATAAACTCTTTCGTTAGTTACTCTTGTTAATAAAGAGGCCTGATAAGTATCAAAAGTAAATTTCCTCAATCTGACCTAAATTTTGACAAATCTATTATATTTATTAACAGACACCTTTGTATTTCGGGTTGATTTTGTTTTTGCATATCAAGTAGTTTTGATTATTTAGAAGCAACAGTTTTGAAGTGAGGCCATCAATATACAGGTGAATTCCTTTTAAAACCAGACCTTTGAGTTCTTTTTTATGCTTCAGTCATCACTCTTCTCTCCGTAAATTATCAAAAATGCTGGATGATCAGTGAATACCTTTGTCTACAAGGTATGGATGGTAAGAATTTCCTATAGCCTTTTTACTTGACTTATTTTTGAATTATTTCTTGTTTTAATCTTGGTTTTCTGCCTGTCCATTGTAGCTGTTCCTGTTTTCAGACTGTGAACATTGGTAAAGAATGAGATAGAGAAAAGTGTAGCTTCTTTAGGAATATTCCTTTAAATGATATTTTGTATATTTAGTTGCTTCAGTTTAGACTTTTAGCATTTTTATTTACATGAGGAAAAAAAAACACTAAATAAGAGAGAAAAGAGTATATTGTGTTTAATAATCTGCCAGTTGAGAACACTAAGGTTGTAACTTGAGCGAAAACTTATTCTTACCACTTTAATAGTATCCAGCAGCATTTCCTCTGTGTTTTTGTTTGTCTCTAGTTGTATCTGAAACAAGAAAATAGGAAAAGTCTCTGAATTATTTGTAGTATGTGAAAGAGGGAACATTAATGTGTGGCCTTATTCTGAGGTATTTAGCAACAGATTGTCTTCTCCTTCCAGTGCAGCCACACAGGGAAGAGGCCGTTCTGTCCTTGGGGATGAAGGAAGTAGCTGCACCAGTCACGAAACCATTCATCTGTTGCGTGTTCTTTGAGTCAGCACTGGCATTGGCAATATTCTTTGTCTGGGGTTGCTTGTCTTGCTTTTTGCCTGGAAGGTAGAAAACGGTATCTTTAGCAAAAGTATGAAAGGCAAAAGGATTGGGGGAAATTAGGTTGACAAGTGGATGAAAAAAGGGCAGATTTTTTTGTTTTTAATATTTCCTGTCTTATTTTTTAAAATCATTCTGACATATTGTGTGTGTGTTTCTCTTTTTTTTTGTTTACTGAACATATACCACCCCCACCCCATGGAAAGCTGGTTCTTTTGGCTGAATTGGGTTATCTACTTTCTAGAGACTTAGGCTCTAGTAGGACAGATGAGGTCCTCACAGCTGCATGTTCAATTTAGATCAAAATCGTTACTCAGCAAACATATTATCCAGTTTCTTCCTTGAGCAGGCCATATGATCATGTGATCAGCTAGGATTTAGTTCATTCGTCAGGCACCGATTTTGAAAGATTTTATTGTTAATGTTGATGTTTTTTAGGTACTGTTCCTCTTACAATTGTCTTCCTTTGAGAAGATTTTATTTGTACCTATAGCAGGTGTGTTTGACAGTTCTGAAAATTGAGCCTTGTGTTGTGTGCAGTCATGTAAACAATGTGGAATCACCTTTGGGTCTAGAAGAACTTCAGAATACATCAGTTTTGGTTTCTTCTAAGGGATAAAAATGTGCACTGTTTTAATTAATCATTTTATGGATTTTGATGTTTTGAAATTTGTTTGACCTTGGCAATGTTGTTTTTTTCCCCACCAGGAATTAAAATAGAGTAGGCAGAATTTTGAAACATTCAAAATGTCAGCTTGCTTTGGCATAAAAAGTGGAATGTTAAATTTTATTAGTTTAAATTTTTAGAATTTCACTTAGCATTTTTTTTTTGAAATAGGGAGAAAACAGTTTTTTGTACTGTTTCTTTTTACTGTATTCTTTTTCTATGAAACATGTCTTGAATGTTTCCTTTTTTCCTCACTATAATATGAAAGAAAACAAGTTTTGAAATTTTAAACTCTTAGAGTAGTTATACTTTTTTTATTGTAACATCAAAGGATCTCTGTATCAATATGAATTTTCTTTTTCATTCAACAATATTTAAGTACCTCTGTGTGCCAGGTACTATTACAGGCTCTTGGGAGATCTCAGGAAAGCCAAAAACAGACAAAATCCCTGTCCTCCAGGAGCTTGCATCCTAGCAGTGAAGGCCAATCATACACATATAAAGAAATCAATAATGCAGTATATTAAGGTGGTAAGTGCTATGGGGGGAAATAGAACAGTGCAAACATGCTGAACACCTGTGTGTATAAAGGTGGAGAATAACTAATTTGATCGATTTGGTTGGGGTGGGGGGAGGTCTCAAATTCAATTAAGCAAGGAAGTATACTCCAGGTTGTCTTGTAAAATAGTTTAGTAGCATCTCAGACTACCAAATGGCTAACTTTTCACCAATCCAGAAGCATATTCATCACTTTGTCAACTTAATGGTAGGGTTGATCAGCGCCGAATCTTGTTACTTCTTTAAAAAAAAAAAGGCAAGGGAAATCAGTTCATAGTATACTAAGTGCCTTTTTATTTTTGAATAATGAGATGGGAGCAGTTCATTAGCTGCTGGAGGGAAAAAAAGCAGGGTAAGCAGGGCTGTACCTGGCTTGACAAGTATACTAATTACTCTCTTTCACGTGGATCTGAAGGCATATTCAGTTCAGTTTAATGATCAGACGAAAAGGCATTAGAAGGTCCCGGCTCTGTCAGGTGAGGAAGAGCAGGTGTAAGCAGATTAGTTCTGCCAGAGTAACCCTTTGGAGTCATCTTCTCTGGGATGGCACTGGGGAAAAGTATCAGCACTTTTTATTTCTAGTGGGAAGATAAATTTAAGAGGAGTAAATTGGAAAATCAAATGAGGGCTTTAGCAGCCGGGGAGATTTGCAGAGCTGTCTCCGGGTGTTTGAAAGGCCCATTCATCATGTCCTACAAGTAGTCAATTCCTCTAGTATCTGTAAATGTTTTCAGATATTAGCCAATTTATATGCTCTGAGATTCATCATGGAAAATCAGCTTTACCATCGTGCATTATCTCCATCTGAGATGAAGTTTGATATATGAGCATCTTTGCAGTTCAATGAGTTGTGTGCAAAAAAGTACGTTTTTAATTAATAAACAAATTTGCTCAGGAGCTCATCAGTGTCAAGAGTAATAACGATTGTCATTCATTATTGTTTATTGCATTCCTCCTGCAACAAATGTTGCCTTCTAATGAGATTTCTTTCCTATTTTTTAATTTAGTTAATGGCATTTTCATCCCAGAGAAAAATGCAAATTTCTTGTACAAAATGTACCAAACCAGCCAGTATGCTTCTCTGGAGCTGAATCGTATAAATTGTCAAAACTACTTTGCTTTGAATGGCCCTTTTTTGTGTTTTCAACATCCCTTTTTGGTAGATAAAGATGGAAAAAAAAAATTTGGCAGGGTGGGTGATTATGAAAACTATACTATACCAAATAAAAGGCTTCCACATTTGAACAAAATTCTAGTGTGCATTGAGGTGGCAAGGACATTTCTTAGACTGATGCTCATGCTTTTGTATAGAGTAAGGAATTCAGAAACACACACTGTAAAGGGGGTGGGATGTTTAAGAAATTAGGTGAGAATGAGATTTTTTTTTCCTGAAAGTAACGGAATTTTTCTCTAGTACATACACACATACACACACTCCACATAAAAGAATATATAGTTATGAAAGTGTCACATTCCTCTTTTGAAAAAGCCGTATATATTTCTCTTAACCTTACCATGATCTGGCCTGTTAGGTGAGAATACGCTGTCTAATAAAGGCTCCTTAATAAGCGTATGCTTGTGGTGTTGGAACCTGCAATGATGCAGAGATGTTCAAGTGTTATTATTTACTGCAGTGTTTGCGCAGGACGGCGAATCCTCTGCTGCAAATGGCATTACAGCTGTGATGAATGAGCATTAGGGTAACTCATTTTAAATGTGCTTGATTTATTAGCGCGGGGGTCTCCATTTCCAGCAGGTCAATGCTTTACTGAAACACACAAAGTCATTGTCAAGGTCAGCCTCTTTATGAATTTTTTAAACAAAATGCCTTGACCACATATCAGGTCCTTCATAGAAAGGAAAAACAGAAAGGAATAGCTTTTGCAAAAAGATTTCTTTTAAAAGGCCAAAGGCAATGTTGGTCAAGCTTCAATTATGATTCCTAGTAAGACAAGAACCTTAATGTTCACTGTTTGCCTTCGGGGATGTTTATTACACACAACTATTTTGCAGAAGCAGCGTCAAATGTACAGTATAAAACTACCATTAGGCAGAAAAATCAATCAAAATGCCATTAAAGTGGAATAAGTTGCCAATATTGCTGATGTGGTTGCAGGTCCTTTGATTTTCTTTCAGATTATTAGGCACAGTCTAGTAGTGACTTTGTTAAGGGAAATGAGTGTTGTTCAGAAGTAATATGTCTCTTGGCTTCATAAAGTTTGTGGCCTCATATTTCCCAGTTTATTGATTATCCATTATCGTTTGTCATGAGGCGTCCTAACTCAAGGGGAAAATATAACTCTCTTTTTCTTGCTGAACGGTAGTGCTGTATAGATCTGTAGAAAGGTTTTTCAGATGTACCAATCTCCGAGAAAAATGAGCAAAGAAATAAAGCAATGAGTGTGCCTTCCAGGTCTGAGCAGTTTAAAGGGTAGATTGCTGACAGTACTTTGTTCTCACATCAACCCTTTTTCCCCTCATAACGAAGAAAGAAGTTCGTGAGGCCACTGAAATACTCCAAGCTCAGGATACTGCAGCTGTATGTGATAATCTAAACATGAATGTTCTTATTATCCTGGCATAATGGTGCTTAATTTATAGATGTTTTGGGTTCATATTCATTTTTATTGGTGACTATTAACATTTTTTTCTGCTAAAGTCAGCAAAAAATGTAATTAAATGGTTCTTTTAATTTACACTTAATTGCTGCACTGTGGGAGTAATTTCTTCAGTTCTTAAAAATGTATTAAATTCCTCATCCCTGTCTTCAACTGTTCTGTTGACCACGGCCACTGTAAAAAATTGCCAAGGGTACAAAATGCAAATCATCTGTTTTCTATGGAGTAGTTTCTAGCACTCCTCTGTCATTTGGGGTGTCCAAAGGTGATGCTTACAGAACAAGTGTTGCTTCAGAGACTAATTGCCCTTCTCCCTTAACACACTTTGTTTCCAGAGCCCCAAGAGTTTGCAGCATGTCTTTTTGTAAACTCTATCTCTCACTTTGGCACAGCATTGTGCTGCCATTGTGCTCAGCGGCCTTGCTGAAAGATTAATTACAACTGAAGAAATGTATCTTTTAACTGTCTCATTACATAAAGAATTCATAGTGAAGTTAACATCCGCATCATTTAATGATATACGGATTTTAATTATATAGTACACTGTTAATTGTACAACTATTTTTAGATCAGGCTACTAACTTGTTCATTTAAATGAATAGCTCATTTGCTTGAGGGACCAAAATGTAAGCTTTCTTGAAAACTCAAGAGAATCTTGAAACCGCTGCAAAAATATGTTAACCTGGTAGGATATTTTTATGGTATTTGTCTCTCCTTAAAATGAAGCTGACCTGTACCTCGCCTTCGTTGCATAGGTTGTTTGACACATAGAATTTTGACTTTTTTTTTGGTACCTAATAAAGTGCAAGAAAGATAGATCTCTGTGTTGGATAATGGGCAGAAATTGAATAGCGGTGTTTTCCTTGAAAGTTGTTGAGATTTTTCTCAGGAGAATTAGACGAAAGTTATTTCTGAATAGAAGCACTGTCCCTGGCTGTAATTAGTCACATGGGTTTAGTTCCCAGGAAATGTTTCTTTCAGCATACTAAAAGTGTTTGAATTTTCATATCGTTTAACATGCCTTGAAATTTCGCCTCTGCTCACCTACCTATCCCTCTCCTACAATTTAAGATATAAAGTTTAGGTTGTTCTTTCCCGTTAGATTCGGGAGCCTGCCGAAAAAGAACACACTTTTGTGCCCCCTTTCCTTGAATACTTCCAATCCTGGGCAACATTTTTAATGACTTAGAATTAACTGCTTTCTAATTATGCACTGAGGCAGACACCATGATGTTGTATGGGCCTTTGCCAGCAATTGGAAACACAAGAGACATAAATGAGCAGGCTACCAGAGGGAATTATTAGAGAGGCTTCTTGAAGTCATCAACTTGCAAAGCAGAGACTTGCCCTTGTCTCATTGAATAATACAGACTTGGTCATACCAGTAGCCACTGTGGTATCACCTTTAGAAGCATCCAGTTTTCTTTCTTTTCATAGACTATAAGACATTTGATCTCATCAGGCTTTCTGGATACCCCAGTAAATTTCGGTAGGTCTTTGCTGCCATGAACTTTCTCCTCTGATCTTGAATGGGAGTTTTCGCTTTACCTGTATCTCACCTCTCATGTTGGGCCCCAGTGAGCCCAGAAGAGGGCTTCCCTTCATTATGTGGCCCTATATTTGCTCTGCATGGAGCACTAGCTTGAAACTTTAATTGCTAATATATGAATTGGAGGAAAATCCAGGAGGGAGGAGGTAATACCATGGAATCTCTTACCGTAAGTTTAAACTATTTATAAAAGTACTATATAACTGTTAACAACAACAACAAAAATGTGTGCTAGTAAGGTCACTTCACATACCTATACCAGTGATAAGCAGTCCTCTTTGGGAGATGAGTCATTAGATGTTTTCACGGTTTACCTCAAGATCCATTGTATCCTATGAGAAAGAGTAGTCTTCTCTTTCCTTTGGCAGTGTGTTCATAAATGTATTTATTCAGCAGTTTGTTGAGTAGCTATTTTGTGCAAAGTGGCTTTGGAGTGGTAACAAATAAGCTTTCTGCTTTTAAGCAGCTTGCCAAATACCCTGACAAAAACAATTCCTTAATCCTCCATGTGAACCATGCATTCTCAAAGGGGGTGAGATTGTGTAAACAGATATGCAGCATATCTGTGGCATTAAAATTTCATGGGGGGAGCAAGTAAGAAAAAATAAGAAGTCTTCTGAGGTGGGTCCTAATGAATAAAAGAAAAGGTTAAGAATCATCTGTTTAGACTAAATAAGGGCCACATAAATCCAAGCTTGAAATCTGAAACCTTGTAGCCTCACCACCAATAATAAACTTGTGAGATTTCTTTCTTGTCTTCTTAGGGGTGACCACATGATGAGCCTCAATCTACTTCCATGTGAAAACCCCCAGATACTTAAAGACAATATTAAGAAAATATTGACACCTTTTTAATGTGGCATGATTTAACATTTCAGCATCCTGATCAATCTCTTGTCATCAGTTGACAAAGTGACATTTAATCAAGTGCCCAATGATTGATACACAATATGAGTTCTCTCCATTCCACAATATGAGGGAGAGGAAGGCAAGTGGATTGGAAAAAAATAAGAGAAGGCTTTAATGGAGGAGGTAAACATTGAACCAGGCCTCAAAGTTTTAGCCAAAGGAAAGTCAGGAAAAAAAATTCCAGATTTGGAAGTTGTGTGTGTGAGTGTGGAGAAGAATTCAGTATATTCATAGCATTAACCAGGTGCTTTCTCAATGTTTGTTGAATGTGTGCTTGTTGGATAAGGATTGGTGGCATATAGCGGCTATAAGGCTGCAAGTTGCCTGAGACAAGGTTCCGATCAGTCTGAACACTCATGCTTTGGAGATATCTTCCTCTTGTCCTTACATAATACTTTTATATTTGATAGCTCTAGTCTAAGTTATTTCTTACATGATTATGTGCTAGTTGGAGAGAATAATTTAATTTGTCCCTATAGGATTCCCTAATGTTAAAAGATATTTCTTATTCAGATTGTCAAATGAGATCAAACTGCTTTAGATTTCACTTTTATGCAGTGGGAGAGCCAGTGGGCTAGTGCTTAGAATTCTTGAGGAGTAGTTCCAACTGCAAGGGCAAGTAGGCTCCTGCAGGCCACTGGCAATATGGAAATTGTTCAGGAAAGACACTGGCAGGTCAACCCCTGTGGAGATGTAGCTTGGGACTTTAGTGACCATGATATCCAAAGGCGTTAAACCATCATTGGAAGAAAAGATGAAATACTAATTGGTATTTAGGCTTTGCTGTCTTGGAGTTCAGCCCCTGGGGCAGCCACATGAAGAGGCAAAGCTCCTGGTGTACCTTGGGAGTATTGCCAGCAGCAGTTTCCATATCCATCCAGCTGTTCAGTTGCAGAGTCTGTTTGTGTGTGTGTTTTAAGTGGGGAGAGAACTAGGCTCTCACAACACAGCTCTGACTGTGCATGACTTTTCCTTCTCATCTTTATCCCTATGTCTGTCCTTCCTTCACACATCCTTTCTTCTCCCTGACTGCTGCCATCCAGTACACAATCAGTCCATACTAGTTCCCCTATCTTGCTTAAACCTATTTGAGATCTTAGATTAGGGATCCCAACGATATATGGTCTTGTTTTTGTTTTAGTTCAAGTGCAGCCTAATCAAAAGGCATTCTTTGCAGTAGGCAGGACTTTCGGGATCTTGAGAGCGCAGATGTTTCACCTGCTTGTTTGCCTCAGTTTCTTCTAGCAGTAGCTGGCTACTTCTCTGACCTCATGCTAAGGAAAGCAAGAGCTATAAAAATGGATGTGATATTAGTTATTCTTGGGAAAGTCTTTACTTGCTTGGTTGCTAATACTTGAAATGCCCTTAGCTGGGGGAAAATTCTTCTATTATGTCGTTATAGACAAGACTTAAATAACAAAGTTTCCAAGAGTGACAACACATTCACCTAATACACACAGAAGTAGAAAGGACTTCTACCTAGTTCTTTTCAAGCCCACTTTTAGTAGTGGATTGTGCACTGAGTGCCACAAAAGAGTGTGTATGTGTGTATGGGCTGGGGTGGGGGAGTGGGGATGTAAGATGGGAGTATCAATCTGGCATTGGCAAATTTTGCCTGTTGAATAGATTGACTTCTGGCTGTCTCTCAAGCCTATGGCAGGGCCCTGACTTTATAAACATCTCATCAAATCAACTATAACATCCCAAGTCTCAAACAGCCCAAGTTCATAACAGTGTGTTATTTTATTTCATCTTCACAACAGCCCTGCAAGGTAAGCACCAATGTTATTCTCTTTTACAAACAAGGATACTGAGAGGTGTCAACATTAACTTGTTAAGATAACATGACTAGTAGCTGGAAGAGCCAGGCCTCGAACCAAGTCTGTCTGATTCTAGACTCTGCTCATAACCGCTTATCCTTACTGCCTGTCTGTTTGAAAGTGTTATTCTGCATGTCTTTCCTAGTTTACCTTTTTTCAAGGAAGACATATTTTTCTTCTTTTGAGGAAGATGTAAATAAAAATATTGGTCCTGTTATATGACTTTCAAGTCTAGATCATAAGAGGTCTTAAACTTATGCATCATTATCTGGGGATGCTTGCTCTTGGAACCCACCAACCTTTTCAAGGAGAAGCCCAAACAGACCTTAGGGAAGCCTTACTTCTCTAAGTCTTGTGTCAGGAAGCCAGGGCCCCTCACCCACATGGCAGACATGCAAGTGAGCCGCCACCAAAGTGAATCCTTCAGCACCCAGGTGATGCACCCCAGTGGAGACCACAGGAAGAGCAAATTGTCTCCACTGAGCCAAGGCCAAATTGCCAAATAATGAGCATGTTGAGAAATTGTTTAAAGCACTCTACCCAAAAAACGGAGGGTTATATTTGAGAATCTAATAGAACTGATTCTCACATCCACAGAAACAAGTTGTCTTCTTTCCCAAGCTTGATGATTAGCACAGTGCTTTGGCCTGAGACATCATGGCAGCTGTTGGAGGAATCAGGATAACAATGCATTTTATAGCCACCAATGACCATTCTCCCTTTTCCCTGGCTTCCCAGATGCCATAACAGTAGGCAGGTCCTTAGTAGTAGTTTAGGTGATTGCACTCCCCATCCTGTCCGTATGCCTGTCACTTGCCCTTCTTTCTGTTGTTTGGGAGTCCAACTTCTTAGAAGGATCTTTTTAAGTATAGTTTTATAACTCTGGCTCCAAAGAAAGTTAACAAACAAAAAAGTAAATAAGTATTCCCCTGAACTTATTACTAAAGGGCCTTCAAAAATTTCAACAACACGGCAGAGTGAGCTTTTGTTAGTGGGCCATATTTCCATGAAAAAGATAGAAATGATAGACAAAATTTTTAAAACTTTAAAAGATATGTGACCAGGTATAAACAAGAGAAGTAAAATCTTTGGGTATCAGAAATGGAGAAAGAACCTGTATTCAGAATGATCTACAGAAATTGCTAACTTCAGATATAGACACGAGGGGCTGGGCTTGGGTTTTGAACTCCCCAGGGGACAGATATGCAACTAAGAGCCGGAATTGAGCTTCCATGTATAGCTCAAACCATATAAAAAGGACTAGAAAAACTCTACTTTCTTGGAGAAAATGGCAAGGAAGCTTGCTTGGTGGATGTGGCCTTGGGTTGTGCAGTATTGAGAGAACAAATAGAAATTAGAAATAAGTCAGCACTATTTGTGGGGTTGGGTCCAAATTTATGCTCCTGTTTACTGCAGAAAGGCCAAGCAAAGAAATTAACAATAAAACTGGTCTTTGCAAAACTAAACATGAAACTACGTTGTCATGGTTAATTCTACAGTGCAGGTCAAACAATTCTTGCTGAAAATAAGCTCCCAATAAAAATTTACAAGCCAATGGAGGAGACCAATTACCATGGAGAAGTGGACAGAGACAGAGAAAGAAAGAAAAATAGAATACCATGAACTAGAGATAAGGAAATGACACTATAAACTATAAGACAAAGTATATAAAGTATAAAATCTAAACATTTTATATATTTGCATATATATATAAACTGAGTAAATAAAAATAACTGAATAAATAAAGGTATAGAATTTTGTAAGAGCAGATTTTTAAAAAATAAAATGTAGAAATGAAATAACAGTCATTGAGAAGCTCATTAGCTGAGTGATGTATTAGACAAAAAGATTAGGAGAAAATTAGAAGAATTAGATTACAAGAAAATTTAGTGAATTCTAGGGTGACTCTAAGGAAAGCATCCTTAATATGACACAAGGATGAAGAGAGGGGAAATACAAACACTTTGTGAGAGTAGGAGACATAGAGGATAGAATAAGATCTTCTAACAGATGTCTAATACCAGTTTCAGAGGAGAGAATAGAGGACAAAGCTGTAATGACTCAGAATTTTTCAAATTGGTTAAAGGCATATATTCTTAGCTTCATGAAACAACTAATTCCAAGCAGACGAAATACAAATAGCCACATCTAGGCACACAGTGATGAAACCATTGAATGTCAAATAAAATATTAAAAGTAATCAGAGATAAAAAGACAAATTACATATATAGGGATTAGTTTTAGACTGACATTAGAGTGCTTATAAGTAACGGTAGATCCCGAGAGAGTAGAATCTCCAGAGTTGAATTAAAATGACCCTTAGCCTGTAATTGTATACTATGTTTTATTATTATTCAAGAGTGAGAACTAAGTACAGATATTTTTACATAAGGCAAGACTAAAACATTTTTACTGCTCACGGATTTCAGATGAAAGAACTAATAAATGAAATGCTTCAGTAACAAGGATATTGAATCCAAAAGCAGAGAATGGGATTCAAGAAGCAATGCTGAAAAAGGAAATACGGCAAATGTGTTGATAAATTTAAATAAACGTTGAGTGTTTAAAAAAATGGAAATCAACTCTTAGAGTTCTCCAGAGAAACAGAACCAATAGGAGGGGTGTGTGTATGTGTGTGTGTGTGTGTGTGTAATTGATTTATACAATTATAGAGTCTGATAAGCCTCGAGTTACAGTTGACAAGCTGGAGACCCAGGAGAACTGATAGTGTAGTCCCAGTTCCAGGCTAAAGCCCTGAGAATGAGAAGAGCCAGTGGTTGTAGTTCCAGTCTGAAGGCCAGCAGGCTTGAGACACAGGAAGAGCCAAGGTTTCAGTTAGAGTTCACAGACAGGAAGCAAACTAATGTTTCAGCTCCAAGGCAGAAAGAATTCTGTCTTACTCAGCCTTTTAGTTCTAGTCGGTCCTTCAATGGATTGCATAAGGCCCACCCACATTAGGGAGGGCAATTTGTTTTACCCAGTTTACATTCAAATTTTAATGTCATCCAGAAATACCCTCACAGACGCACCCAAAATGATGTTTGGGCTGGGCAAGGTCACACATACCTGTAATTTCAGCACTTTGGGAAGCTGAGGCAGGTGGATTGCTTGAGCCCAAGAGTTCAGGACCTCATGGAGAATCCTGTCTCTACAAAAAAAAAAAAACAAAAATTAGCTGGGGTTGTGGTGGCATGCACTTGTAGTCCCAGCTACCAGGGAGACTGAGATGGGAGGGTATATTGAGCCTGGAAGGTTGAGGCTGCAGTAAGTTGAGATCACACCACTGCACTCCATCCTAGGCAACAGAGCAAGACCCTGCCAAAAAAAAAAAAAAAAAAAGAAAAAAGAAAAGAATGATGTTTGACCAAATATCTGGGTACCCCATCGCCCAGTCAAGTTGACACATAAAATTTAACACCGTAGAGACTAATTGGGAAATTGTATTACAAACAAGATTGTTGAACAAAAATAACAGACACAATAACATGGGAGGCTGATAGAATTGTGTAAAAAAAGAGCAGATAGACTTTGAAGTAACAGTCATTGAGCAGCTCATTAGCTGAGTGATGTATTAGAGGGAGGCTTCCTGATTGGAGTGAATGTATTTCAATTTATTTATATGTAAAACAACAAAGATGTTACTGATAAAGATTATATATTGTTTAAGTTTAAACATTCTTTGAGAGAACTACTAAAGAAATCATCATGCCTATGTCCTGAATGGTATTGCCTAGGTTTTCTTCTAGGGTTTTTATGGTTTTAGGTCTAACATTTAAGTCTTTAATCCATCTTGAATTGATTTTTGTATAAGGTGTAAGGAAGGGATCCAGTTTCAGCTTTCTACATATGGCTAGCCAGTTTTCCCAGCACCATTTATTAAATAGGGAATCCTTTCCCCATTGCTTGTTTTTGTCAGGTTTGTCAAAGATCAGATAGTTGTAGATATGCGGCGTTATTTCTGAGGGCTCTGTTCTGTTCCATTGATCTATATCTCTGTTTTGGTACCAGTACCATGCTGTTTTGGTTACTGTAGCCTTGTAGTATAGTTTGAAGTCAGGTAGTGTGATGCCTCCAGCTTTGTTCTTTTGGCTTAGGATTGACTTGGCGATGTGGGCTCTTTTTTGGTTCCATATGAACTTTAAAGTAGTTTTTTCCAATTCTGTGAAGAAAGTCATTGGTAGCTTGATGGGGATGGCATTGAATCTGTAAATTACCTTGGGCAGTATGGCCATTTTCACGATATTGATTCTTCCTACCCATGAGCATGGAATGTTCTTCCATTTGTTTGTATCCTCTTTTATTTCCTTGAGCAGTGGTTTGTAGTTCTCCTTGAAGAGGTCCTTCACATCCCTTGTAAGTTGGATTCCTAGGTATTTTATTCTCTTTGAAGCAATTGTGAATGGGAGTTCACTCATGATTTGGCTCTCTGTCTGTTGTTGGTGTATAAGAATGCTTGTGATTTTTGTACATTGATTTTGTATCCTGAGACTTTGCTGAAGTTGCTTATGAGCTTAAGGAGATTTTGGGCTGAGACAATGGAGTTTTCTAGATATACAATCATGTCGTCTGCAAACAGGGACAATTTGACTTTCTCTTTTCCTAATTGAATACCCTTTATTTCCTTCTCCTGCCTAATTGCCCTGGCCAGAACTTCCAACACTATGTTGAATAGCAGTGGTGAGAGAGGGCATCCCTGTCTTGTGCCAGTTTTCAAAGGGAATGCTTCCAGTTTTTGCCCATTCAGTATGATATTGGCTGTGGGTTTGTCATAGATAGCTCTTATTATTTTGAAATACGTCCCATCAATACCTAATTTATTGAGAGTTTTTAGCATGAAGGGTTGTTGAATTTTGTCAAAGGCCTTTTCTGCATATATTGAGATAATCATGTGGTTTTTGTCTTTGTCTCTGTTTATATGCTGGATTACATTTATTGATTTGCATATATTGAACCAGCCTTGCATCCCAGGGATGAAGCCCACTTGATCATGGTGGATAAGCTTTTTGATGTGCTGCTGGATTCGTTTTGCCAGTATTTTATTGAGGATTTTTGCATCAGTGTTCATCAAGGATATTGATTGGTCTAAAATTCTCTTTTTTGGTTGTGTCTCTGCCAGGCTTTGGTATCAGAATGATGCTGGCCTCATAAAATGAGTTAGGGAGGATTCCCTCTTTTTCTATTGATTGGAATAGTTTCAGAAGGAATGGTACCAGCTCCTCCTTGTACCTCTGGTAGAATTCGGCTGTGAATCCATCTGGTCCTGGACTGTTTTTGGTTGGTAAGCTATTGATTATTGCCACAATTTCAGATCCTGTTATTGGTCTATTCAGAGATTCAACTTCTTCCTGGTTTAGTCTTGGGAGAGTGTATGTGTCGAGGAATTTATCCATTTCTTCTAGATTTTCTAGTTTATTTGCGTAGAGGTGTTTGTAGTATTCTCTGATGGTAGTTTGTATTTCTGTGGGATCGGTGGTGATATCCCCTTTATCATTTTTTATTGCGTCTATTTGATTCTTCTCTCTTTTTTTCTTTATTAGTCTTGCTAGCGGTCTATCTATTTTGTGGATCTTTTCAAAACACCAGCTCCTGGATTCATTAATTTTTTGAAGGGCTTTTTGTGTCTCTATTTCCTTCAGTTCTGCTCTGATTTTAGTTATTTCTTGCCTTCTGCTAGCTTTTGAATGTGTTTGCTCTTGCTTTTCTAGTTCTTTTAATTGTGATGTTAGGGTGTCAATTTTGGATCTTTCCTGCTTTCTCTTGTGGGCATTTAGTGCTGTAAATTTCCCTCTACACACTGCTTTGAATGCGTCCCAGAGATTCTGGTATGTTGTGTCTTTGTTCTCGTTGGTTTCAAAGAACGTCTTTATTTCTGCCTTCATTTCGTTATGTACCCAGTAGTCATTCAGGAGCAGGTTGTTCAGTTTCCATGTAGTTGAGCGGTTTTGAGTGAGATTCTTAATCCTGAGTTCTAGTTTGATTGCACTGTGGTCTGAGAGATAGTTTGTTATAATTTCTGTTCTTTTACATTTGCTGAGGAGAGCTTTACTTCCAAGTATGTGGTCATGTCTAAAACACCAAAAGCAATGGCAACAAAACACAAAATTGACAAATGGGATCTAATTAAACTAAAGAGCTTCTGTACAGCAAAAGAAACTACCATCAGAGTGAACAGGCAACCTACAAAATGGGAGAAAATTTTCTCAACCTACTCATCTGACAAAGGGCTAATATCCAGAATCTACAGTGAACTCAAACAAATTTACAAGAAAAAAACAAACAACCCCATCAAAAAGTGGGCAAAGGATATGAACAGACACTTCTCAAAAGAAGACATCTATGTGGCCAACAGACACATGAAAAAATGCTCATCATCACTGGCCATCAGAGAAATGCAAATCAAAACCACAATGAGATACCATCTCACACCAGTTAGAATGGCAATCATTAAAAAGTCAGGAAACAACAGGTGCTGGAGATGATGTGGAGAAATAGGAACACTTTTACACTGTTGGTGGGACTGTAAACTAGTTCAACCATTGTGGAAGTCAGTGTGGCGATTCCTCAGGGATCTAGAACTAGAAATACCATTTGACCCAGCCATCCCATTACTGGGTATATACCCAAATGACTATAAATCATGCTGCTATAAAGACACATGCACACGTATGTTTATTGTGGCACTATTCACGATAGCAAAGACTTGGAACCAAGCCAAATGTCCAACAATGATAGACTGGATTAAGAAAATGTGGCACATATACACCATGGAATACTATGCAGCCATAAAAAATGATGAGTTCGTGTCCTTTGTAGGGACATGGATGAAATTGGAAATCATCATTCTCAGTAAACTATCGCAAGAACAAAAAAACAAACACCGCATATTCTCACTCATAGGTGGGAATTGAGCAATGAGAACACATGGACACAGGAAGGGGAACATCACACTCTGGGGACTGTTGTGGGGTGGGGGGCGGGGGAGGGATATCATTGGGAGATATACCTAATGCTAGATGACAAGTTAGTGGGTGCAGTGCACCAGCATGGCACATGTATACATATGTAACTAACCTGCACAATGTGCACATGTACCCTAAAACTTAAAGTATAATAATAAAAAAAAAAAAAAAGAAAAAGAAATCATCATAGAGGCCAGGCACGGTAGCTCATGCTTGTAATCTCAGCACTTTCGGAGGCCGAGGCAGGTGAATCACTTGAGCCCAGGAGTTTGAGACCAGCCTGGCAACATAGTGAAACCCCGTCTCTACTAAAAAAAATACAAGAAAGAAAGAGAGAGAGAGAAGGGAGGGACAGAGGGATGGAGGGCAGAGGGACAGAGGGACAGACAGAAGGATGGAGGGAGGGAGAGAGAGAGAGGTAGTCAGGGAGGGAGAGAGGGAGGGAGGGAGGGGAGGAAAGGGAGGAAAGATGGAGGGAGGGTGGGAGAGAGAGAGGGAGGGAGAGAGGGAAGGAAGGAAGAAAAGGAAGGAAGGAAGGAAAAGATAGGAAGGAAGGAAAGGGAGGAAAGGAAGGGAGGGACAAATCAATGTAGAATGTATTATTTCCAAGAGAATAGAAGGAAGGGAGGGAGGGAGGGAGGGATGGAAGGAGAAATCAGTGTAGAATGTATTATATCCAAGGGAATAAAGGGTAATAGGGGAATAAAGAAAACTTAATTAACTAGAAGGTAGGGAGAAAAGAGGAGAAAGAAAGAGAATGATCAGCAGAACACAGAAAATAAGAGAGTAAAAATAAGCCTGAATGTATCAGTTGTAATGAATGTAAATGGGTTAAATTCACATTTTTAAAAAAGCTTAGATTGTCAAATTTGATTTTAGAAAATCCAACAAAATACTATTTATGAATCACTCGTAAGACATAATGACACAATAAAGTTCAAAGTAAAGAAATGGGGAAATTAGTACAATAAAAATTAACATTAGAAAATAAAAAACTAATAACAACAATAAAAAGAAATGGAACACTAGTTATGTGAGGGAGGCAGATCCTATCCAAAAGAAAAGTGTTGCAGAAGTATTACCACTAGGTCACATTAAATTTAACAGAAAACCTTTATTAGAGTTAAAGAAAGTCTTGACTTTGCCAAAAGACATACTTACCAAGAATTCAGTGTATAACAACTGAGAGTGCAGGCACCCAACAGTATAGTCTCCAAATACAGAAAGCAAGCATTGGCAGAATTATAAGGAGAAACTGACAACTCCACAGTAGTAGTAGATGATTATTTCATGTGTAGTTGAAAAAAAAATAACAAGGATGCAGAAGATTTGGATAATACCATTAAAATCTTAACCTACTAGACATATCTGAACCTTGCAGCTCAAAAGTAGGAACTTCAGTTTTCTGAAGACATATAAAACATTAACAAAAATTGATCACATATAAAAACACAAGGAAAGTGAAACAAACCATATTAATATAAACATCACAAATTAGAAACAGCAGAAATCCATGTTTTTAAATAACTTATGGGTCAAAGATGAAATAATGGAAAGTGTAAACTATAAATGAATGATAACAAAATTGTGGCATGTAGCTAAAGCAAAATTTAGAGGAAAAATTATAGCCTTGAAAAGTATATTTTAAAATAAAAAATTGAAAATGAATTTTATAAAAATAGTAAAAGAGTAATGTGGCAAACTCAAAGTGGGAACGAGGAAATAATGATGAAAAAGGATAAAGTCAATGAAATTAGAAGAAATGGTACAGTAAAGAGGATCGACAGAGCCAACATTTGGTCTCATGAAAATATTAGTAAAACTAACCTCTAGCAAGACTGAGAAATTAAAAAAAAAAAGCTTATACAAATTAATATGAGACTATCTAAAGCAAATTTATTGCAGACGTAGAAGTTAGGTCAGGGTGGTGAGTGCACAGATGTTTATTATATATTAGTTCTTTATGTTAAAAATACTTCACAACAAAAAGTTCATAATCTTAGGCATTGTGCCTTAGTCCAGGCATTGCTTTAACAGGTACCAAGTCTCTCCTATTCTTGTGAATCTAGCTCCAGTGACTCATACATTCCTGCTTTATACATACTTTGTAGAAAATTGTAATCCTGTTCATTGTAATCCTGGAATGGCAGAGGCAAAGTGTGAAATCAACAGAATGAATGCCTCTACCAAAGGTTGAGGAGAATAGGAATCCTGTCCATGTGTGGTTAAAAAAGCCAGATGCAAATTGGCCAGAGGTGGTCTAGGAACAGCTTCCATAAAAGACACAGGCTTTCTTGAGGCCTCTTAGCTCTGGCCATGACAAGGTTGTCCAGTCGCATTTACTTATCTGGTTGATGTTATTATTCATTTCTTTGAGATGGCAGTTCCTAAGCTTCAGAATCTGTGTGTAAAAGTAGGTTTACATTCTCTGGCTTGATCTGAGACACCAACATACTTTCATGAAGCCTGAGTGGAAAGAGCTGTGTGTGTTTGGCAGATACATCCTGGGTCCACAGCACAGGCAGTCACTTCCTAGAGGAACTTTCTCTGTTGCACTAAAAAGTGGTGGGTTGCAAGAAGAGAAAAGACATTTTGTTGAGGTTAAAATGAATGTGGACTCAATGTATACTTTTTGCTGTTATTCCATTTAAAACAACTGACTTCCTCTGGCAAGTTTCCTTTCATTTGAATAGTGTTTATTCAACATATTCAGACTTTTAAAAAAAAGTTTATTGCCTATGATTCTTAATCCTGATAAGCATACCACTGTTCTAAAATTTATATTGTGAGGAAAATTATGTCATCAGTTTATTTTTTCTTTTGATATTTCCCTTTTTTGGCTGAAAATAAATGACTACTTTTCTTATGTCACGGAGTATTGTCCCTTTTCTTTTTTTAAAAAACAGCCTTTGTTTTATTATTTTAGCCAGGAGTTTGCATATAGTTTGATATGAGATCTGTAATTTTTATAGGATAGCGTTCTTAGTCATGGCCACTTACATATTAGTGATCTCTTCCTCACATGGGTTCATGAGAGTTGGAATGTACCATGACTGGGGTCCATACAGAGAAGGTGCTCCTATTTTCTTAGGCCTCTGCTGGCATTATGGGCAACATAAAAGAATGTGTCTGCCATTACCATGTGGTGACTCGAGTGGCAGGCCAGAGAGAGTTCCCTCTAGAAGGTAATGAAAGGTATGGACAACTGCTTTGGTCCCCTCTGACTGGCCAGGCCTTAGAATTAGGTTGGGAATACTGAGTTTCCCAGGCACATTATTTTTTTAATACTATTGCTGCTGTAATCTTTTCTTTTATAAGAAGATGATTCATTGTTTCCTATTCCCGATATTTTTACCACTTATCAGTGGTAATTGCTTTCAGAAATAATTGAGT
Source organism: Homo sapiens (assembly GCF_000001405.40). Classification (NCBI taxonomy): domain Eukaryota; kingdom Metazoa; phylum Chordata; class Mammalia; order Primates; family Hominidae; genus Homo; species Homo sapiens. Next base: position 36,689,800 of record NC_000015.10, read on the forward strand.
CCAACCCTATGGTTTGTATGAAGTAAATACCTAAGTTTGATTTGATTCTTACTATTACTTGAACTTAGCAAAATAGTGCTTTAGCTGTCTTCTCTAGAGACCACACAAGAACACTTTATTTCGGTAGTCAGCTTAAATAATATTTTCACTTTCTACAGATAGCAATGGGCATTAAACTTGGGAAGCTATGTAACTTGCCAAGGTTGCAGAGCCAGTTGTAGAGATAGGGCTGGATAGGATAGCTGGGTGATGCTCTTTTGGAGATTCCATATGACCTTTTCACTTGCAGTGCAAACACGTGTTCACAAATGGCTAAGTACATAAGTGTTGCTATAAGCATGTAGTTATATGACTAACAGTGGGCAGTAATTAAAATAATCATGCTTCATTTTTTCTTTGCAGACCCAATACTATTTTTAAGTGAATAAGATGTAATTTCCTTATTTATTTCCACAGTATTTACTAACATTTTTTTCTTTTTTTTTTTGAGACAGAGTCTCGCTCCGTTGCCCAGGCTGGAGTGCAGTGGCTCGATCACTGCTCACTGCAACCTCCGCCTCCCGGGTTCATGCCATTCTCCTGCCTCAGCCTCCCGAGTAGCTGGGACTACAGGCGCCCACCACCACACCCTGCTAATTTTTTGCATTTTTAGTAGAGACGGGGTTTCACCTTGTTAGCCAGGATGGTCTTGATCTCCTGACCTCAAGATCCACCCGCCTCGGCCTCCCAAAGTGCTGGGATTACAGACGTGAGCCACCGCGCCTGGCCACTAACATTTATCTTATGTATCAGTGTTCTTATAGTATAGAGCTTGATAAAGAACATAATCTTAAAAGAAAACAAGTTAGACCCGAAATTATCTCAGAACTTGAATGATGATAATTAGATAATTATTCAGTATGCATTTTAATTTGTGCTTGTGTGGATCAGACCATAAGCCATTTTGCTAAATTGTGGTGAATAATTCCACTGGAGGCCTTGAAATAATCGATACCTAGGCAACACGTGACTTAGCTTCAGCCTAGAGACCTGCCCTTCTCCCATGCATTAAAAGGAATTCTGGCTACTGTGGCTGCCACATGCCTAGTGAGCAGCGAGGTCAGGATCTCCTACCTTGCTTTCCAAAGGATGTCACTTGCTATAGCACCTTCATCAGATGCCTCCCTTAGTGCCCCCTCTTCTTCTATAGCAGTTCCCTTGGGGTTCAACTTAATTTGCAAGTTGAGGCATATTTTGGGTGGAAAACTTGTGTGTGTGTGTCTCTCTCTGTATATATTTTCCTTATTTAAGATTCTCTCAATTCAGTCAGTTTTACCTACTTTCCTCACTTGTGGAATGGAGATAGGATTTTATGGCAGTTGATGAGAATTATTTTGGAAAGGTTTAGAATTAGAAGATTCTTTCATGGCTGAAAGCCATTTTAATTGATATAATTAAAGCATATGTATATGAAGAGTTTAGTGAAGACAGGTCAGATTCAAAGACTTCAGATCTGACCTGTCTTCATTAAACTCTTCATATACATATGCTTGGTTATAAAATAACTACCTGCAAAAGGTAAATATTTTCTGATTTTTTTTTTTTTACCCCAAATGGGCTTTTCGGAAGCTTATTTATCTACAAAAGAGACATATGCTTTAGGTCTGTACTTGTTAATTTACCTTGGAAAAATTAGGTCATCATCAAATCTGGTAGTGTGGCTTATAAACTTGGCAAAATGGTCTAATTAAAAGCTTCTGTTAGATTATAGAAAAAGGAAAAAATGATTAATGCCAGTCATATTTTTGTTTTCATGGTTTGTGTATATGTAGATATATGTCACTCCTCATGTTGCATTAAAAGTATGTTGACTATCTGCTAACAGTTCATCTCTTTTCTTCTACAGCCTCCAAGTCTATTATAAATAGTATGCTACGGGACCCTTCTCAGATTCCAGATGGAGTTCTAGCAAATCAGGTCTATCAGGTATTAATCACAGCTGTCTATTTTCAGTGGCAATGCTGTTATCTGCCTAGCAGAGTAAAGGATTTTAAACCTCATTTAATTACTGTCATCATAAACTATCACTGAGGTCAGGGTGCACCATAAATGGCAATGCAGTATTTGCGAGAAGAGCATTTCACTTTTTAATAGCTTGCTTTTATAGTGAATAAAAAGCATGCAATTTTTGTTTTCTGTGATTAAATCCGAACCGCCTTTTGATAGCTTTCTTTTTTTGGGGGGCGGGGGTGGGGGAAGAAAAGTAATTACTGCTTTTAGGATATTGTTTACTGTAATAGTTTTTGTAGCCGCCCCACCCCAGACCCCTTTTCTTATTTGTCTGCAGTGCATTGTGAACGACTGCTGTTACGGACCACTAGTGGACTGCATCAAGCAGTATCCTTTCCCATAAAATTTTAGGTGCGCAATTGACGAGCTTAGACTCAGTGGAGATGTGTCTAGCTTTAACCTGACATAAAGTTCTGCTTCACAAAACACATTTCATACTCTTCTATTTTACATTCAATCAACTGGAGGGTCACTACAGACCATTCTTTTCTACAGCTTAAGAAATATCAGGTAGACCACAGGAAGATGTCAGTTCAGCAGTCACACATTCACATGCTTCTTTCAAACTGCCTGGTTTTCAATGAGTTTACAGGTACAGAGTCATTAGGCAGGTAACGTAATGTCTTGGAATGTATCTACCCATCCCAGTAAACATTTTTTAAAAATATAACAAATTTCCATTTAAAATGAGCCAAATTTTGTTGAATTTACGAGAATAAATTTAGAGCCTGGAGTTAAAGGAGGTTGTGATTAAAATGCTTCCAGAGACATCACATTTTAAAGGCAACAGATTCTTATTGCTTAAATGCTGATTACAATCTGAGCCGGCATTTGGATTCCTAATAAACATTTTTAGAGAAATCAAGTTAATTTTTCCTCCTGGAATACATTTAAGGTTGTGAAAACAGATGTCCAGTCACTTTTCATTAAAGACATTGAGATTACTAAAGAGTTAATGTTCACTTTTTAAAACAAGATTGAACAGACAGTAACTACATAAAGTAGGACATTATTAATCAATAAATTTAGTAGTACTGTGGCAACAGCAAGGTTTTTGATAATCCTCAAAGGTGCTATTTAAATGGTAAATAATGAGTAATTTTTATGAGAATAATTTCTATCCGAGTCCATGAATTTCACCCCTCTTAATAATATAAACATGTCCCTCCTGGTATGGATTTTGTTAGCATGGATGGCACTGTGATGAATTGTGACTCAGTAATTACTAGTTAGGAGGCTTTTTGTTGGAAACTCCTGCTAGTCAAATCGTGTACATGTATGTGTTTATATTCCACCTTCTTTCACAAAGGCTTAGAGTCGTAACATTTTTAATAAGAAAATCATGCCTATATAAGTAAAGTTAATCTTTGATGAATAACCTTTGAACAGAGCCCTCTTACAAGAATATTCAGTATTGAAGATACAGCCCTTTATGTATTTCTCCTCCAAGTCTGTTTCTCCAGTCTAGCTTAAATTAGTAAAAACACACAGCATTATCCCAAGCTCACCTTTTTATTAAACCAAAGTGAAATTGTACTTCTATATTCAGTATAAAATTAATGATAGTGTTAGAAACTGTAGGAGTACCAACCTTATGTTGCTAACACTGAGAAAGTTTAGCACATTCATATATCAACTAACACCATCTCAGAGTATCTGGGGTTGAATTACATGTTAATTTTAAAGCACATAAAATAGTTAAAAATCAATTTAAAGTTAAGGTTTTAAAAGCATAATGTCTTTTGAAGGATTGCATATTGATTTTAAATATAACTATCTAATTATGTATGCACGGACTAAAGTATGAAGTCAACTGCTTTGTAAATGCCAGGAGGCTATTTTTCAGTAATAGTTGAGATGCTTACGGGAAACTAGATTGCTGTATTGCTGGTGAAGAAAATGGCTTGTGAGGTTATTTACAAGTTTTGCCCATGGTCACTGCCATACATCAATAATAGGTATTATTATAGACAAAGTCTAAGTGTTTTTGCTTATACAGCATTATAAATTCTGTCTGGAGTATTTTCCTTACATTTTTGCCACCATTCACTTTCCTTTTTTGGTTGTGTTATTGCCAGTAGAATTTAATGTAGTACATGATTTCAATTGATAAAGATAATGACGTATGTCTATAAATTACATTCACCGACTAGGTTATAATTTTTGCAGTTTCATTATGTCTGTTGCCAGTAAAACTACAGATTTTATAAGTTTTATTTTCTAGACTTTGCATTTCATATATGTTTATATCAAGCAAAGCATAATTAAGAAACATATCTTTCCAAAATTTCAACTTGGTGATTGCTTTTGTCATGCAAAATAAAACAGGCTGGGAAGTTTACAGAGAAACTGATGTTGTCTCTGCATTGAAGTAGTAGCAGTTTCATATAATGTATAAATGCACTTGCATAGATGTTTCCTAGACTGATCAGCATAATTATTTTATTTCACACTGAATAAAAATTATTGTTTTTCCATGTGAGTAAATGTGCTGTTTGTTTTTCTGATAGTTTAGTAATATTTACATTGCTTACTCTCAGTAAATTACATCATGATGTGAGAAAGAAAGCACACATTCAGTAAATAAGATAGGTGCTAAACCTTCTTAGTGCCTTATGAAAATGTTATGTTTGTGTAAGTAGAATAAAGTAAGTTGGTCATTTACTAGTAAGACATCACAGAAAGCACAGTTAGCAAAGAGTATATACATCATCATTGTGCTTTCTCTTTTTTTTTGTTATCTACTGTATTTTTTCCTATGCAGCCATGCCCACCTACACCTTTCCCACCACAGCTTATACTCACCAAGGAAAAAATGTGAGAAACCAGCCACCTCAACTTTCCAAAGTGTGACTCCAGGACACAGCTATTAGACAAAAGCATAAACTATGAAGCAAGGAAAGGTAATGATGCAGGAAGCTTCAAATGCTGTGGGTTTCATTTCTGTACCATCAGAGACCTCAGTTTCATGATTCAACATTTTAGATGTAAATAATTTACAACAATAAAAATGAGAGCACATTTATGTGGAATAGAAGTAAATAATTTAGTTCTAAAGTGTGGGATGCCCCTAGTAATGAGAGACCATTGAGAGTTATTCATCAAATGTCTTCAATGGACTCTGAAAATTTGTGAAATTTTGTGATTTAAAAATGTGTTCCTTTATTTTGTTTCTCTTTAGAAATTTAAAAAGCACAGCCATGTGCCTTGGAAGGCAAGGGACAACTGGAGGAAAAGGCAATAATGATGACTTAGGGCATGTTTTGCTGGAACATAAATGGCCACATCTCTTGAATTCTAAGATTTAAACCATATTCACCTGTATGTATTGGTAAAATGCAAGATAATTCTCTAGGAATTTTTTTTTTAATAAATAACGAAGTTTTATTTAAGTTGAACTCGTGCAGTGCATGATCAGAATCAGCTTCTCTGGTAAGCCAAGGAGTGACGTGACCAGGTTGACGTTATCAGTGAAAAGGACAATGAAGGTAATGATTCACATAATTATTACCAAATGCAAATGCTTTTGAGTCAGTTGAAATACTAGACTAGGATAACACTCCTTTTCAGACTTTGGGCAATCTCATCTGTTTGGAAAATACACAGCACTTCCATGTTCTGCTCCTGATTTCATTATTTACCAGCCACGGGACCTTCAGCAAATTCCCCAGCCTCCCTGAACTTTACTTTCCTTAATTGTAAAAATGTGACTAAAAGGCTGGGTGCAGTGGCTCACACCTGTAATTTCAGCACTTTGGGAGGCTGAGATGGGCAGATCACTTGAAGTTAGGAGTTTGAGACCAGCGTGGCCTACATGGTAAAACTCCATCTGTACTAAAAACACAAAAATTAGCTGGGCGTGGTCACAGGCACCTGTAATTCCAGCTACTCTGGAGGCTGAGGCTGAAGAATTGCTTGAACCCAGGAGACAGAGGTTGCAGTGAGCTGAGATTGTGCCACTGCACTCCAGCCTGGGCAAGACCAAGAGTCCATCTCAAAAAAAAAAAGAGGCGGGGGACTAATAATAGTATCTACTTGTGTGGCTATTATAAGATGGTATCTCAAAGTATTTAGTACAAAGTCTTCATACATTATATTTAAGAAATATTAGCTATTATCAATTATTCCATAATTTTAATACTTTTTGAGAAGCTATATGGAGGTCATAAACATAGACTTGACAGGGATCTTGTTGTTATCTTATTTGCCACTCATTAACTGTATGCCCTGTGCAGGTTCCTTCTAGGCCTCGGTTTTCTCATCTATAAAATAAGGATTGTAATTATGAGGATAAAATAACATCCTAAAGGCACTTAACACAGTGCCTACCACATAGTAAGCACTGAAAAAATATATATTCATATGTATATCTATTTAGATACATGTACATGCATACGCATACACACACGAGAAAAAGACTCTTGAAACAGCCTCTGTACCCACACCCTAATCCACAACTCTTTACTAAGATGTCTTTCCTGCAGATTACATATATTCTTAACAAGTTACTTGTTTGGCTTGCCAGTGGCAAAAGTTCAACAACAGTCGACTGGAAGTGAAACAAAGAAGTTTCTAAATGTTGGCCTGATGACAAATGTGAATTCACAGAAGATTTACAGAATTCTCTAAGATTAGGAATTCTTCTAGGGCAAAGACTGCCTAGTATTCTTTACTGTACCTATTAAGTGCTTAATAAATGTATGCTAAATTGAGTTGAGGGATTTTAATTTAAAAATTTTTTTAGAATTTTTTTTAAGAGCGGGAGCCTTGCTACCTTACCCAACTGGCCTCAAGTGATCCTTCCACCTCGGCCTCCAGAGTGGCTGGGGTTATAGGCGCAAGCCACCTTGCCCAGCTGAATTGGAAGATTTTTAACACAGATTAAAGTACATTTAAAATGACTCTCCTTCTTTTCAAAATACAAGCACACATCCATTTACAAATCTTTGTTTGCCAAAATATATATAAAAATTATAGAAAATGCTGGACACAGTGGCTCATGCCTGTAATCCCAGCACTTTGAGAGACTGAGGTCGGAGAATCACTTGAGCCTAGGAGTTTGAGACCAGCCTGAGCAACATAGTGCGATTCCATTTCTAAAAAAAAAAAAAAAAAAAAAAAAATTACCCAGGCGTGGTGGGTGGTACACCCCTGTAGTCCCTGCTACCCAGGAGGCTGAGGTGGGAGGATTGCTTGAGCCCAGGAGTTCAAGGTTATAGTGAGCTATGATTGTGCCACTGCTCTCCAGCCTGGGCAACAGAGCAGGACCCTGTCTCTATTAAAAAAAAAAAGGTTTTAAAAAATTATAGAAAAATTCTATCCAATTATTTAAATGAGGGGATGTGTGTAGAGATTTCATTCCTCCAAGATGTGGACTAAGGGTGAAAATGGCTGCTCAAAGTATAGACCTGGTATTAGCGTTTTCCTGCTGGTATAATTCTGCCTGTGTTACCCCCTTAACTGAAACTTCCCAGTGCCATTGGTCATGAGCATGAGGTCCTGCTGAGAGACTTGCTTCTAGAGAAAAACCTGTCCTTCCTAGGTAAGTATTATTCACATCTTCTCTAGCTTGTGTTGTCTCCCTGAGTGCTTAAATATATATTTTAAAAATCTTCCACTAAAGGAAGAGTGAATGATGATTGATGCTGTGCATATTATCTTTTATTGATTTGGAACTGAGCAGGAACTCAGTTACCTAATCTCCTATATATACAGCACATGCACAAGCTTGCAATTAATATTTTATAGAATAAGTGGCTGAAAAAATGCTTTAATATCTGTTGCAGTATTACTTTTGGTGTCATGAGATATTAACCATAATCTAGCCCTTATGAGAAAAGGAAACAAAAGAAATATTGTCTATAAAATGTTTTATATATTAAAAAGAACAGTTAGAAAAATTCATGTTGGGTATATTTGTCTCATATATGGAACTGGGTAGTACTTTTACTTGAAAGCAAAATATTAAGCCTTTATTTTCATGCCAAACGTTCATTGGCATCATGGATTTATTATGATTTTTTAAAAATCCCACATGTATTCATGTGTTTGTGTATTACAGATTATTTCTTTCAACATCTCTTAAGCATTAGAAATTAAGCCTCAAAGGACTATACATATAATAAGTGATCACAGAAACCATAAAGCACTCTACAATGAATTAATTTCTCTTCTCCACTTTAAATATGGTAATTTGTAAAGGTTTCATACAAGTCATTTTATTATTATACAGATCTGTTTTATATAGATATTGAAGAGTCTGCATGATGTTTATTTTAGGACATACACAAAAAATAGAACAACATTGGATTACATAAGGTTTTTTCCAAAATGGGCAAAGAATTGGCCCAAACCAAATGCAGAGAAATGTCAAATAAGGAAGAGATGTTTAATAAAGTCCTACAAAGAATCTATTCCAAATCTTAATGTTCAATGTTTTTATTAATAAACTGTAGAATAAAATTGAATGTATTATAAGATTGTTTTAATTTGAAGCTTGGAGATATCATAAATATTCCCTAGTTAGGCTTAAATAAAGTTGATTAATTAAGCAAGTGTTCTCAAGTCACTAAATTAAATTTCAGTATGTAGAAGCAGCAAGGTTTTTCATATGGGGACAGTTGAATTGTTCAGCCTATGGAAAGATGGTAAGTTGGAAGAAATCACCTTTTAAAAGTCTAATCAAAAGGAAAATACGTAATAGTTCAGAACCAGTTGGAATGAGTGACCTGTGATGCACTATGAGATATGTTTTGGAACCAGGTAGTTCTGATAGTATTGTGAAACATCCGATCACATTGATTACTCAGATAGAGGCCTATATGTCATGGCCAAGTCTATTTTTTGTTTTGTTTTAAGCCACCAACTAAGCAGCATCATTGTCAGAGCTGCTTAGCACCACTCTCTGGGCACCATCAGCCTGTGGACAGTCAGGCCTTCAGCCCCATTTTTTTGTTTGGCCTAACTTTTCTCTGCTTCCTTCTTGAGAACTAGCCAATCCCAGCTGGGAAAAAAAGCAAAGGTTGTAGATGTGGGCTAAACTTAGTCCTAGTCCTCAACTTACTTGAACTTGAACGTGTTAAATTAGATTCACCATGGCTGACAAAAGCAATGTAAAAATGTGGTCTGGGGATCATCTCTACTTGCAAACAAGTACAGAAAGGGAACTTGAAATTGATGGGTCTCATCTGTTCCTCTGTGCTGTAGAATCTAGAGGTAATTATTTTATGGAAGCATACTCAAACAGGATATTTAATTGATCTTTAAAAATAAATGAAATATAGGAAGTTTATGCAACCTGAGTCCTGTTTTAAAGCATTTCCTCATCAACCTATAAAGAAGTTGTTAATTCTTTGTATTTTTAATGTAGCACTGAATTAACATATGTTTGTGGTTGAAAAATGAAAATTGAAAGCTTTGTATGAAATATTGTTATGGGGCTGTTGTCCTTTTACCTTATAAATACCCCTTCACAGAGATTAATTAGATTTAAAGTGTTGTGACAGGTAAATTTAGATAGATCATTTTAAAGCCAACTATGGAAAAAATATTGGTAAATAAACAGACCACTAATCTTAGTCTTTCTTGTTTACATGTGTACACCTTGAATTTTGTTGCAGAGATGTTGCAAACATGTTTAATTTATTTTGATCCTTTGCTAAGCTGAAGTAAAATCTCTCTCTCTCTCTGTTGGCTTCTAATTTGGACTGCATTCAAAAGACAAATATTCTCATCTTTTAATATATTAACCCTTCTTAATTTAAGAATTATGACTTTCCCTAAAATATTTTACCCCATTCTAAATTTGCCACACATTGTGCTCTATATTTGTTTTATAAAATGCATATTTTATCTTTACTCTTAACAATTGAAGGGAAAAATAAATTACTAATTCTTTCTTAAATGTCCTTGGTTCATAACTACATCCTGAGCAGTTGTTATGGCACAAGATCTAGCCAGGAACTATAGGAAAGAAAAACAGAAGTGTTCTTATCATTGAAGATTTGAATGTACTGATAGGAGTTCATCCTATCTTTTAAACTTATCCAATTTGTACTTCCACACATAAGTATATTGTATTAAGACAGGTCAAAGTTGAATAAATGACTTTAGTTTCTCCAACTAGAAAATATTTTTCATGTGCATATTTATTCATTTATTCCACAAATAAGTTACTAAGTTGGATACTGTTTTAGACACTAGATAAGTCAGATGAAGTGTCTGCTTTCATGGGGTTATGGTCCAGTAGGGAGACAAGCTACCAATGAACACAGATAATTTCTAACAGTTTCTGAGAGTCCATGTAATTCTTCCCTTCATTATTTATTCATTCTTTTCAATTAACTTTTGTTGTGTTCTCTGCATGCCAGGAACTACACTAGTTAGTACAAAGTGATTGATTATAAGCACTCTGTGCTCCCAGTGCTCATAGTCAAGCACCGTATTGCATGTGTGATCCAATGAGAATGCAGTTTTCTCTCTGATCCAGTGAGAATCCAGTGAGAATGCATCTCACTTAGTAGGTGCTCACATGATTGTCTCGATAATGAAAATAAAAACTCAAGGCTGTTAGGTTACTTCCATTAAACCTTTCAAAGAAAGGTACAAATTATACTCAACATCAATCACTATCCTTTATGAATGAAGAAAATGCTGCTGCCTCATGAGCTGCTTTTTCCTGAAATAGTGATGGAATTTTACTTATTCATTTGTTCTTTCTCACCGGGACCTTCCTGCCACAGTATATATCTAGGATGGCCAGTTGAGCTCATAAGGTTGGCTCTATTGCCAGTAGCTAACTACTCTTAAGCCTGCTGTGGGCAGACACCATTAAGAATTTTAAAGAACCAAACTTTTTTTTTTTAAGTTCATGCAAACGTGGAGCCTTCTGGGAAAACTGAAGATAAGTTTCAGTACATGTTAGCAGTTCTTTCCAAGGATAATTAATTTAGAATTAATATTTTTTGGCCGTATCTCAGTACTTTGGGAGGCTGAGGCAGGAGGATCACATGAGGCCAGGATTCAAGACCAGCCTGGGCAATATAGGGAGATCTTGTCTCTACACAAAATTTTTTAAAATTTTGTGGTGGTAGGCACCTGTAGTACCAGCTACTTGGGAGGCCAAAGTGGCAGGATCACTTAAGCCTTTGAGTTCAAGTTTACAGTGAACTGTGGTCATTCCACTGCATTCCAGCTTGGGTGACAGAGTGAGACCCTGTCTCTAACTAAAATAGGTAGGTAGGTAGGTAGGTAGATAGATAGATAGATAGGTAGGTAGATAGATAGATAGATAGATAGATAGATAGATAGATAGATAGATAGATAGATATGAGCATTTAAAGTCTCAAAAGGTGTGACGAACTTGCTGCCTACTCCTAGGCTTAGCTGTACAAAAAACTCCTCAACGTTAAATTGAACCATAAGCATTGTGATCATCCCATTACCTCTGCTAAGGGTTCACTCTTAGCAGACAAAATAGAAAATGTATTTCATCTACTGGTAGAGACATGTTAACTAGTATCTCTCAAGTGATTAATGAGACCGTATTTTGCTGTGTTTTTTTGTGTGTTTTTTTTAGCAGCTTTGGACAAAAAGACAGGAAAGGAAAAGAAAATAGTGACAATGCAAAGACAACAAGACAGTTTGCCCTGTTAGCTAAAATATGAAAGAGCGCATACAAAAGACTGAAGATAAACCATCCATCTTTTATGGGTTGGCATATCTCCAGGTTGGAGGGACTTCCGTTAGTGACTGCCACAGCCACTGTCTGGTGCAAATTCTTGTTAAGTCTGGCCTAATAAGAATGGTTCTGGAGATATTTTATTCTTTCCAGTGAATGTTTCCCTGTTAGTAGATGCTAACAATTATTTTGAGTGACACCTGGGAGGCATTTGCTGTGCCCCTGCCTCACCCTCGCCCCCATGTTTGGACAAACCAGCAAATTTTACAGGGGTGCTTGTGTAGCATTTGTGTATTACTCTGTGGGACTCTGAGAGAGTATAATCTGTAAAGCCAAATAGGCTTAGTGAAGGATGTCCCTTGTCGTAAGAAATTAGGATCTTTGTTTCTAAGAGTTCATCTGCCCCTGCTGCTTTATTCCTCACCTGAAGCAATAATACTCTGCTGGGGAGGTGATTATGATGTGACAAACAGGGGATTATGACTTCAGGTGAAGGACAGGCAGCAGGAGCAGATGAGATTTAGAATACCAAGACTGTGTGTACACGCAGATGTCAGTGGCAGAGAGTAAGAGACCAGAAATGGAACATACGATTATGTAGGCTGAAGGGAATGGAGATGGCTGGGTATTTCATAAGGAATCCACCATTTAAATTCTTGTCTATCCGAAGGTTAAAAATATGATGCTGTTTTTAGAGTAACAGGAACATGAAATTGAGGGTGGGAGGTGGGGGATTTGGGCTCTGTTCTCCCCTTTCTGAAGAGATTGTCATGGTGAGAGACTTTCTTACTTACTCCCCTTATTGAATGTGCTTGTGCATGCTTCTCCCTGGCACTGAGAAAAGGACCATAAATGCATATGCTGCTGGAAGATGAAATGCTTTCTGGATGTTTGTTTTCTTATCGGCTGAATTTGAGATTCAGCTCCCTGGAACTTTGAAGAAAGGTTGTTGTGACCACTTACGATGGTGTGCTCCCTGCTCCTGGCCCTCCCTCACCACTGCTCTTGGTAGTTAGCTCATGTCCACGGGTCATCTGCTTTTGGGTCACTAATGATTTATTGGAACTATTTTGGTTGTAAGTGGCAGAAATCCAATCAAACTAGATTATATACACAAAAAAGGAGAATTTATTGGCTTAAATATACACTGGGGAAGTCCAGAGGAGAGATTTGCTTCTGCTGTGTCTCTTAATAGGATCCAGAAGGCAAAACAATATCATTAATATCTTTTGTCCTTTTTGGGTTCTGCTCTTTTCTGTGTTGGCTTTATTCTTAGCTCACAAGGTCACAAAGATGATTGCTGGTGATTGCCAGTTTGTTTAATCCTTAGAGTTTATAATCCCAGAGCAAAGTCAGTGATTCTCTTTTGCCACATAACAAATCTCAGAAAGGGCCAGGTGCAGTGGCTCATACCTGTAATCCCAGCACTTTGGGAGGCTGAGGTGGGAGGATTGCTTGAGCCCAGGAGTTTGAGACCAGACTGGGCAACATAGCAAGACTCCCCGCCACTCCCCCAACGTCCACTCTACAAAAAATAAAAAACAGCCAGGTGTGGTGGTGCACGCCTGTTGTCCCAGCTACTGGGGAGGCTGAGATGGGAGAATTGCTTGAGCCTGGGAGATCAAGGCTGCAGTGAGCCATGATGGCACCTCTGCACTCCAGCCTGGGCAATAGAGTGAGACCCTGTCTCAAATATATATATATATCAGATATATATATATCAGAAAGGGATATATATATCTGATAGATCTATCAGATATATACATATATCAGATAGATCTATCAGATATATACATATATCAGATAGATCTATCAGATATATACATATATCAGATAGATCTATCATATATATATATATCAGATATATATATATATGATATACATATATATCAGATATATATATATCAGAAAGGGATCTGATCAGCTAGTCTGTGTCCAGCCCTATGGCGGGGTGATTTGGGGTCACATTACTGCCCACTCATGAGAATCACATTGTGAGAGTAGGGTAGCAATGCCGGACAGGATAACATACAGGACAGCAGAATAAAAAATCTCCCTCTCCCTGCAGAAAATTAACTACAGGCTAGGGTTTTGCTCACCATAACCAAAGGCATTGGGGGTCAAACACGTTACTGTGATTGCTGAATTGAATCCTTTGGTCCTGTGCATGGGTGCACTGGCTCACACTCACCCATGTGCACATCTGTCTGTGTAGGAGATCCTTTTTGTGTCTCAGAACTGCTAGTATGCCTCTCTCCATTGAGATTGGTTCGGCGACACATGGAGCTGGCCCAGCAAGAGGTTCTAACATCAGTGACTACAGCTAAAAAGAACCAGGGCAGACAAAGGCTAACAGTCAATCTTTCCTCTGAATCTTGGAATTGGAAAGGGCTCTAGTGACTGTCCAATCCACTTGTTTTGATTAAATAAATTGTCCTTTGGCCTTGCATCACAGCTACTACCCTCCCTACAACCTGTCCTGTATCTTTTTATTCTACTATGTTGATTTGTCCCTTCATCTACAACGAAAAGGATTTAGCATGATCTGGTATAAAATATAGGAGAATTTTACTTTCTTTGCTCATATTCGTGTCCTCTGCCTTTCCACAGCTACCAGTTGCCTACCTAGCCTCTCCACACTGTCCCAGCTTCTTCACCTCCCCTTTTTTTTCTATAAGGCACTTCAATTTTCACTAGTATTATCCCCTAAAGACATAAGCAAAGGACAAGGTCAGAGCAGTCAGTTGTATTCCTTGTTAGTGGCTTTGATAAGAGGCTTTGGGGGAAGAGGTTGAAACTAACGGCTATAATGAAGTTTTGGGTTCTCTAAAGATTTCATTTATCGGTGCTATTGGTCTCCCCATTAAATGCATGCCTGTTCTGTGTACCTTTGCACACAGTTTGCATAACATATAATATTTATTACTGAAACCTTGCAAACTTCTTAAATTGTATAGAAAAGGCTGTGAAACTTACTCTTAGAGAACATAAAAATATAGAGAATGAAGGTCATAACTCCAAATATTGAGTGATACAGTGTTTTGAAAAAAAAAAAACCAGAATAAAACAAAATTAGTTACTAGAGTAGAAAAAATATAGTTTTAATATGTATTGATACATGTCTTTTTGCCCTCCCCCAATTTAGTAAAGATGCACTAGGTGTTAATAATATTCTTCTTATCATACAGTGTATTTTAATCTAGCATTTTAGAAAACTTTTTACAAGTTCATAGATAAAAGCCCTGTCAGAATGTGACTTTTCATTTTCAGATGTTGTGAACTGGATTTCTGCATGATTTTTATGGAAATGACTATACTTTTAAAATGTAAAACTTTTAATAAAACAAAACAAATTTAAAGCCCTCAAACCTTTTCTTGGTGGACCTCATGTCCCCCTGTGATTCTTAAGTATATGTTAACTAGTTTCAGATGTGTTTTGTTCGCTGACTCAAAATCAGCTCTTTATTTTAAGAAAAGAAATTGTGTAATTAGTACTTAATTGCTTTGGATATTTTGGGCATTTGGAGAAGAGGGTAATTCAAAGGCCAGAGAAATTAAACTTTC
The DNA here is from genome assembly GCF_000001405.40 of Homo sapiens. NCBI lineage: Eukaryota > Metazoa > Chordata > Mammalia > Primates > Hominidae > Homo > Homo sapiens. Next base: position 36,705,092 of record NC_000015.10, read on the forward strand.
AGAATGTTCTTTATGCGTCTGTAATTTCTTTTTAAAAAATGCCCTCTAAAGACAGTCCTGACAACTTAAAAATGAATGAAGACCTGGGTTGTTTTTAAAAATTAACATCATCTTTGGATGTGGTTTTATTGATTTATTTAAGATAAATTGGAGAGAGGACCATTGAAGTGCTAGAAAACAAGATACTATCTAGTTCATCTCCTTTTCAGGCAGGTGTTGTCTAAATAGCTCACAGATGGCAGTCTTCTTCTCTTACATTTCAAGATCTTCCAAGATGAAAATAAATTTTTCCCCACTTTAAAAATATTACATTTGATCAAATTTAAATATTTGCATAATTAAGAATGGTATATGGTCTGCTGGGACCAACTGCAACTTGGTTGACATGGGCACATATCCTGTATCTGCAGTGATTTGAGAGGTCTAGGTCTTGTTTGGTCATTTAACTTCTCTAGGCCAGTTATATTGTGTATAAATTGGAATGTTGGACTAGTAATCTCTACAATTTTGCTAGTTCAGAAAAGTTTCTGAGGCAACCATTATCTAAAAATCTATGTTTTGTGAATCTGAAGGTTAACAGGTCTGCTTTTAAGTGATAATATTCCTATATTAATTTTGATAATGAGCACTTGAACTATGACATTAATGAACTTAATGGTTATAAAATATATTGGGTTTTTAAATATATACCTTAAACCAGAAGACCCTTACTTTGTATCTACTGTAGTTGCTGAATAAGACACATAGGAAGGATTTGAAGATTGGTTTCATATTGATTCCCAACCATTTGTGGAAGTCATACTAAAAGTACTATTTCAGATTATTGCCATTACCTTTTTTTCATTCTAACTAATATTATTTTTACTTTGTTCTTAATCTTTATCATTTTTTTCTTGAAGAAAACATCTTATATTACTGTTGAAGAAACAGTGAAACTTGAAGAAACAGTTTATGTTACTTAAACATCTAGTTTCCACTTAGAAAATTCAAAGAATCATAAGTAACTACTTGGCTCAAACATATGCAGTTTTATAAGAGCCTGTATGAAATGTGTGATTCTCAAGGAAAACATAAATTGTAAAACTGACTATAAAAGAGATATATATATCAACAGATCAGTAGCCAAAGAAAAAACAGTTGCCCACCCAACAATGGCACCAGGCACAGATTGGGTTTTGTGGAGGAATTCTACTAAAATGTTAAGGAGTGGATAGGTCCAGTGTTATTTAAAATACTTGAGGCCAGGCATGGTGGCTCATGCCTGTAATCCCACCACTTTGGGAGGCCGAGGCAGGCAGATTATTTGAGGTCAGGAGTTTAAGACCAGCTTGGCCAACATGGGGAAACCTTGTCTCTACTAAAAATACAAAAATTAGTCAGGCATAGTGGCATGCACCTGTAATCCCAGCTACTTGAAAGGCTGAGGCAGAAGAATCACTTGAACCCAAGAGACGAAGGTTGCAGTGAGACGAGATCGCGCCACTGCACTCCCACATGGGCGACAGAGCAAGACTTCATCTCAAAAAAAAAAACAAAAAAAAAGGTTGACTTCAAAGAAAAATTTTCCCATCAGTATTAAGGAAAGAGATGCTGTCTTTTTTACAAAATTGAGATGAACCTCAGATGAACATGTAGAACAGACAGTTGGGACCAAGGATGAAAGATAACAGTGAGAGTTCTCCAATAAAACCTTGAACTTTGAGCCTAGTTGGTGCCTTTGTGCCTTGTTGATAATTAGGGAATTAAATTAAGAAAGGAAATTATTGTCAGTCTGGATAGGCTTTGTAAAGACATGGATACTGTTAAACGTGTACTTGTATTTTACTCATTCATCTTTTGGGGGCATTAAGTGTCCTGGGGCCTAGAACAGTGAACAAGGCCACCTGTTTCGAAATGCTGCTTCCTACCCTGGTACCATCATTTCATCTGAACTTTGCCAAGTTGTTACCTCGTCCTTTCTTAGATCTAGGATGAAGGAAGCAAGCCAAAGGTTGAAACAGAGGAGATGGGACAGTCAGAGTTTAGTAAATAGATTAAAGGAAGAAGATACCCAATACACAGCATTTTACATGTTTGGCATAACATCTTTACTATAAAAACTAGAAGTCTAATATCACCAATGGTGACAAAGACTTCCAGATGCTATCCTTTGGCTACAATTATTACTGAATCAGCTTCATGTTGAGAGAGAAAGAGTGAGAGGGAGGGAGAAAGAGAGACAGGGGTGTGTGTATGTGAGAGAGAGAAAGAGAGAGAGCGAGCCAGTTGTAGTTTGTTGAAGTTCACCACAAAAAGATGGGAAGGATCCCCAGCCACACTTGATGTTTTGTGTTTAAGTTTTGAGGTTTGGGATTGTTAATTCTCATATTAAGTCACCCATGCAATTTAAATTGTAGATATTATGTTAGTAATTTTGGTGCAGTGAACAGGAGTGCAGCATCTGTCTTTTAAAGGGATTTTTATGTGCATTTGGATTGCTTGGTGACCTTTGAAATTTTGTTTTGCACTGTTATCAGAAACGTAATCATTTTTCTTTCTGAAGCAGATTTTAACATCTGAAAAGGTTGATGAAGCTAGGATAGTTTTAGTGAAATATTAATCTATCTTTTTCAATGTCACCATTGCTTTTAAAACTGTTCATCAGCTACCGGAAACATCAGCTTAAGGCACTGGAGTTGATTTTAATTAAATATTCTCATTGTGGTCAGAGTATAGTTACAGAACAGAAACTTGTCCAATCTTCTTCATCTACAGCTCACTTTCCAAATTCTCTTGTTTTTAAAGTCATATTATTTCAATCTGTATTTCTTTATCTCAATAGTTAACTTGAGATTTTTTATATTTCAAGGAGGGGAGATTGTTCTGAATACTGGCACCAATCCTTCAAAATCTAGACAGCTTAAGGATATTGACTTTTAACAAAATTTAACTTAAATGTCTACTTTAAATATGTGTCTTGTCATTAAAAGGTTATTTACATTTGAAATGCTGACCTTTCAAGTTGTGCACAAGAGTGTTCTAAAACAGAGTTTCTGAACATTGGCCATGAAACCACTGTCTTGGGCTGACAAATGGATTGGAAATAAGCTACCCAACACTGGGAATGGGCCATTAATTTTAATCAAAGGTGATGCAGGAAGGCGAATGGGATGCATGACAATGTCAACAGCCCAGTAGGTGTTAAGAGACCACACAGCCTTCCTTGTTACTTGGTCGGGCCATTAGTTGAGGTTGGGTGAAGACAGAAAGCCATGTCTGGAATTGAATGACCAGGTCACTCCAAAATCTAATGGAGAACTCCCCATTTCAGAAATCACATTGTACTGCCATTAGAAGTCAAGGACAGCATTTAGAAAATATTGGTGGATTTTTTTTTTTTTTTTTTTTTTTTAAACAATCACCTTTCTAGTTTTTCCCAACTTTGTCAAGCTTCCTGTTTTCCTGCCTTCTTTCCTTCCTAATAGATCATTGATATTTACAGGGGACTAAGAAATCAAACAGACTTAGGAAAAAAAATCTTAAAGCCTTAAAATTGCTTTTCAGAATTACATATTGTTATAAAACTCAGGTAAATGTCAGAAACAATAGCATACCAAAGGAATTAAGCAGGATAACTAATTCTTTATGGCGATCTCATTGTCCTTGTCTCTTTCTTGTGTGTGGGAATAGTTTCACTAATTGAAACTAAACTTTCGTAATTGCTTTATTGAAGGCATTTTTTCATAACTGTGAAGGCCACTGTGCTTGCCCCTTTACTATAAATTTTCAATACTGGCTGATAACATTTGTAATTTTCACAGTGGTGAAAGCCTTTATTTTAAATCAGTAAGTATATTACCTTATTTTGAGTACTTTCAATTACAAAAAAGGTAGTATATGACAGCTTGAACTCGTGATGTTTATAATAACGAAAACATGCAGAAAAATAATGAAAGAAGCATATCTGAAGCATATTTACGCTTCAGTGTTGTTCAGAAAGTTCATTATTTCTGACACAGCACTGCATGCATAAGAAAGATATGTATGACTACAGTAGTAATTTTTATACATATTTAAGAAATAAAAACAAATATATTCCTATCTTGTTAATTGAATAGTGTTTTAAGTAAATAGTGTTTGTTCTTCCTGTAGATGAAGATCAGCTTCGTGCAAAGGGTTATGACAAAACACCAGACTTCATTTTACAAGTACCAGTTGGTAAGTTCTTTAACTCTGTTATGCATTTGTTTTTAGAGAAAAGGGATGTATTTTTTAATTTTTTTATGTTAATATTAGCTTTATAATATTATAAATGGGTGGATAATTGGAAAATGTTACTTTTAAACAGCAGAAAATAATAGGTTCAGAAGAAATCTGTCTTAAAATCTTTTGCATATATTGAGAAATAAACATGTTTTCTAAAGATATTTTGGTTGTCATTTTCAACTTATTTCTCTAAATTTCAAATTCCTTAAACATAGATCTCTTGAAAAGCCAGACTCATTTTGGTCTGCTTGACATGGCACTTGTCGAGTTATACAGGCAGTCTGAGAACTAGGAAAGGGAGTTTTGAAGAATATAATGAAAATCAAAGGGATATGATTGTCACATAAATGTTCTTTGTAATGAACATATACAGTGTGTTGTTTTGTAATTACATTTATAGATGATGGTAAGGGCTAAGCCTGTGCTCATTAATGTGAAGCATAGAGAGGCCTGTACAGAGTTCAGAATTTTCAATCTTCCCCTCCCTTCTCCGTATATTAGTAATGCTTTGTCCCTTAGCTGTAGAAGGGCACATAATTCACTGGATTGAAAGCAAAGCCTCATTTGGTGATGAATGTAGCCACCACGCCTACCTGCATGACCAGTTCTGGAGCTACTGGAATAGGTAAGGTCTCATTATTTTTCTTTTAAGATAAACGATACTCAGCTGAAATCTCATTAGAAAAAAATATTTTGTTTAGCTGGTAAAAATGCTAGTAGCCGTTGTTTCTAGTAAATACAGAGTTTTGATTAATGTATTCATTTCAGATAATTTAAACTTCTCTGCTTTCATAATGTTGCTTCATTTTTTAAAACTAAAAATCTCTGCATAAGGTCAAAATTAGTATATATTCCATTTTTCATTCATTTTACAATAATATTGGTGTCACTTAAAATACAGATAATAAGATGTGGTGTATATTACAGTATTGACACTGAACTTTTATCCTTTTGATGTGAAATTTATGCTTACTCAGACCTTAAAATAATTTATCCTCAGCTCTCTGAGGAAAGTAGCCAAATGATATGAAAGATGGAAATAATACACCTTCCAAGAATAGAGAATAGTTTACCTACCAACTCATATTAACGTTCCCAAAGACATGGAAATCTCAGCGTTAAGAAAGGAGTGGGAGGGTCTTATTTTACTGTTTATCTACCACATGTCCGGGAAGTTACTTTTGTCCCCATTTTACAGATAACTAAGCTGATAGAGAAAATGATGTGCTGTAGAGCTAGTTATCATGGGGCTGCATTTATCTCTCACTCCCAAATCTGTGTGATTTCCAGCACAACCCTATTGTCATTTACAATACAACCTTCCAAACTTTGGCTTTTTCTATTATTGCAGTCCCGTGTTCACACTACATGTTTTTTCCCCCTTAGAACAGGAATGCCAGCCAACAGTAAGAATACAATAATAAAATGACATTGGCTCAGATCCTTAAGGAATGAGACAGTAGCATCTGTGGGTAATAGCCTTGTCCTAGGGTAAAAACAGTGACCAGCTACAGAATTTGGCATTATATTGTTACTCAGCTTTACAAAAGGCCAGTGGACCTCGCCTGTGGCAGCTGTGCTAAACTAAGCCCACTTTTTGCCATGGTAACAATGATCATGACAAAATGCTGAATGTAATAGCTTTCTTGATTTTCTTGTGTAATTGTGCGTGGCATCCGAGCTTTACTTTACAGGGATGGAGGAGGAAAGTGCAAAATGTTTTAGAAATCAATGCTGTTTCAGCGTTTCCTGTGTTTTATTCAGCCATTATTCAAATTAGCAGTAATGTGGCAAATTGAATTTTAGATTTTTAGCAATTTTATGATGAGTTTGAAATAGTAAAGAAAGCATCATTTTTGGAAGTATAGGGAAAGCAATGACAGGAAAATCAAATTGCATAAGTTTAGGTTGCTAAAGTATTTTAAAAAAAACTGATAAGCTCAATCAGTAGGGAGGCAGACTGTTTCCCCAGCTTTGGTACCAGTCATATCTTTTCTAAGGAAAAATTACAAACCAAATCCCAAATACTAGAGCTTACTTCAAAATTCCAAATTATTATCTTTCTTCTAAAACAACTCAATTATTTATTGAATACCTACTGTGTACTTAACATTCACCATTTAGAGGCTGATTAAATAATCTAGTCACCTAGATGATAGATTTAGGGATTATTGACATGCCTGGAGGATGTCTGTGTGATAGATAATTTAATACAATTTCCTTTGGATTTTATATCACTTTGTTGCATTCTACTTTTACCCTTCTGGTGATGTTTTACTTAGACTACTATTGATTTACATTCCCTGAGCACATTGTTTGAATATATACTGGCTAAGTGAGCATAATTCATTTAGGGCATGATGTGTGATACGGGAATGTTAGCCTTGGTTTTAAATGGTCCAGATCATTTAAGGAGTAAACGTCACAGAAGTCACTGATGTTACCAAAGGTCTGCAGAGAGGCCAAGAAATGCAAGTTCAAAAAGGAACATTTAGTGCCCAGGTTTGAAATGGAACTTTGGGGTATTTACTTATATATAAAATTTGTAACATATGATAATGATACAAGCTGACCGGTGATAGAGTATTTTGACAGAAGGAGAACTTACCCCATTTGTGAATGTATGGGATCCTCCTCTTCTCGCATTTTGCCTCAACACAACTCATGTATATTAGCAATTGCTAAAGTTCTTCAGCATATAACTTTAGCAGCTTCTAAAGTTCTTCAGAATTGGAAGAAATTCTCTCCCACCTGTAGGTAGCCTTTCAAGGAGGCTATTGGTTAGAAATTGGGCTTTTTGCTTTATTCATGTGATAAGCCTCTAGTTTATATAAAAACCAATATTACCTAATTGTCCCACTATTTTCAGATTAAAGATTGGATTTTACAATAAGACTGTTCAATTACTATTTATAGACTAATGCTTTTTTTTTTTTTTTTTTTTTTTGAGATGGAGTCTCACTCTGTCATCCAGGGTGGAGTGCAGTAGTGTGATATCGGCTCACTGAAACCTCCACCTCCCGGGTTCAAGTGATTCTCCTGCCTCAGCCTCCCAGGTAGCTGGGATTACAGGTGCCTCACACCACTCCCGGCTAATTTTTGTGTTTTTAGTAGACAGGGGGTTTTACCATGTTGGTCAGTCTGGTCTCGAACTCCTGACCTCATGATCCACCTTCCTTGGTCTCCCAAAGTGCTGGGATCACAGGCGTGAGCCACTGCACCTGGCCTAGACTAATGCTTTTGTATAAATCCATTTCCCACACAAATAACTACAGAGCCACCAATTTTTAGATTAACATTTCTATAAGAGTTTTCTTTTATAGTAAATTGATATTCTTACTCAGCTTAACTAACCTTGAAAACATTTAAATTTTACAATGTAGTCATCTTCCCCAAAATCAGTGCTACTGAGTAAAGAACATAAGCAGCCGTTCCTACAAGCACATCTCCATCCCAAGACCCAGTTATGAACCTTGGTTAAACAACTACTCAAAACTCTGTAGTCTCTACTTCTACAGAGTTAAAGGAGATAAAGAATGCCTCTGGGAAGCATTTGGACCATAAATATAACCCCAAATTATATAAGGCTACCAGAAAATACATTTCCTTATGAAATCAACACACAAAAAGTCTTCTAATCCTATTTCGCTAATCAAAAGGTGAGTTCTTTGACAATTTGGCATCTATTACTAAGTATACTTTTATACTGAGATGATGACTTATAAAGAAAGAAACCAATTCTACCAGTCTAAGGTCAGATTACATATATGGTCTCTAATGTGTGACCTTTCAAAGAGGCAGGGATAGACACATTGTCCTTACTTTTGGTGGTTTGAGATAAAGTGGGTCAGTTTGAATGAAAATATTGAGTGACCTTAAATGACAGAGAAAGAGCCATATGCTATAAAGCACATGAACAGTGACCAACAACCACTGATCAAGAACATGGAAATTGCAACTGCAAGTTTCAGCCCCTCCATCTGCCATTCCAGTCACATTCTGGCACGTTCTCATTAGAGACATCTCTTTAAAACCAAAGTGCACTTTGTTGATATACCTCTCTGCTTCTCTCAAAGAAAATCTAAGCTTCTTGGCTGGAACAAATGGGGCAAAATTTGTTTTTTCAATTTAGTGATCCTTGAAGTAATGGGAGGAATATTGGGTTTGAATCCAGAGTATGCCACTTTCTGGTCCCATGACTGGGAGCAACTTACTGTGTTTTCTCCTCAATAAAATGGACTGAGTAAAACCTTTTTTGCCCTATTACTCTGAAGATCAGTTATTTAATATATGCAAAGCACTTTCACAGTGCCTGGCAGTCAAAAAAATATTAGTTCCCCTCTGCCTGTTTTTCTGTATACCACTGATGAAGTTTAGAAGTCTTCCGACTAGACATTTTTAATTGCCTTCTTTGCCACATAAACTACTCAGCTAATTTCAGCACTCAGCTTGGCTGACATCTCTTTGAGAAACCTTCCTGCCTTCTAGGATTGGGTTTGATGCGCCTCCTGCGTTTTGCTAATAATTTCGTAACATCTATCAAACATGTCATCGCTTGTTTACTTGTCAACCTCCTCCAATTAATGTTGAGTTCCATCTTATCTACTGGTTTTATCCATCTTTGGTTGTCCAGAATCTGGCATATAGTAGGTGATAGTAGATATTTATTGATTGTATTTACTGATGTCTGACAGACAATAATGTTTTGAATCGGCCATTGAGGAATTTGTCAGGCATTGTGACATTAAGCCTTAGTACAATCAAATTTTTTTCTTTGAGAATTCAACTCGAAGTATAGTGAGGAAAATGCCTGATTTTTCTGAAAAACTTTTACGCACTTTTCAAATGTGTAGACTTTTGCAGTCCTATTTCATGAAATAGAGCATAAATGTATTTAACATAAAGATTTTTAAAAACAGAAAATAACTGAGAACTAAATGACAAATGCACTTTATAAAGGTTTTTAGATAAATATGTATAATCTTATGTTGGTCGGTTGCTTTCCCAAAACTTCAGACAGTTCTCTCATTTGAAATTTGACATAGAATACCGTGAAAATTCTAAGCAGAGGATAAACTCTAGTTTCTTTAAGGGTTGCATGAAACTGGGCCTGGAGCAAGAGTACAAATGGAGCCTTATATACTATGTGTCTAAATATGTAAAGTTACATATTAAGTTAACAGACCTTAAATAAAATATATTCTATTCTACATGAAGAGCTGAAAGTTTAGAATTGCATAAGAATTCCTAGATTCCTTGGATTTCCAGGCTCCGTGTGTCAGTGCAGGGAGAGGTGGTCCCACTGCACAGCCTGCCTTCCTTTTCTTCCCACCCTCAGCTCCATCCTACACCTGGAAAGGTGTCAAGCACATGCCCAGCCTGCATATCCAAGCTCCACGTACATTCCCATGAACCACTGCTCTCAGGCCAGAGTTGCACACTCTGGTTGTCTGCCCTCTTATCAGGTGAATGAACCTGAAAGGGCCCTCCAGGCCCTGGGAATGGTCTTGGGGCTATAAGATCAGGAAGTTCTGAGGTCACTGATACCTGGAATGTGGCCTAGAAACTGGTTGAGGGAACAGGTGTCAGATGGGGATGTTTCCTTGGCCCCATAAACTCCTTACTTCATGGATTCAGATATAACTAGACAGGGGCCAGAGCAGAGTTACCTAAAGCTTGGGTGCAGGACACGGACCTCTCTTGATTGGCTCTAAAGGACAGTATTAAATGAAGCAAGTGCATAGATCTTTGAAAGCCATTTCTTGTTCTGATGTTAGGATAGGAGGCGAGATGAGCACCAGAGGAAATATGGTCTTGATCACATTTATGTACCACGGAAACGATTAAGAGCTGAGTTCTATCTGTCAGATTTTTGAACCTTTGGCTCCAGAGAGTCTACTCTCCTGAAGGCAATGCTAAGCTAATACCTTCTGCCACAGAATTGATTTGACTTTAGTTCATACCTCTAAGTATTTTTTAAAGATCAGTTATTTACTCAATGGTCTGGCAGTTGCTTTCTCTGGTTTGTGATAGCTTGAGAGGAGAGGCATTTAGAATGGGAATGCCAACCAGTTAGAGTTAAGGAAGATATTTTTCAGAGCATGGCCAAAGTTTTTCCTGTATTAAGATACTTTCAGGAACCCTGCAATTAGCCAAATCACAGATTTCCAGTTATTTCGGTCTTGTTAAAAACAAGGCTGATCACATCTGTCTTAAGTTGGAGTATGTGCCTTAGCAATAGAAGCTCTTGCAAACCTTTAATTACAGCAGCCTCAGAAGCAGCACTGCTGCCGTATACTATCAAGTAGCAATAACAAGTGACAGATTGACTAATAATTAGCAAATGCTCTGAAGGGGGCTTCGATAAGGGTAAAATATGATTTGCTTTTTCTATCTCTTAAAATTGAGTTGATTGTGAGATATTGATGTCCCATTGTTCCAGACAGATACTTGACACTGTTGCTAGCTGGAGTAACCTCAAAATATTTTATCAGGATGAGGGAAGTGTTTTCTGTGTATAGAGTACTTTGAGAAAAATGACTTCTCATAATGGTTATAATGGATAAGTATCATTTTTTCAGCATGTTGAATGTGAATAACAAGACTTTTCTAAGTGAGGAATTCATATTTTCTGCCATCATTCATTGGTTTTAACAAAACTGAGCAAAGTATAGAAATGTTATCTTAGGCCTTTAGAGTGATATTCGTAATAAGGAGACAATTGTTGAGAAACTAGAATGACTTAAATCAAAGAAAACAGATCTATAAGGGAATGTCAATGAATTATAGTTTCTCTGGCTAGAAAGACATCTAAATGATTACTCTTTTCAAGCATATGTAAGATTTTTACAAGAGGGGTATATTGACCAGTTTCACAAATCCAGGGGACCAGACAATTGTTGAGAGAATGACTTCGTGTTGACACCCACTATGACAAAGTTAATCTGAGTCATGTATAGCTCAGAAATCTTACACCAAACCAAACCAACAAGCAAAGGATTGAGTGGCCGTTCTAGGAATGGAAACACACCATTATGATCATCCAGAGAGGGTAAGGGAAAAATAAATGAGAGTTTACCAATATCGGGAGTATAGTTATTGTCAAGAACCCAAGAATACAGAGTCTATTTCTGAGGCTAATTCTAGAATAATGGAGATCAGGTCAAAATTGATACTAAAAAGGCTTGGAGTCTAGCTTAATGGTTCTCAAAGTTTACTGTGTGTTAAAATCACATGCGGGTTGTTTTTAAAATATTGATGTTGGCTTTACCCTATTTTAATTGGTGTGCAGTGCAGCCTGGACTCTGGGATTTTTGTTGTTGTTGTTCTGTTTGAAAACTATGATGAGGTTAGTCTGTATCTAACATTGAAGTCAGACTCTTCTTTACCGAGCCTCAACTTGCTAGCTAGCCGTAGCATTCTTAGCTTATCTGCTTCCAAACAGAGTCTTCATGAAATAGTTGCTTTATGAAGAAATACAAGTCCAGGTCAGCAAACATTTACAGGCACTGTGTTAGGCAGTAGGGACTCAGCCCCTGCCTTTGAGGGGTTAACAGTGAGAACTGAGCAGTAAACTGCAGAGGCAGCACCTGAACCCAAGTCTCTTTGTGAACTCCACACCTATGCTCTTTCTACTCCACCGGCAGCTTCATGTCTGTCATGGTGGTAAATACGTTGGAAGAGGCTACTTTGTCAGTTAATGGGCTTGCTAAGCTAAAACTACAACCCTCTCCAGCATACAAGTTTTAGATATTCACCTTAATGTGGTTGGAGAAAATGGACCATTTGTTCTCTGTTCTTCGAGAGCCTATATTCTGTATTTTAAAAAACAACTTTATTGCGGTATAACTGACACAGAATAAACTCATATTTAAAGAGTACAATTTAATGTTTTATATAAACCTATAAAATTGTTACCATGATAGAGATAGTGAGCATACCTGCCACCCCTAGGTTTCCTGATGCCTCTTTATAATCCACTTTCCTAATCCCTTCAATTCTCCCTGCACCTCTGTAACCACTGATCTGCTTTCTGTGACTGTTGATTACTTTGCTTCTACTATTTTATGTAAATAGAACTATGCAGCATGTACTTCTTTTTGTCTAGCCTTTTTTACTCAGCATAATTATTTCAGGATAATATATGTTGAATGTACCAATAGTTCATCTTTTTATTGCTGAGAGGCATTAAGTAGCATGGCTGTTCCACTGTTTATTTATCCATTCACCTGTTGATGGACATTGGGCTTATTTTTAGTTCTGGCTATTACTAATAAAGCTGATCTGAACAGTTTTGTAAAATATTAACATGATTTCATTACTCTTGAGTAAAGATGTAATGTAATCATTTCATACCTGGGAATGAAATGATTGGAACATAGGGTGGGAATATTTTTACCTTTTTACAAAATGACTAAACTCTTTTCTGAAGTGGTTATACCATTTTATATTCCCACCAGCAGCTTATGATAGTTCCTTCTGCTTCCCATCTTCCTCATCACTTAGTATGGTCAGTCTTTTTAACTCAAGGCTTCCTAATAGTTGTGTAAAAATGTGTTAATGTGATTTTTAATTTGCATTTTTCTAATGATAAATTATATTGAGAATCTTTTCTTATGTTTATTTGCTGCCTGTTTTCTTGGAAAAGTTTCTCTTGAAATCTTTGCTTCATTAGTTAATTGAGTTGCTTTCTTATTGAGTTTTGGTAGTGCATTTTTATTTTATATTTTAGTATTCTGGATATAAGCTTCTTGCATGTAGAAATGGTTCTAGAACCCTTTTTTGAGAAGACTCTTTTTTCTCCACCTAAATTACCTTTGTACAATTGTCAAAAATCAGTTGTTCATATACGTGTGGGCCTGTTTCTGAGTTCTCTGTTTGTTCCATCATCGGTTTGTCTATACCAATTCAACACTGTTTTGATTACTGTAACATTATAATTTTGAAAACAGATAGTAGGTCCTCCAACTTTGTTATTCTTTTCAAAGTTACATTTTGCTGTTCAAGATCTTTTTTACCATATGAATTTTAGAGTCAGTTTATTAATTCCTATAAAAGCCTGCTGCGATTTAGATTGGGATTACATTGAATTTACAGATCAATTTGGGAAGAATTAACATCTTAATAATATTGAATCTTCTGATCCATGAACCTGACATCTCTCCATTTATTTAGGTCTTTTAACATTTTTCTCAGAAATTGTTCTGTAGTTTTCAGTGCACAAATTTCACATTTTTTGTATTGATTGAATGATGTAAGTACTTCATAGTTCTTAATAATATTAGTAATGATAGTTTTGTTTCCATTTGTTCATTGCTACTATAGAGGAATACAATTGATTTTGTATTTTGATTTTCTATACTGCAATAAAACCCATTTATTAATAGTTTACATCATTGGTGGAAGTGATAGGATTTTCTACATAGACAACTATGTTGTTTATAAAGACTATTTTACTTCACTTTCAATTTGTATGCTTTTTTTTTTTTTTTTTTTTTTTGCTTTTGCTTCATACAAAAGTGAATGGTAAGAATGGACATTGTTGCCTCACTGCTGATCTTAGAAGAAAGATTTTAGATCTTTTCACCATTAAGAATGATGTTAGGGGTGAGCACAAGTGACTTAAGCCTGTAATCCCAGCACTTTGGGAGACCAGTGCAGGAGAATCTCTTGAGGCCAGGGGCTCAAGACCAGCCTGGGCAACATAGTGAGACCCTGTTTCTATTAAAAAAAAAAATTAGCCAGGCATGGTGGCACACACTTGTAGTCCTAGCTACTCAGAAATCTGAGATGGGAGGATCACTTGAGCCCAGGAATTTGAGGCTGCAGTGAGCCATGATCATACCACACTGCACACTAGCCTGGGCAGTAGAGTGAGACTCTGTCTCTAAAATAAATAGAAAAGACTGATGTTAGCTATAGGTTTTTGTAGACGCCCTTTATCAGGTTGAAGAAACTCCCTTCTAGTCCTAGTTTGCTACAAGTTTTTATCAAAAATTGGTGTTGGATTTTTGTCAAATGCTGTTTCTGCATCTATTACGATGATCATATAAGTTTCTTAAATTAGTCAATATAGTGAATTAATACTGATTGATATTTTAATGTTATACCAACCTTGCTTTCCTGAGATAAACTGCATTTGATTATGAAGCAATACACTTTTTATATTTTGCTGGATTTGATTTGTTAAAATCTGTTACGAATTTTTGCATCTATGTTTATGAGTGATACAGGTTCATGTTTTATTTTTCCTTCTAAAGTATTTATCTGGTATTGGTATTAGAGTAATGCTGGCCTCTTAGTATGGGTTGGGAGGCATTTCCTCCTCTTTAATTTTTTTGAAAAGTTGGCACAGAATTGCTATTATTTCTTCCTTAAATTTTTGGTGAGATTCCCCAGTCAAAGCATCTGGGCCTGTGGTATTTTTTTGGTGAAAGATTTTTAACTATAAAATCGATTTCTTAGTAGTTATAAGACATTCAGGTTATGCCTTTTTTTTCTTGAATGAGCTTTGGCACTTTGAGTCTGTCAAAGTGTTTGTCCATTTAATCTAAGTTGCAGAATGTTTTGGCATAATCTTGTTGAAAATATTCCCTTATTATCTTTCAATGTCTGTAGATATGTCTCCTTTCTAATTCCTGATATTGATAATTGTGTCTTCTTTTCTAGATCAATCTGCCTAGAGGTTTATCCATTTTATTGTTCTTCTAAACGAACCATTTTTTTATTTGTTTTTTTATTAAATATTGATTTTCTTTTTTCTCTTTCATTGGTGTGTAATCATACATTATTTTCTTTTTGTGTATTAATTTCTGTTTAGTTTGCTCTTCTTTTTCTAATTTCCTAAGGTGGAAAACTGAAGTTGTTGATTTTAGTTCATTTTTTTCCAATATAAACATTTTATTTATTTATTATTTATTATTTATTTATTTATTTATTTATTATTATTTTTAAAATTATACTTTAAGTTCTAGGGTACATGTGCACAACGTGCAGGTTTGATACATAGGTATACATGTGCCATGTTGGTGTGCTGCACCCATCAACTCTTCATTTATATTAGGTATTTCTCCTAATGCTATCCCTCCTCCCTCCCCCGACCCTATGACAGGCCCCAGAGTGTGATATTCCCCACCCTGTGTCCAAGTGATCCCATTGTTCAGTTCCCACCTACGGGTGAGAATATGTAGTGTTTGGTTTTCTGTCCTCGTGATAGTTTGCTGAGAATGATGGTTGCCAGCTTCATCCATGTCCCTGGAAAGGAAATGAACTCATCCTTCTTTGTAGCTACATAGTATTCTATGGTGTATATGTGCCACATTTTCTTAATCCAGTCTATCACTGATGGACATTTGGGTTGGTTCCAAGTCTTTGCTATTGTGAATAGTGCCGCAATAAACATACGTGTGCATGTGTCCTTATAGTAGCATGATTTATAACCCTTTGGGTATATACCCAGTAATGGGATGGCTGGGTCAAATGGTATTTCCAGTTCTAGATCCTTGAGGGATCGCCATACTGTCTTCCACAATGGTTGAACTAATTTACACTTCCACCAACAGTGTAAAAGCATTCCTATTTCTGCACATCCTCTCCAGCATCTGTTGTTTCCTGACTTTTTAATGCTTGCCATTCTACGTGGCATGAGATGGTATCTCATTGTGGTTTTGATTTGCATTTCTATGATGACCAGTGATGATGAGCATTTTTTCATGTGTCTGTTGGCTGCATAAATGTCTTCTTTTGAGAAATGTCTGTTCATATCCTTTGCCCACTTTTTGATGAGGTTGTTTTTTTCTCGTAAATTTGTTTGAGTTCTTTGTAGATTCTGGGTATTAGCCCTTTGTCAGATGGGTAGATTGCAAAAATTTTCTCCCATTCTGTAGGCTGCCTGTTCACTCTGATGGTAGTTTGTTTTGCTGTGCAGAAGCTCTTTGGTTTAATTAGATCCCATTTGTCTATTCCAATGTAGACATTTTAATGCAATAAATTTACTTCTGAGCACTGTTGTGGCTGTATCTCACAAATATTTACATATTGCATTTTCATTTTTATTTGGTTCCACATACTTTCTACTTTTGATTTCTTCTTTGACCCACACTTATTTTGAAGTATGCTGTTTTGTTTTGAAATATTTGAGAAATTTTCAGATATCTTTCTGTTTGGTTTCTAATTTAATTGCATGGAGATCAGAGAACAAATCTGAATTCTTTTAAATGTATTGAGATTTATGTTATGGCTCAGACTGTGGTTATCTCTGTAAATTTTCTATGTACACTTGAAACTATTCCACTTTTGTTTTTGGAGTGGCTTATAAATGTCAATTAGGTCAAACTGGTTGTTTGTGTCATTCAAGTTTTCTGTGTCTTTACATATATGCACTTATCAGAACTCTTCTGAATACTTGAGGGAGACCTATTTAAGTTCCTGGAATTTCTCTCTCTCTCTCTCTCTGTCTGTCTGTCTGTCTCTGTGGGCAGCTTTCTCCTGCTGATATTGTGCCCTTTAAACTCTAGTTGCCTTGGCTTTCCCATTCTTCTAGCTACAATTCCTCAACTCAGGGAGACTGCTGGACTTCACCTGGGCTCGCCATTTGGACATCACAGCTGGGAAACTCTGTTAAGCTGGGCCAATCAAATGGCTCACTCTTTGTAATCCCATCACTCTGGGATTACTGTTCTTCATTGCTTGATGTCTAGTGTTTAAAAACTGTTATGTCATCTATTTTGTTTTTTAACTTTGAACAGAGAGCTAATCTAGTCTTTGTTACCCTAACTTGGTTCCAAGTAGGAGACTTTCAATTATGATTTTAACACATAGTTTAACAGATTTGTGTAAACCAGTTTGTCTTAAAATTAACCTTGTAATCTTAACCTTTGTATCTTTATTAAATCCATTTAACTTATAGACTTCATTGTCATCATGAAAGAGAGTACTGTGCAGTCCTTCAGGTTACTTTCTTTTGAGATCTCTCTCTCTCTCTCTCTCTCTCTCTCTCTCTCTCAGACATCCATATATTCTACCTCTCTTTCCCTCAGGCTTCTGAGAGTTGGAATGGGATTTTTCATTTACAACTTTATGCCCAGCAAAAGGGCAGTCTTTAATATGTTCAAGGCCAAGGATTATAATAAGCATACGGTTGTTAGAAAGCAGCTTTCTTTGGTTATCTACTGGTAGCACTCAGGGCTTCTTATGCCTCTTGGATTAAAATAAAGCAGGCCATATTTTGGTGAGACAGAGCCCTGTTCACAGCAGCTATGCTTTTTCATTTCCTCTGCCTTTAAGGAGCATATGTTCCCATTTCCAAGCATCTTCTGATGTTTTGTATCATTCAGGTATCTCCTGGAATGGATAATGTATAAGTGATGAGGCTACATTGCCCTGGTTTGCCTGTGCTCATTCTCTTCTCACATATGTGGAATATGGAAAATGAGTCATGAATGCAATTCGCATGTCTCGTACTCTTCTCATAAAACAGAAATCTTCATGGATACGTAATGGCAATGGTGAACATTCTTTCATTCTAATTTCTAATTGACTCTGGAAGTCAAATTCTTATAAAAATTAAATTTCTCCTATGAATTCCCTTTATTCATTAACACAAGTCAATTACATTCACTTGTGTGTGTGTGTGTGTGTGTGTGTGTGTGTTTCTCTCTCCCTTACATTCTTCCAATCTACTCTTAAGATCTGTGTGAATTCTATTCTCTTAATTTTCTTCCTTTTCTATCTGAATCCCTGACATTGAGATATTTCTTGTGTTTTGGTCACCTTTTCTCACACAGGATTGTACTAGCAAATTGTCTTGTTAACCCTTTCTTGCTTCTCTTTATATATTCCCTTTTGCTGTTTCCTTCCCATTTGTTGCTGGCAGCTTGCTAACCATTACCACCATTTTAAATTTAATCTTATAGCTGGTATTTCATTCCAAGTGATCATAAGTTAAAAACTAAAGCCAATTTTTTTTATTTAGTAAAGAGGATTTTTTTTTAGGATTCATCAACTCATATAAATAGGAGGCTATTTTAGTCATCTTTGATAACCAGCTGCAGTATTTTAAGAGTACTCCATATTGATTAAGAAGGTATTAAAAGTGAAGTCATTGGTTGTGTGCTAATGGCAGGTATATAAAGCCATATTGAACTCAACACTAGATTAAAATATTTGATGAGCCCTAATTACCTTTCATTGGTTTAATGTGAAGTATTTTTTACTACTTCATATTTCTTTTATTTATTTTTTATTTTAGAGACAAGGCTTCACTTTGTCAGCCAGGCTAGAATGAAGTGGGCACTCGTAGCTCACTGCAACCTTGAACTCCTGGTCTCAGGCGATCTTCCCACCTCTGTCTCCCAAAGTGCTGAGACTATAGGCATGGGCCACCATGGCTGGCCTGCTGTATTCCTAATGCAACAAGTTCTAGCAAACTGGCCCATCAGTAGTGGCATAGATATACAGTTAAATTCAGCTGATGTTCAATAAGTTACTTCTATGTAGAAATAGCATATTATATATTTCAGCGCATACAAAGGTGAGCAAAACTTAATCTTGCCTTCAGTGAATTTAATTCAAACTAATAGGGAAACAAAGATGTACATAGATCATAATAATAGCTAACACTGAACACCAATTATGTTCAAGGTGCTGGTTTAAGCACTTACATGTATTTTCCACTCTAATCCACATAACAGTCCTATGAGGTAAATGCTAGTATTTTATCTCTGTTTCATATGAGAAAGTTGAGCTATGAAGAGGTTAAGTGCCCAAATCAAGGTCACAGAGCTAGAAAGCCAGTGGAGTTTTTTGAATAGAAGAGTGACGTGATTAGGACCTAACTTTAGGATGGATATTCTGGTAGCAGTGCTTAGATTGAATAGAAACAAGAATTTGGAAATAGGGACACTATTGCTATTAGTCATCCATATTGAAATAATCCATTAATTCCCCAATTATAGTGGTAGTAGTGGAAATGGAAGGGGACCGTATAGACTTGTAGAGATTATAAAGACAGGATTCACAGAATTTGTCAAGTAATGCCGACATTCAATACATCAGTAAAAGTGTTGCTGTATTAAGTGGTTTAGAATAGAGATAACTTTGAGGTTTTAATATTGGTGGTGGCAAAATAATGATGCTATTAAAGAATTGGGAATAGAAAGTAATGTAGGTTAGCAATAGCTTCAGTTGGGATGTTTAGAGATGTCCAAAGGCAACTGGGCTGTGGGAGAGGAATGTGAGTGATGGGTCAGAGATAGTTTGATTTAGGGATCATCCATGGTAGAAAGAGATTAAGTGGTTTTTCTCAGAGGGAGAGAATAGAAAAATGCCTCTTATAAACAGGGAAAGAAGACACTTGTGACATGACATCATAATAAAGTTTAGAGAACTGATTAACAATAATTATGACTCATAGCAAATTAAATTATTTCTAAATTTACCGACTCCCACCCTTCATCTCTTGCATTTGAACATTTATAAAGTAATTTTAGTCTGGTTGCACTGAATCTGATTATTCAGGGTATTGATAGTTAACCTCACATCAGTTTCTACCATGAGTTATGTGGGTTTAGAAAGTTGTACCAAAATGTACGAACCTAGGGCTTTTAACAATCACACTTGAAAGAAACCTTGGGAGTTGCATTTGTCAAGCAGCTAGGAAAACCATTCATGCATACCCCACATCCAAAGCTCCATCGGCAGCCCAAACATAAAGAACTGAAAGGTCATTCTTCTTCCTGCAATGTGATGGCTTGTTGACGTATTTTGACACAACGGTACAATGCTGAAAGGGTCTGACCTTCCTGCAACACCGAGGGACTCAGGTTTGGTCAGGATACCTGACACTCATTGCATTTCTCTCCTTGCCTTCCTTCTCCTTCACAGATAAACACACTCCTCAAACACAAAGTGCTGCCCTCAGTACAGAAATATTAAATCATTTAAATAGATATAAATGATTGCTTTTTACATTTCTCTTGCCTCTTTTTTTTTTTTTTTTCCAGTTACCATCAAGCTGAAACCCTTACTTGGAACTATTAATGCTTTTAATTAAAAAATAAAATTAGTTTTTCAAAATGACAAATGTGAATGGAGATTGTTAATAGCTGGAAAGAGAAAAACTAAACAAATGAGGAGGTCTGTGTGCTATCTTATGTTTTATAGTCTATCTTTTTGATAGAAACCAATTTATTGGAATTCAGAAGTTTGAGGATTACTTCTGAAGTGCAAGATTAATGTACATAAAGGTAAATTGTAGATAAATTGAAGTAATTATCTCCTGTGTACATAATGTGTTAAAAGGTTGAAGAGTTAGTTGGAGGCAAGAGAACTATCAAGAGGATTTTCTGCCATTTATAAATTGATGTTCTATGTTAGATTTATCTACTGTGAAGTGGGGCTTTGACTGGTTATCCATATTATTTTTTAATTTAGTATATCATGGTGGCATGGAGAGGGGAAGAAAAATGTGTACTATTAATGAATTTCTATAAATATAAAAGTAATAACCTAAGTGCTTTAAAAAAAAATACTCTTTTTAATGAGAAGCAGCTATTCAGGAAGATTTTCATGCTGTCTCCACAGCTAATAAATATAAAATAATTGCAATAATATTCTCCGAGCATTTAGATTGCACTTTGCAAAGTGTGGAAAGTTTACATATTTGTCATAATATTGGAAAAAGGAGTATTCAAGTATTTCAGTGGTTTTGTTTCCAAATGTGATAACTGTCTACTAAATGAAATTAAGATACTTTTGTCCAAGGTAAATATTTTAATGGCATACCCAAAATTAGGACTGAAATTTTGAAGTATTTGTTTTAGCTCTTCACCTGTTTTACTCATATCACTGCACTTTTCAGTAACCCCTAGACATCATACATCTTTGTTTGAATCATTTCTCTTCCTATTTTCTCCACCATTTCAAATGGTGTCATGTCACTGGGAGCTAATGCCCACTATCAGCTGAGCACATTCAGCTTCTGTCTACATTACCACTCGGCTTCAGTTCCAATTTCCTGGTATTCCTCATTCAGATCAGACCTCTTAGATGGTGTGCTATGAGAACTGACAGCCCCCCATCCTGCTCTGCTTGCCCAGGGCCTAGTCACACACACTCCACTGTGCCAAGCGTGGCCACCCCCACACACCTTTCTGTTCAGGATTTTGTATAACTTTTAATTGACATTTATGTCTGACATTGTAGATGTACTTCTCATTGTAGAACATTTATCTACATAGGAATAGTTGAAAACTGCTTTTCACTTAACTATTACATGGATTAATGTTACTTAACAATGACAGGTTTCCCTGCTGAAACTCAAGTGGGCAGATAGTTTCTTGTTTCTAACCATTCTCCATCTAACATTGCAACCCACCACTCAGCACTATTCTCACTAATTGCTTGAGTATACAGCAAATCCATTTGAAATGATAGAGAGAGGGTTAAGTCCTGAGTACAGTATAAACTGTAGTAGAGCCCAGTATAAGGCATTTTTTTTTCTATATATGAAACAATCTTTTAACAGGGTTTATCAGCGACTTAATTTCTATACATATCTTTCCTCTAAATTCACCCCAGCTACACAAGTATAAATTTACCCAATTGTTTCTAATATAATGGCATTCTATATATATCTTTCCCTCTGAAAGCACAGAACAAAGTTCTGTTGTTTTGCCAGGTTCCTGGCCTTCTTTTATAAATTCTTAGTAAAATTTCTTTCATTGTGGTGAGAAAAAAATATATTCTATCAATTATTTTAAAAAGCAATAATTCATTATAGTTGATCATAAATGTCAGGAAGCAAAGACCCAGCTGAAGCATTTTTGTCACTAATCATGCTGTTTTTCTTCTAATTAGTTAATTTACATTTTGCAAATTAAGGGTAAAATTCAGACAGAAGACAACATCATAGCTTTAACTGACCCATATTTGTATCTGCCAAATTTAAGTTAATTAGAAATGTAGACGCTGTTTATCTGTCAGAAAAGCTCATCTTTTTTCTTAAAAAAAAAAAAAAAAGAAAAAAGTAGACACACTTTTTCCCCCTCAGCATTTATCATCTAAATAATAGTCTTGCCAAGATGGCAGCCTCATAATAAACTCTTTTCAGTGGAGTGATGGGTAATGAAGCTTGCTTGTGAAGGCAGCGAAAAATGTTGTCTGGCCAAATGCATGAATATGATGGCTAGAGAATCAGTGGACTTTCTCAGTCATCAATCTTTTTAGTAGCCTCTTATACATCTGAATATTTTGATAGATGATCTAATAATTGAGTTATCTATCTTTCTAAATATCAGAGTTGCATAAAAATTATTCTCACATGCTACTGAATATTAAATATATTAGGCATCCAGTAAATTTTTCATAAAAGGGCCAAAAGGTGAAACATTGTTGTTATTCTATAAATATCTTTTAATATATTGAGTGTTGAGCCCTCTGACATATCCAGCTCTTAACTCTCTCTGTGAGAAGTAGGTATATATTTTAAAAAGAGAACATACCTATTATAAGTAGGACACGTAATACTTTGGCCGGTAAAAAGTAGACCCTGGTACATGTGTAGATACAACTCAGTATTGTAAAATGGAATACACTTGTTGGTCTAACACCAGCCACACATTTAATATGACACAAATTTTCCATACAAGAAGCACAGATTATATGCATGCTAAGAATTACTGTATGGCTTTGGTGTCTCCATGATTTTGAGAGGAAGATGATCCTACCAAAAGGAAAAACAAAGCTCCCAAGTATTCTTATGATACACAGGTAGTTCTTTCCCCTCATATGGCTTTGTATGTGGAGGGAGGAATTGTTTTTGTTTTTTTGTTTTTTGTCATGCATCACTCTATTAAAAGCTTATCAACAAGTATGCTTCACTGGAATTGAAAAAGTGACAAGGAAAATTGGCAGGAAACAGATGACTTAGAAGTGGGCTTCTCCCACCCCCCTACCATTCACAGTTCTTCAAGGTGACCTTACAGTGATGACTTCCCAGTAACCAACATTAAAATAGTTCTGCCCTGGAAGAGCAGACATTTGTTTGTGGGTCTGACGGGTTACCAATCCTCTGCATCTTGAAAGGCACTCAAATGAGCAGGGCCTTGTAAATTGGATTTCTATTAGCCAGCCCTGATGATAGCTCTTCATCAGAGGAATGGGAGGAAGTGCTATCGATAGCTCCACCTCTAAATATCTTTGCTTGTTTTTCTTCCTTTTTTTTTTTTTTTTTAAATGCCACGCTTATTTTTGGTCTCTCTCATCCAAAATGGTAATGAATGCTAAAATTACCAGAAATAATTGCCTTTGAGGTTTTAAATAAGCCTTAAAATGTGAAAAAAATTTTTTTTTCTTCTTACGACGAAGTGTTGCTCTGTCACCAGACTGGAGTGCAGTGGCACAATCTCGGCTCACTGCAACCTGCACCTCCCAGGTACAAGCAATTCCCCTGCCTCAGCCTCCCGAGTAGCTGGGACTATAGACGCGTGCCACCACGTTCAGCTAATTTTTTCTATTTTAGTAGAGACGGGGTTTCACCATGTTAGCCAGGATGATCTCAGTCTCCTGACCTCAGGTGATCCTCCTGCCTCAGCCTCCCAAAGTGCTCAGATAACAGGCGTGAGCCACCACGCCTAGCCAAACAATTATTTTTTAATGGTTTTCAACTGGAAAAGCATTTGGAATGAAAATCAGCAACACAATGGCCAGAAACAAAAATGGCAAAAATGTCTTAAACCTTGTTTTCTATTTAATTCCTAACAATGATTTCATCTTACGGTTGTGCTATTTATAAAATTTGAGATGATAGACTTTTTTCTCTTTATTTTTCTGGATTGAAAATAATAATTCAGGACAGTACCAATTGTGGAAATATCTCTGTGGGTTACACTGAGGAACTAGTACTTTCTAGTAGGTGGATCTTTTCTTGGTTTCGAGACTCTCCATAATTTGGTTGGAAAAAAATGATATTTTATTGTAAGAGCTATCACTGAGAATTTTAAATTCTTAGATATCTATTTAAAATTATACATTTAAAACCATTTGAAATGTCCATATTGGGGAGGTTTTAGGGGAGGGAATAGTCTTTTCTTAATCAAAGTAGCAAACATCTGTGTTCTTTCTAGCCTGTCTTTTGATTAGCATGGCCTCATCCATCACTGGTCTTTGATATGAACACCAAGAAGTCGTGTCCTTTTGTTTTAAATGATAAATATGCCTTTGTCATGAATACTCATAGGCAACCCAGGATTTACATCTGAATTGTCAAAGTGTAACTGCCCAGCTCCTGTGATGAGTGACATTATTAGTGAAATAAAGAAGTTTTTAATTTGTCATGGATAGGCCTTAATGAGACTATGTGGGTTGTGGTGCTAGAAAAAGTTGTCCTTCCCCCACTATTTTTCTAAGATTTGTCATTTATCAACAAGAGGCAATCTGCCGCAGGAGGTTCTCTGTGAACATTTTTACTTTAGTGCCATTAGTCTGTCTCTAGGTTTCATTATTTAGGCTAGATGACTGGTAGTACTTATCAAAACTAATGCTATCTGAAGTACCCAGGCTCCTGTTGGTCAAACAACCAGCATCATGATTTGTTCTGTCAAGTTATTATTATCAAAGACAGTGTTTTTTTAAACTTTAGCTTTATTTCAAGGTCTATGTCAATTATATTTTCTAAATACATTTCTTTGACATCTTTGTTCCCACTAACCCACATCTACTCACATGTATTTATGTATGTGCTATTTATATAAATACATTGACCTATTCATATCTACCTATACAATTTCATGTTAATCATCAAAACCCTCAGGGTGTCCAATTTAACTGTTGTATTTGACTCTTCAACTAAGAAATTAGGACCATTAAAATTAAAAATATTGTGAAGTCTTGATCTTCACTTGTCTGCAATTTAATAGATTACAGCTTTCATATATTTGCTTTATTTGTTCCTACACTATTAATAGACAAATAGTTTGATAATTTTAAAGTGTCTTGTGATAAATGTTTCATGTTGGTAATAAGTGGTTTATTCTAATTTTATGTATACAGAGTATCCTGTGAAGATTTGGTATTTTAACAAGTAACTTTTAACAGAAATTGCATTACCTTCTACATGATTTGTCTTTATAATTTCAATACAACTGTTTTAAAAGTAGGCAGAGTAAGAGTGTTCAATCTCTTTTTCAACTGAATTGACCGGTGAATTAACCAAAACAACCTTTAATTTAGCATGTTGGGAATTTACATGAAAGTTAAGCTATATATTTTAGTTTGATTTAGCATCTCTCCATAAAAATCATTAAAATGGTTCAATCAGTATAAAAGCCTCACTTAAATTATATTGTATTTCAGGTCATATCCCTCACCCCACAAATGTATTAATCTTTGATTTTCAGTTTTGATTGTTTCAAAACTAAACTTTAGCACTCATTTTTTGAACAATATTTCTTGAGTGCCAAAAATATATATTTTAAGGCAAAAAAATACATGATTAACCCTTATTATCAGGCTTGCTCATCGAATTCTTTTTTCTAATTTTTAGTATTTCCTAAATCACCTGTTTCATAGAAAATGAAGTCTTGTTCATATTTGTTTCCCAAAAGAAAACAAACGCCTGGCAACTCTAAAGCCCAACCCCTTACATTAATGGAGATTTTTGTACTGTAATGTAAGTGTCTGAGTTTTTGAGACCCTAAGGCTTTCACCCAACTTAAAGACAATGATGCCAGTGAGCTTCTGTCCAGAGTTAATCAGCTGCAGAATTTGTAAACTGCACATGTGTCAAAGTTGAAAATGTTAGCACTCTAATAGAAGCTTGAAAAGGTTAGATCTGATAAAAGCCATCAGCAGTTAAAGAAAGTGATTTATGGGAATGTAATGACACAAAATGCCTCATTTATCACTCATATATAGATAGGTTAAGCTTCCTGTGTCATACTTTTAAAAACTTGACCACTTCGAATTGTCAAAATAGGTACTTAATTGCCCTTCATCCTTTTCATTTTGAATTTATTTCATTTGAAATTGGTAATTTCATCTACGATTACTTTACTGTCATTCACTTCATATGGTTCCATTTAAAGTCATTCATATTTAAGATTTTCAAAAACTGCATCACCGATCTTTTTGAAGTTTTATTAGCTAAAGCTGTTGCAAAGAAAGATTAAGCCAGTCTTATATATGCTAATTTACACTTTTATGTAACACAAATACCATGGAGATATGTTCAAGTTTCATTTTCTCTTTCCTAACACTTGTAATTTTCATCAGCATTTTCTAATCCTCTGAATATTCTATATATCTCTCTTAAAAAGTGCACCACAAGATGTTAAAAGACAGAGCCATCAATTGGTTTACCATCCTAATAACTCAACTTAATATTTAAGCTCCACACAAATTAAATTTAATGAAAACCTGCCTGTCTGGCTAAATGATCCCTAAAAATGGGGGCAAAAGCCAAAGTTAAGAGACATGCCAAATTGTATTTCTTTCCCAGGATTATTAAAAAACAATTCTCAATTATTTCTTATACATTCTAAGGAAGATATTTATAAACTTGGGATTTCTAAACATTTATTGGCTTATTTGATGTCATTTAGTTTATGCATAAATATCTTAATGCTATTAAATAAAAACTATTTTACAAACTTCGTTACGTCACAGTAGTATTGTAAAACACAAAATTTTATGAATGATTATCACAGTTTTAGACTCCTTAATGTGACAGGTAGACTTGCTGAAGGGCTTCATGGAGATCTTTCAGAACATGAAGTAGGCAGAAATGTCCCAGGACTTCCTTTGCCCCTCTATAGCCAAAAAATAAATTTGAGAAGTTTGGCAGGTTTCACTTTGTCAGCCCAATGCTGCACTTTCTTCAACAGTGACGTTCCAAATTCAATTGAAAAAGAAGTCAGAACAGTTTCTTCAACAAGACAAAGGCACAAAAAAAATTTACAGGGAAAGGGAGGAACTGTACTAGGAAAAAAACTTAAGAGACATCCTAACCAAATGCAGTTGATCCTGTTTGTTGCACCTTGATTCCATCAGACTACAAAAAAAAAATCACATTTTTTAGATAGTCATTGAAAGTTGAATATGAATTATTGTGAATTCTTAACACCTAGAAATTATTAATTTTCTTAGGCATGACAATGCCATTGTGGCATTATGTATGAAATTGTGTCAAAAAATGTCCTTTCTTTGAAAAAGAGATACATACAAAAATATGTAAGGGTAGATTGAGTTGGTGTCTGAGATTTCCTCTAAATATTTCAATAAAATAAATATATAAGTTCATAGGGAAAGAAAGATTTAAAGAGGGATATAGAATCTGGAAGATGGATATCTGAGGTGAGGGATCTCTCTGCTTTGTATACATTGAAATTGTTTGCAAAAAATAAAAAAAGTCAGGGGAATTATCTAAAAGTACCATTTTAAATATAAAATTATAACATCCTATATTTTCTAGTATTTTCTTATCACCAGTATAAGTTTTTAAGTCATAAGATATAACCTAAACCTTTTTTAATCTCCAAAGTTTATTCAAAAAATCATCTAATTGGCCACTACCAAATCCATTTACAATATTTTAACCCAGTAGCAAACCCAGTATTTTTTAAATAAAGAAAATGGGTAAGAAATTCTGAACATTTATTCAAAATATGACAGAAACTTATTAGCATACTTCTTTGTGCTCTGAAAAGTGTTTAATTCCTAAATAGTAGCACAAATCATTTTTTTGTTTAAAATGATTGTTGATGTATAACTTCAGCCTTATGTTTCTGGCAAATGAATTAGAGAGTTTATAAATCTTATATTTTAAGCTTTGTTTTTTATCACTGTTTACAAAAGCATTTTCTTGAGTTACAGATATAATTTCCCAACTTAAGGACTATTAAACTAAATGTATTTCTAGATGCATCTTTGTTCAGACATTTTATATACATATATACATTTAAATTAAAATCTTGATTTTTTTGTATGATTTTTAAAACCTGCATTTACTTGGCACTTTAAGCACATATGCAGTATTTTCATCTTTAAGCAACAACAAGAAAACCTGAAAATCTGAGACTCTCAGAATATACATTGATTTGGAGAAAATGTGTTCTTAATATGAATTTATCATTTACTCAACTTATATTAAAGGTTAGTTAGCCAAATGTATTGTATTTTTTTTTCCTTTTTGTGAATCGTGTACATACATTAAGACAATACAAGAAGAACCATTTCAGCTTAACCTTCCAGAGATTAATCATTTAGTTTGAAGGAGTTCTGTTGTTATTTTTTAAATCTGTGATTAGAAAAAATCATGTGTTTATATAATCATGGGCATCAAAATTGTCTCAATCTATGAATCTTAGCAGTTTGCTCTTGTAACAACTATGAGGAAATGTATTAGAATGCCTTAATTACAGAGCAAGAAAAAGAGAAGGCACAGTCTTTTCGCATATGATCTTTCAATTGTTCAGCAAAGGATAAAGAAGGCATTCAAGCGTGGTTTCAAGAACTGTCAGCAATAAGAAAATGCAAGGTACTTTGTAGGGCCTTCAAGACCTTTCTGGAAAATAGATTTAATTAAAAAGTAAAATAGACTTTTCAAAGAAATCTTAAAAATGTTATAAAACTTCATGTTAATATATTAATAGGGGTATTGTCTTCTTATCCTAGATGAGAAAAAGTCATCCATGAAGCTATTATATTTGATTCATACAACAGTGGAGCTTATAAATATTTTTCTTTAGGTTTGATTTAAGAGTGAGAATTATAATGCATTGAAGTATATAACAGTGTTAAAAGGCCTACTCTTTTTGATTCACAGATGGTGATTCAATCTCACCCGTAAAGTAGGAACATCTATAGTAGTCTTCCCCCTCCTAAAAGGAGTCCTTTTACCCAAATTAAAGTTTAAAATGATCAGAAATATCAGTGCATATGCTGTTTGTTTTAATTAACATGTTCATGTACACTTTGTTCATCCTTAGAACAATACTAATACTATGTAGTCGGGTATAAGAATTCCAGAGGTACTTTATTCCTTCCCTAGTTACTTTAACTTTTATAATTTTTTTTTTTAAAAAAAGCTCATTTATTTTCCACTGAGTTCAGTCCTAAAGCTTAATTAACAGTATATCTCCAAGCTGAATTACAGCAGAGAAGGTTAACCTGACTCTGTGCTAAGTAGCTGTTTATAAATAACCCAAGTTTGTTCTTCTAGAGCTTCAGAGCTTACATCGTCACCTCAGCCTGCCTAGCCTGTCTCAGGGTTTGGAGAGCCAGTCTGCTCTCATCCAAGCACACACACATCAGTATTTACTGGCTATTACCAGACACCAAATATATTCATGTTTAAATTGTCTTTGTTTTAGGACACTTCATTCAAAAACAAATCAATCTCAGAAGGTTGTGTTTTTAAGTAATTACTCTTTCATTGAGAATCTGTTTCTGGGCCAGTGTTGCTATTTTTCCAACTAGTCAATGATCAATGTATTCACTGTTCAATGTAAATAAATAAATAAGGATTAATTTGGCAGTGTACTTAAAGGCCTTATTAAAATCTCCTGTGTCTAGACTTCCATTTAAAATGACACTAGTGAACACTAGATACATAGTACAGGGACTTGTTTCCAGTTTAGCTCACACAGGGATGTAGCCACTAAAAATGTCTGCTCTATATTTCCATTAACTTGAGTTTCTCAGTTTAAATTATTATTCTGCAAAAGATACTGCAAACTACTTTGTTCCTAAATAGTCATTCAGTGGATTGAATAATACTTGAAGATTTGTTGCATTTTGACTGTAGGAAAAATAATGCCTCTGTGTGATAATGAGTATATGATTTGCATGTGTGTTGTATAATTTACAATATACATATGCATTCATCATGTTATTCTTTCAATATGATGAATTACGTCAGTTTATTGCATATGTCTGCATGTACCTCATCTCTTAATTAAAGCATTAATCACTAAAATTACCAGAAATACATAGTTTTAGTGTAAAATTTAATGTTGATCTTTGCATAGTAATACACATATTATTTCTAATTGGTAGACTATACTAAGACATTTTAAGTAAGGATTTCCCTATTATCATTCTATCATATCAGTTATTTTAAATATGCTTATCTTAATATATACTTACACTTTTTAACCATTTTAAATCATTTTTATTTGAGATTAATTTCCTAAATCACTAAAATTACCAAAGACATACATATGTGCATATATATGCATATTATGTGATCAACTTTAAAATTTAAAAACTGTATATAGTCTTATTGCACTTTTAAAATTTAAAGTTGATCTTTGCATTATTCATACACATTATTTCTAATTGGTAGACTGTAAGATAAGTGAAGATTCTATATTATGCTTTTATCATATCAAATTTATATATGTGATCTTAATATATACTTGCTACACACTTTAATAATTGTGTTGTTTAATAATTTTTTTCCACTTGGGATTAATTATATTTGAGTTTAATTTCCCAGCACTTAATATTAATTCATTTGCAAGTAATAAACATTTGCTAATCATGCAGTTCAATCCTTTAAAAGTCCACAGCTGCAGAACAGAATTAAAAATTGTAATGCTTAGAGGGAACTATTTGGGAAAAAAGTTACTATCTGGTCATAGGATTTAGTTGCTAAGAGTTTGGTGTTAAGAAGGAGGCACATGTAGCATCCTCCCCATTAGTTCATTTAACTTTTCTAAGAAAACAATTTTATTTGGTTACTCCTAAACAGTTTCTATAACTGTCCCCATTATCTACCTTCTTAGCCCAAGACCTTGCTCCAAGGCTTCTCTGAGAAGGTAGAGAACTCCCACATAGAACTGCTTTAAATCACCCCCATTTCTCTCTCTGTTTTTGCTTATTCTCTCCACTTGTCTCAAATGAAGGTGGCTTCTTATTACACTTCTTCCTTTCCTCAGTTTTCCCTCTTCCCTAGAATTGCATGGTTTGC
The DNA here is from genome assembly GCF_000001405.40 of Homo sapiens. Lineage (NCBI taxonomy): Eukaryota > Metazoa > Chordata > Mammalia > Primates > Hominidae > Homo > Homo sapiens. The sequence continues at coordinate 36,736,305 of NC_000015.10, forward strand.
CCTGTGCTTTGAAAATCTCCCTTGATTTACACTCTACAGCTACTGACTTACTCTCCTCTTCCCATTGTTGTCCAGTACCTTGATATTCTTTCATGCTGGTGGCCTCTACTCCCCAACCCACTTAATGGAAGAACTTGACATTCTCCCATGTTTGTTTCAAAGCCACATAGGCATGTGTCTACGAGATGCTGCTTTGATAATGAGTTGGTTATACTCCTGCATCCTACTCAATTGCATAAACATTCTCTAATTCCTAATGGAAAGGCTGAAGAACCTTAAGCCTACTCACTTGGACCTGCTGTTGATGAGTGCCTGGGATGCTGAGTTATTTCAGGGCTCTGCTGTTAATGTTCTAGCAGTATTACCCATCCAGATCTCTTTAAAATCTTGGTAAATAATGGCTGTCCATTGCCTGCAGAGGAAAGTCAGGCCTCTTGTCTTGAAGTACGTTTAAGGTCTTCCACAGTCTGACCTCCTCCTTTCCAGCCATATCCCAAGATGTTACTCCATACACTTCCCTACTTCTAGCCAAACAAATATGCCTCACACCCTTTTTAATCATTTAAAAATGCTTCACACTGGCCGGGCACAGTGGCTCATGTCTGTAATCCCAGCACTTTGGGAGGCTGAGGCGAGCGGATCACCTGAGGTCAGGAGTTCAAGACCAGCCTGGCCAACGTGGTGAAACCCCATCTCTACTAAAAAATACAAAAATTAGCCAGGCGTGGTGGCACACGCCTGTAATCCCAGCTACTTGGGAGGCTGAGGCAGAAGAATTGCTTGAACCCAGGAGGCAGAGGTTGCAGTGAGCTGAGATTGCACCACTGCACTCCAGCCTAGGCAACAGAGTGAGACCCGGTCTCAAAAAAAAAAAAAACAAAAATTGCTTCACACTGCCCTTTTGCATGCCTTTGCTCCTGCAGGTTCCAATACCTGGGTCGTTCCTATTTTTGCCTTTTATATCTGACCTCCCCTTCTGCTAAATTATTCAAATGAAGTGATTCATCTAGAATCTAGACTATAGGTAACAAATATTGCATTTGAGGCTAAAGTTATGTTAGGAGCATTTGGAAAATATTAACTAATCTGCATGTTGCCAGAGTGTGCCACCGTAATGTGACATGATAAAGAACTAGACCAGGAGGTTTCATTTGTGTGTGCCATTGCTGTGACAGGGACTACATGGAGTACTACCTCAAGAATTATGAGGCTTTTGTGGACAGCTGACTTCTGCTAGCTCCCTTTTCTCTGTCTCTCATATCCTGTCTCACTAATAGTCTGGGTCAATTAGTTACTGTCTAGCTAGTTACTGTCCAGTTAATGACTCTTCATCCTTATTAAGCAGTTATGGGATCAGATCACTGTACCGGCTGCTTATGAGTCAGAGGACAATCACTTAATCAGTTGGTTGTATCCCAAGAATGTAAAGTAATTTAACCCAAATAAGAATACTCATATACAGGGAAATGCCTGGAGCTGCTTTTTGTTTAGAAAAGACATCTGGGTGTGGGAGGTACATAGGGTGTCCTAGATTGTCACATAAACTCATACTTATTAATAAAGATAATATTGTTCAAGACTATATTTATGACCAAAATCACCAGGTCAGAACTCACCTTTACTTGACCTGTCCACAACATTTGACAAAGCTTACCGATGACTCCTTGAAACTTGACTTTATTTGGTTTATAGAGTACCACACCTTTTGGTTTTCTCCCAATCTTCGTAACCATTCCTTCTCAATCTCCATTCATGCTTCCTTCTCTTCTAACTGTTCTCTTTATGTTGGAGTGTCCCAGAGCTCAACATTTCATCCTCTTCTCTATTTTTTTGGCTTGGCGATTTCATCTAGTTTTATACCATCTGCGTGCTAATACTTCCGAAAGCTATGGGTCTATACTGAACCTCTCCCTGAACTTCAGGACCCATATATCCAGTTGCCCATTCAACACCTCTGCTTGAATATATGGCAGATATCTCAAATTCAGCGTAGCCATATCTGAATTCCAGATGTCCTTAAATGTTTTTCCCATCTCAGTTTTGACAATTCTGTCTTTCCATTTGCTTAGATGAACTACCTTGGAATCATTCTTGTTTCTCTGCCTCATATGCCACTTCTTGCAGTGGTTCCCTATGACCCAGAGTAAGAGCCAAAATCAGCCTTCATGGCCCTAGATCGTTCTGCCCCAGTTATTGTTCTGACCTCATCTCCTACCACACACTCCCCGCTTACCCACTCTGCAACAGCCATTCTGGCCTCTTTGCTCTTCCTCAAACTTGTCAAGTACGTTGCTGCCCCAGGCCTTTTGTGCTGACTCCCTGTTACATGAAGCACTGTCCTGAGGTACATACGTAGCTCACTGTCCAAAGTCAGACACATCACCACCTTCTCAGACCTAATCTGACCCCCCCAACAGCCTACAGCTTTCTTTTTTGTTCCATGTTTCTCCATAATCCTTACCTCCTAAAATGATCTATAATATCCCTCTGTTTTGTTTGCCCCACTAGGATAAAAGTTTCACAAGGACAGGGATTTTTGTCTGTTTTGTTTACCCCTGTATCACTAGGATTAAAGTAATAAGAGCCTATTATGTGCCAGGCACTGAATGGTTTATTTTGAATAGGCATAATGTATTTTTAAAATGTAAATATCATGTACCAATGTTAATAGCACAAACTGCTAATGTTACAACATTTGATGTTCCCAAAGTTTCTGAGACTTGGAAGGAATGTTACAAATCTAATATATATGCCATGGAAAATAAACAATCATCAGTCTTTGAGTTTTGCGGTTTGAAGAAAACAAGGCTGGGTGCAGTGGCTCATGCCTATAATCCCAACACTTTGGGAGGCCAAGGTGGGAAGCTGAATTGCAGCCAGGGATTTGAGACTAGCTGGGCAACATAGCAAGACCCTGTTTCAACAACAACAAAAAACAAAAACAAATTTAAAAAGCCAGACATAGTGGCATGTGCCTGTAGTTCCAGCTAGTTGGGAGACTGAGGTGGAAAGATCCCTTAAGCCCAGGAGTTTGAGCATACAGTGAACAGTGATGGTAACCCTGTACTGAAGCCTAGGCAATAGAGTGAAAGCCTGTCTCTAAATGCAAAACAAAACAAAACAAAACAAAACAAAACAAAAAACAAAGAAAAGACAGGCTGTCTCCTCTCTCCCTCGCTTTGGTTTTACTGGGAAGCCCACTGCAATTTCTGAGAGAAATAATACCAACTTAAAGAAAAATTATTGGTATTGTTTTATATGTTATCAGTATGTTTGGAGATCGTGTTACAATATACTTATAAAGCCATTTATAGGAAATGCACACTGTGACACGTATTTTAACCATTACTGGCAAGTATCAAACTTCAAAATTAATTATGCAAATATTCCAAATGTTAGCAAGTTTAAAGTAAAGCATGAGATGATGTCTTGGATCCAACTGAAAATAAGTATGTATTCTCCTATTACCATTTTGATTACTGAAAATTATACAAAAACCATGTTATTGAATTTAAAAGATCCACAGTGTTGGCCATCTCTGCACATATCACATCCAAAAAATTTGAAAAATTAGTATTCTGAATGAAATATACAAAGTTTTATTCTTTTTTTAAACTCTGATTGAATATGTATCTAAAATGTCATATTTACTACAGGAATCCACATTGCTTAGCAAAAACAACAAATTTATTTTGTACTGGAAAAGGGCTTGCCCGAAAGTTTCACTGAATATGGTTTGTTGAAAATGCTCTCCAAACAAAAGTTGGGGGGTTGAATAATTTTGGAAAATGTTGCCTACTACATTAGAATATTAACGGCTCTGAGAAATTCTGTGTCAAGGAAACATGTTTTCATTGTTTAAGCCTACATTTCTTAAACTTATTTGATGAAGGACCTCTTTTTTGCATCTAATACCTGTGTCCCCTTTGGAATGCCCTCTTGGACTCTCTTGTGTGGACGATAATCACATCAGTGGTGGGATATGAGTGAGGTAGATGTGGGGGGTGGGGAGTACCACTTTTAAGCTACGTAAGAGGAGATAGTAAATATACTTAGGCATCCTAACTAACCATACCTGTCATAACTGAAAAGCCCAAATGACATCACCTTAGATCCGAGATTATGCAGGGACCAGACAGATAACAGAAAGGAGTGGAAACTGTGGTGATACCGAGAGATGGTAGCACTTCTACGTGAAACAGCCCTGCTCAGCTCATCTCATGTGGCTATGGAGATATAATGGGCCCACTATGGTCAAATCTCGTAATTCTTCAAATCATGCTGAATATCAAAATTTTTATGGGCTGGGCGCAGTGGCTCACGCCTGTAATCCCAGCACTTTGGGAGGCTGAGGCAGGTGGATCACCCGAGGTCGGGAGTTCGAGACCAGCCTGACCAACACGGAGAAACCCCATCTCCCGTAAAAATACAAAAATCAGCCGGGCATGGTGGTGCATGCCTGTAATCCCGGTTATTCTGGAGGCTGAGGCAGGAGAATCGCTTGAACCCAGGAGGCGGAGGTTACGGTGAGCTGAGATCGCACCATTGCTCTCCAGCCTAGGCAACAAGAGCGAGACTCCATCTCAAAAAAAAAAAAAAATTATGTTTGCTCTCCTGCATTTCAATTTTTTTTTTATTTTTATTTATTTTGAGACAAGGTCTCACTCTCTCACCCAGGCTAAAGTGCAGTGGCACGATCATGGCTCACTGCAGCCTCTAGCTCCTGGGCTCAAGCAATCTTCCTACCTCAACATCCCAAGTAGCTGAGAATATAGGTGTGGACCACCACACCCAGCTTTTTTAAAGAATTTACTGTGATGGCCTGGGCTATCTCCTACACTTTAAATAGTGACAATTAATTCTGTAGTTTCAGGGCACTGAAGCAAAATATATCCCAGAACCACCCTGATGCATGACCTCTACTTTATGAGGAATTGGTACAGCAGCATAAAAAGGAGAGGCATATGGGGTAACCAGTGCACTCCTGCCAAATAATCAAACCCTGGTAGAAACAAAACAACTTTACCTTCCATATTTCCTAGACTGGAGTATTTCCAACTAGTTGTAAGTGTTTAAGTCTGAAAAACTTCAAAGACCAGTTGACATCATTGTCTTCATCAAATAATTATAATGACAATTTAATATTTGAAAAGCTTTTTTTTTTTTTTTTTAGTTTACAAAGTACTAGCATTGAAAAATAAAATGATGCTCTAGGGGTCCTAGTTTCCTAGGGTGGTCATAACAGAATACCACACAGACTGGGTGGCTTACAGGACGGAAATTTATTTTCTCACAGTTCTGGAGGCTGGAAGGCTGACATCAAAGTATCGGCAGGGCTGGTTCTTTCTGAGTGTCATGAGGAGAGGATTTGTCCCTAGCTTGTAGAAGGGCTTCTTCTTCCTGTGTCTTCACATCATCTTTCTTCTGTGATATCTGTGTCCAAGTTTCTTCTTCTTGTAAGGACATTAGTCATTCAATTAGGGACACCCTAATGACCTCATTGTAACTTAATTTCCTCTGTAAAGACCCTGTCCCCAAATACAGTCACATTTTGAAGTGCTGGAATTTAGGGCTTCAACATACAAAGTTTTTGGGAGGTACATAACACTAGGAAAGAACTTTGTGGAGTAAAACGAGGGCTGTCTCCGTGGTTTGGGTTTTGGTATTTTGGTTTATTTAAATACTTAAAAATCAGATTCAAAATCTTAACCATAATATTTTATACATAAGCCAGGAAAAGTTCCTTTGTGAACTGAAAATAAAAGCGTAGATGAAACCAATTATCCAAATAAAAGAGTAGATGGAACCAAATGTCCAAGTGTCCAGAGACCTACAAAAACTAGTGTGTATATGTGAGATACTAGGAAAGGAAGGATTGAAATTACAGGTCATTCATCTGGACCACCGTCAAAGACCCAACTAGACAAGACCAGCTGGAAGCCAATTTATATCTATAAATACATAAAATAGAGTATAAATGGAATAATATGTAAAATGAGATACGAACCCTTACTGTTAACATCAACATGTTCTAATGCATAAAAGTTCTTAGTAGTCTAAGCCTATGCAAAACAATTTTTTTTTGTTTTGCTTTTGTTTTCTCTTTAGTGTTTGTTCGTTAATACACAGGAAAACAAAAAATCAGTACATTGAGTTTTGATGGCCAACGAAGAAGGCAAAAATCAAACAGAATCTCAAATTCAACATTGATTATGTAAAATAAACTTTTTCAGGTCACCTTTATTTTGTGAACTGCTTTCTCACAATTTTCTTTATACCATCATAGATTTCTGAGACCCCAATGTGCTTGAGTTGAGACCTCCTTCTGGAGTCTTCCTGTTGTTGGTTTGCCTGTGTAGAATAAGTATTTCCAGATGCAGGCCAGTTTTCTTTCAAAACTGCAGCAGATTGCTGAAGTTCACTCATTCACACATTCATTCGTTTATTCATTAAACTGGTACCTTGTGCTGGGTACAGGGGTAGGCAATAAAGATAAAAGATAAGCATGGCCTCAAGCCTCAGTAAGCTCATGGTCTTGTAAAATAAACAAAAATGTTAACAAGGAATTTAGTATGTTAAGTACAGTAGCAACTGGCTTGGGTCCTCAGAATGGAAATAGTCATTCAAGCCAGAGGGAGTGGGAAGACCCATGAGTTGAGTCATAAGAAAAGCACAAAGGTTTTCTAGGTAACCTATTAAAAGGCAGACCAAATTACCTGGCATGAAAGTGGAGAAGTTTGAAAATAGATAGTATATTAAAGAAATGGTAAGTAACTTTGGTATTTCTGAAGTATCAACTGTGTGTCAGGATAGAGAAGATGATATTGGAGAAGTAAGACGAGCCAGGTCATGTAGGGGAAAAATCACTTCGGCAGTGGGAAGCCTTTGAAATATTTTAATTAGGGGAGTAGCATGATCATATTTTTATTTAGAAAGACTGTATGAGCAGCAATATGGGGAATAGATTGGAAAGGAAAGTCACTGAGAGTCAAATTTATTTAAGAAATAAGCAGTAGATAATCTTAGCAAAGTCATAGAGTAGGGTGCTTAGCCTAAACATAACCTGCTACCTGTACCAAAACACACAAAGATATTCTGTGTTCTGCAACATCTCTTTTCAGTATCAAGTCCCAACAGTGCAGTGCCCTCTTTTAATCTAATCAAATGCAATAATCAGAACTAATCCTAGTATCAGTGGATGCTGCAGTCAGGGTCCCTGCAACTTCTGATGCTTGAAACCCAGGTATGGAGTGAGTATTATATATACCCTCAGTGTTCCAAGGTGTAAAGAGAAACCATGAGGCAGGCCAGGTGCAGTGGCTCACACCTGTAATTCCAGCACTTTGGGAGGCTGAGGCAGGAGGGATGCTTGAGCCCAGGAGTTTGAGACGAGCCTGGGCAACATAGTGAAACCCCATCTCTACAAATAATAATATTAACTGAGCATGGTGATATGCGCATGTGGTCCTGGCTACTTGGGAGGCTGAGGTGGGAGGATCGCATGAGCCCTGGAGGTCGAGCCTGCAGTAAATCATGATCATGCCACTGCACTCCAGCCTGGGCAACAGAGGGAGAACCTATCTAAAACAAAATAAAACCAAAAAAAAACACGAGGCTGTCTGTAAACCCATTGACTTAAACATTTTATTCTTCATTCTAAAGACATTTTTTGTCTTTTTTTTTTTTTTTCTTAAAAAGTCTCTGAAAATTTTGGTTTTCTATTTCCCTGAAATTTACTAGACCTTCATGAAATGCATCACCAGATGACTGACTTTGCAAACATTTTTTTCTGTCCTTCCATTTTGTACAGAGGAATTCTGCAATGAGGGGACATAGCAAAAAAGGCCCACTTTCCTTGCAGGCTCTTCAGAGCAACATCTGCTTCAGTGGAGACAGCAACAGACTACTGAGTACTTCCCCCAGGCCTCTGGTCCATACCCACAGCCCTGTTATCCTGGTTTCTCCATAGGGGAGCAAATGTCAACCAGCCACATTAGCATCTTTTTTATGTTCATTAAGAAGCCAGAGGATTATTGGTTCTGAATATCTCTCTAGCTGCATCCTGGGATCTAGGTCTCCCTCAGCGTGGTCTGATTGCCCTTTCCAGTGTACCAAATTCACATAAACTCCTTGAGAGCAAGGGTAATATGTTCACTCATTAAGTTGGTACCTCTTGAGCGCCTACTATGTTCACCATTCTGGGAACCAGGAATGCAGAAATGAACAAGACAGATGTGGGCCCTATCCTTAGGGATCTCATACTGTGATGAGCAAGACAGAAAATAAACAAGGAAATGAATGAATACATTTTTTTTCAAATCATGATAACATGATTAGGGAAGGTTTTTCCAACCACCTGTGATAAAATAAATCTCTATAAATGTTTGAGTTGAATCTCATTTCACCAAATTGAATCGGACCCCCTCTGCACATCAAGCTCAGATGATAACTTTGAAAATGGCCTTCAACTATACTGCTGTTTTGTGTACAGCTCTAATTAGCCCATGTGTAATTTGAGACATTGAATGTTTTGGCTGTAGGACATCTCTGTGGCATGAAGTTTTTCTGATATATGGCCATTGACCTGAATACTGCCATGTCTAGCTTTCTACATCCCAGAAGCAGCTGAGTACCTGTAATATCATTATTTGCAATCACTTTTGTATACATCCATAAGTCAGGAAGCAGAAAGGGTGAATAAGTGGTGATGTTCTTATTGTCTGTATATTTGAGAGTATATGTATGAGCAGATTATGATAAATGCATCTTAATGGAAACCCAGCCAGGGTTATACATACAGTTTAAACATCAGAGGTTTCTGATAGATTATAATAAAACTAAAGGGAAAAAATTGCACTTTTCCAAGCATTTGTAGAGCTGTGATTCATTTTTACCATTAAAATATTTATATTAAGTTAAACACTTCATTTGTTATCAGCCCAGGACCCTATAAAAGATAATAAATTTGTCATTATTTTCCATTAAATTTCCACTCTTTGATAAGTACTGAACTTTTAAAGACATGATGCTGGCCAGAATGAACTTATTATATATATTTTTAAATTAACCATTTGTTCAACTTTGGTATATATTACATTCTGAATAATCTAATTCTGGTCTCATTATTATTTTAAACAACTATTACTTTCCAAAAATATGCATGGTTCACTGTAGAGAACTCTGAATGACAAGTCTGTTGAACTTTCAAAACAACTGTTAACTAGTCTTCTTCCTCATCTGTAATATTATTATATTATTGATATTGATTTTAGGCATCTATCAATAAATATGAATATATTACTTTTAGATACTCTTAGGGTGTAAGCATAGAATTGATTCATATCAGTTAAACTAACTCATTTAAGAATATTACTTATGAGGCCGGGTGCAGTGGCTCATGCCTGTAATCTCAGCACTTTGGGAGGCCGAGGCGAGTGAATCATCTGAAGTCAGGAGTTCAAGACCGGCCTGGCCAACATGGTGAAACCCTGTCTCTACTAAAAATGCAAAAATTAGCCAGGCGTGGGGGTGGATGCCTGTAATCCCAGCTACTCGGGAGGCTAAGGCAGGAGAATCGCTTGAACCCAGGAGTTAGAGGTTGCAATGAGCCGAGATCACGCCATTGCACTCCAGCCTGGGCGACAGAGTGAGACGCCATCTCCAAAAAAAAAGAATACTACTTATGAAAAATTGTTCAAATCATAGGACACAGAAATATATACAAAAAACAGTTTTTAGTACAATTAGAGCGAAAGGAACAGGATCCAGGTAAAGAAAAGCTTCCTGTGACACCACAGACTTCAGTGTCTCTGGGGCAGCGCTGATAGTTTTGTTGAGCAAATTGCTAACATAATTCATTTGATATGTGGCAGTATTATTAAGCTACCATGTAGAAGACCAATTAGAGGTGTTTGGTTTGTGGGGCTCTTTGCTTTTGGAAGTTTGTTTTGTTTGTCTGTATTGGGGAGTGGAAATAGTAGAGAGAAAGAGGAAGGAGGCCAAGTGGGAAGTTATTGCTGAAATACAAGTGCAAAATAGAAAAGGAACAAAAACAGATACATGGAAGTGGAGAAAATATATATGGGATATTAAGGACATGTATTGTCCTCTTCTGTTAAATTTAGGTTGGAAAGAAAGGTATTTATGATAGGAGTAGTTACATTCCTTATATTCAGTACCATTTAAATCATTTGCATTGTTTAGTGTCCAACTTATTTGCACCAGGAATTGAACTGAGTGCTTCTGAGTTCTGGTGTGCTATGTTCTCTGTTTTAATGCTTCATCTATTTCAAAAACAAAAACAAAACAAAACTGTTACCTGCATATCATACACGTATATGCATATCATATATAAATATATGGTTCCACACACACACACACACACACACACACACTGCTACTTTGTGAGTAAAAGAAAACAAGGTATCATTAAAAGTTGGAAACGTGTCTTTTTTTTTTTTTTTTTTTTTTTTTGAGACAGGGTCTCACTCTGTTGCCCAGGACTATGGCTCACTGCAGCATTCGCGTCCCCCTCTTCCAGGCTCAAGTGACCCTCCCACCTCAGTCTCCCAAGTAGCTGGGACTGCAGGTGCATGCCACCATGCCCAGCTAATTTTTCTATGTTTTGTAGAGATGGGATCTCACAATGTTCCTCAGGCTGGTGTGGAACTCCTGGGCTCAGCGATTCTTCTGCCTCAGCCACCCAAAGTGCTGGAATTACAGGAGCGAGGAAACATTTTCTACCAGGAATCTTTATGAAATGTGTTTGTAAATAACAAAAAACATTTTCAAATTGTTGGAAATTTCTCAGCAGTTAGTGCATTAAAAAAAAAAAAGTTTCAACCAGCATGTGTTTCCTCATCTTAAACAATAAGTAGCAATGTTTGGAAAATGTTTGTTATATTATCTCTCTAAATAAAAGTTGATAGTTCCCGTAACACTTGTAACAAACATTTCTGGGTGACAAAATAATTTGCCTTTCAGGTCATTCCCAAGTAAATTTATTTTTAAAGCATTTATTTGCAGCTGCAAGGGCTCCCAAAAAAAGGGCGGCTGTTGGACGGCTTCAGTTGGCCTAGAGTTTTCATTTATTCCATGCTCTTTTTTATAAGTGAACTTTTCTCAAAGTTGTGTTTCTTTTCTTAACTTTCATTCATAAAGGTAAGTGTCTTTATTTCCTTGAAAAGCTTTATGAGTGTATTTATTAGAATTAAGTGGTTTTCTTTAAAAAATCACAGACTTAGTCTTCTTAGAGCTAGCCAAGATCTCTCATAGATATAATCTAATTTCATGAGTGAAGAAACCAAGGCCCAGGGAGATTTAAGTCACTCAGTGTTGAACACTAATCAGTGGGTTGAGTAAAATCTTTAAAAACAGAAATGAATTAACATTTATGGTAGGAATTGTTTGAATTTCACAAGTACTTAGTATTATATAACTGCTGTCTACCACTTTGACATAGAGAACTCTTTGAATACCAAAACATTTTTCCTAATAATTAGTGGCAGCCAATAATATTATCAGACCCCCGAGCCAACCACATGCTGACCTAATACAAGACCTGAGGATTTTTCACTCTGAGTCTTGTTCCCTTGCTGCTACATAACACTACACTGTGAGTTAAAATCAGCTAATAAGGATTTTAAAAATTTAACCATGAAGGGAAATAGTCTAGAAGTTATTTAATCATTCGTTACAACCCAAGAAGCAATATAGCTGAGTAGAAAGGGCACAGGTCTGGGGGAGTGGCAGTGGGAAATAACTTTGGTTCTCATTTGGTCTCTCATTTGTATGACCTGGGGCAAATCTCTCAATTTCTCTCTCTTTTCTTACTCATCTGTAAAATGGGCACAATTTGGATTCTTGTAAAGTTTGAGTGAGCTTAGATATACATAGTGCCTGCCACATAATACACATTTGACAACAGGTAACTAGAAGTACTTGATGGAAAGTATCTGTAAGTAAACCAGTGTGTGCCAAGTTGAGGTAAATAGATACGGGATGAGATGTTTTGCAGTCATTGCCGGGTCTTAGTTTGTGACTTTGTTATAATTCTGTGCTGTGGCATAGATGCCATAGCCAGATGTCTCACTTTTCAGTGTGACACTGCTAAGAATCTGAACACTTCTGCAGGGCAGAAACCGGTGCACTAACAAACTGTCTCCTTGCCCAACAAAGTTTGCCTCCAGCAGAGGCCTTTTCATTTTCCTTTTTTTTTTTCCTCTCTCACAACAGCTGTTTCCCTGTTTTTGGAACCACATAGTGAATTCGGATTAGTAATTTCACTTTCCAAGGTCTCAGATACTTGAGAAGTTAGCAGATATTTTTTCCATTTTAGATTTAGGTACCAAAAAAGTAAAAACAAACAAACAAACAAAACGTGCAGCCATCAACTGGGGGGTACATTCACCACTTGGGATTATTTCAAAGCAAAAGTGCATTTACTAGATCTATGTGACTTCTGATTTGAGGGTCAGTTTTTTAAAAACATCACCAACCACAGACTTGTAAAGTTTGCAGAAACTGCCGACAGACCCAAAATGCTAAAGGTTGTAATCTCTTGAAAGGAGTTGGTTGATTTTCCTGTTGCCCCTCCTATCAACTTTAACCTCCAACCTTCTCCGGCATGTATCACTACAAATAAAACTGCTGAGGTTTGACAAGAGGATATAAAGTCAGTAGGCCATCGCACAGAGACGGCCACGTGATTTTCTTCAACCTGAAATGAATGCTCTTTAAGTTGGGCTTTTCAATAGGAAGTCATAAACACTCACTCGTATCGCTTTAAGTTTTAATAATTACTGTTCCAAAAAACCCCAGAAATATACATATTAAATGATGTTTGACAACTGGAATTTAGTGGTTTTGTTATTGGTTGTCTTAGACCATTAACTTGGATTTCTGTTCTTAATTTTAATGTATACGATTTCAAGCAAGCAGCATATGATACTGATATAAACATGGCATTTGTATACTGCATTATAAATGAATTTTTAGCTTGTGATTAAGACAAACCAGATGACCTAAAGCAAACAATGTGTTTGTATTGCTCTGGTGACTTAAAAATAATGCCCTGCCCTGGATTCACCTGCAGTGCCTTTTGTCCTTTAGGGAACTGGAGATATGTGGCCCATGTAGCATTTAAGCTCACCAAGGTTTCTGAAGTTTCATTATTTTTATAGATTTCTCAAATAATTCCACTGTCTGTGGAAATTATTCATCCTACACTAGATAAATGCTGTCTTATGAAGTCTGTGGCACGATTCAGACTGAACTCAGCTGGCTGTCTGCCGCTAGATCGGATCTGAACATTAGGAATGGGATGCTATTGCATCAGTAATTGAACAGTGGTTCTTCTTTTAAAAAGCAAAAACAAAAAAGTACATCTGTGTTTTTGTCAAGGCCAGCTTATTAGCTCCCAAACAACCATAGAGAGGTGGCCTACCTGTCCAAGTGTTCTTTTTTCACGCTGATTTTCTCCTATCTATGTTATTTTCACCAGGCCATTGAGTGAAGGGAGGACACAGGTTCTGAAGGAGCAGCAAGTCTGAGAAGGAAAGGGCATTGGTGCTGGGAGGTGGGAGACAGGGCACCAACCAGGTCCCCCGACCTTTTGGCCACCTCAGCAGAATCCTGCCTTTTAGCAGAGCCAGTATACCTTCTGCAAATGCATTGTGTTGCCGTAATGAAAATGCCTCTGTTTGAAACTCCAGACCCAGTCACCTGAGCACTTCACTTCTTCCTGAGCAGGATCCAGAGCCTAGAAAAGAATTATGTGTTGGTTCGCGGTGGTGGTGTGGTGGGGGCACAGGAGAGGGGAAGAAGAAACAAATCCAAACCAAAAAACCTATGTGGGTATGACTGTCATCTTAAAATTCTTAGGGAACTACATTTTTGTATGTTCCTTATGGCAAAAAAAACTGTTGAGACCATTAGGAACCTCCCTCATTCGTCCCATGAAACAGTGCAATTTTACTCTATAAATCCAAATGCTAATTATTAACAACAGCTGTAGTAATCCATTGCATTTATTCAGCACCTCCATATACATTATTTCGTTTGAGCTAACCACTCCTCTAGGAAACTGAAAGCATTTTAATGGATAGGAAAGCAAAGGCTCAGAAAGATAAAGTGACTTGTCCAATATTAATTCATCAGCGTCAGAGCCAGGATTTCAGCATTTACTATGTACCAGGCATCCAAGGATGGGTTTGATTCCTTCCCTCAAGGTGCTTACAGTCTCTGATGTGTGGGATGGAGGGTGACGTTGCTGATAGCTCAATACTTAACGTACAGCAGGAAGGAGCACTGAGGCAGTGGCTTGAGCTCAGTCTGTGGGAGGAGACCTGTTTTGATCCAGCTGCCCTCATTCCAAGTAAGGGCAGTTTTAAGAATTAGCTGTTTGGCCAATTGAAAAATATCTTCCCATTTTAACTCACTGAATTGCCAGTTCCGAAACTTTTTAAGATAAAGCTATACTATAATTATAAAAGAGGCCAACCTTATAACTCAACTGCTGAAAAGGGAGACAAAGACCTACAAAACTTATTAGGAAAAGCCATGGAGATCAGCAGGTGGAGGTGTGGGGCTAGTTGGGTGGACAACTCAGAGGTAAAAAAGCAAACAAACAAAATTATAGGTAGGACAAGAAAAAGCATCTGTCTTTTTGCTAATGTGAACTGCCAAAACCTCCCCTTTTATTTTTTATATTTTTGTATTGAAACATTAAAATAAATGAACAACCTTCTAACATTTAGACGGTACTGGGTAAGGGAAGCCCAGTCTGATTGATTTAGGTATTTTAAATTTTAGATCAATATCCACAAAATGAATATTTTTACTACTTAACTAAGTGTTCTTTATGTTTGCTTTTACCAAGAACTTCATTCCATTTTTATTGATAAAAGCATATATATATGCTTATTTTATATATATATATATATATATATATATATATGGCACTAATAGAGTTAAAAATAGGCATACATATGGTTGAGAAGAGATTTAATTCATGTCTTAATGCCATGGAAATTCCTAGGTATTCCTGAAAACAATGTTCTAAAAGCACCCAGTGTTGCCTAGGTGGAAGACTCTAAAGTTAATGTGAGAGCCAGGCACAGCAGCTCACGCCTATAATACCAAAACTTTAGGAGGCCAAGGTGTGTGGATCACTTGAGGCCAGGAACTTGAGACCAGCCTGGGCAACATGGTGAGACCCCATCCCTACTAAAAATATAAAAAAAAAATTGCTATTTGCAACCATTGTGGAAGACAGTACAGTGTGGCGATTACTCAATGATCTAGAAGTAGAAATACCATTTGACCCAGCAATCTTATTACTGGGTATATAACCAAAGGAATGTTAATCATTCTGTTATAAAGATACATGCACGTGTATGTTCATTGCAGCACTATTCACAATAGCAAAGACGTGGAATCAACCCAAATGCCCATCAATGATACAGTGAATAAAGAAAATGTGGTACATATACACCATGGAATACTATGCAGCCATAAAAAGGAACAAGATCATGTCCTTCGCAGGGTCATGGATGGAGCTGGAAGCCATTATGCTCAGCAAACTAACGCAGGAACAGAAAACCAAACACTGCATGTTGTCACTTGTAAGTGGCTGCTGAACAATGAAAACACATAGACACATGGGTGGGGGAACAACACACACTGGAGCCTGTTGGGGGTGCAGGGGAGGGAGAGCATCAGGAAGAATAGCTAATGGATGCTGGGCTTAATACTTAGGTGATTGGTCGATAGGTGCAGCAAACCACCATGGCACACGTTTACCTATGTAACAAACCTGCACATCCTGTACATGTACCCCAGAACTCGAAATAAAAGTTGATGAATAAAAATGATTTACCTTCATTTAAATAGCTTAGATTCTGTTGCCTATAAATATAGGGCACTAAATTTTTATTTATGCAGGATAACTGTCCTGGTTATGCCAAAGATATATTAAATACAATGTTTAATTGATGACTCAAAACATACCTTAAGTTTATCTTTCTAGAACTTTGTATTTCAGAAGATAAAGTAGATGAGGCTGCATCTGTCTGCACTGACTTTCTCCTCCCAATGACAAAGAACGCTATCTGTTTTGAAGTGACTTTTAATTTGTTGAATATTGGTGGTGAGTGGAAAATGAATGTAAATGAAATATCATATTGCTGGAGCAGGTACAAGGGATGTGAATGAAAGCTTCCTGTTTTATGGGCTGCTGAGAGGTGATAGCTCTTAAAAAGCAGTCTGCTAAGTGATCCCAAGTTAATGCAAATTAACAGTTGTTTTCTTTCAGAACTGTGTGACTGAATAAACATTTACCATTTGTTTCATTTCTACTCATCTCTTGAAACAGTTGCTACAGGTCTTAATAGTAAGACTCGAAACATATAATGTATTAGCCTTGGCACATCAAAATATTGTTCATCTTCCAAACTTGAGATATTCCAGTTTGGCTTCTCACTGAGTTTATAATGTTCTGAGGGTATGTATCTAAAAACGCATCTTACTAATCTCCTGGAATTGATTTTTTTAAAAAAGTCCCTGTAACTTGTCACTATTCCCAGCTTAAACATGGTCTGTCAATTGTGAGATTGATGGGCATTGTGGTACATTTCAATCTTAGGAGGGGCCTGAATAAGAAATTTAAACTATTAAATAGTGTTTTGGAAGAGAGACGTATGATATTTGTGCAAAATAATAATGAGGTTAAAAATGGAATTTCAGCCTTAGCTGAAAGAGCAATGCCTCCTGCTTTTTTGTGCAAGCCTTTCGCATGATTCAATGTGATCACCTTTTCTCATAGCACCACTGCGGCAACTGTGAGGGGTAAAGAATTTCAGCAATTGAACAACAGTATCAAATAAATTCATTTTAGGAACTCTCCTAAAGGTTTATTCCAATCGTTAACATTCCTGGAGCTGGTGGTGTCTGCCAAGTGCTCAGCGCTAGTTCACAGGCAGCAAATTTAGCATGACAAAGTTGCTCCCATTTTGCAAATGGGAAACCTGGAGCCCCAAACGGAGCCTCTCACAGTAAACTGCAGAATGGAGATGAGATCCTAGAGATACAGTATAAGGGATTATCTGGGATCATGTAGATGGTTTGCAGTTGCCTTTGTATGGCTACCGGGTTAGATCATTCTTGGCAAGTTTGGTGAATTAGTATCCTATTCCTGAGTCCCATTTCAATACCTAGCTTGGAACTCTTCCACTCCCTGAAAACTTCCATTGAAATTTTTATCAATGGTATTTGCATAGACAAAATGGAATCAAACTATTGACATGTACTTTTTTATTAAAAAAAAAAAAAAGCAAATTTATGTGAATGGTTTGTCAGTGGAGATAATTTAGCCAAAGGCACCTGTGTTCTCTAAGGACTCTGCCTGAAAAGACTTTTAGGGGGAGCTTGGTGAATTTTTTGTCTTTAAAATAAAGCTGTTTTTGAGGTATAAGAGAAGCTTGGTTTTTGAAATGGCACAATGAATAACAAAAGCCCCTTTTCACCCCCCAGAAAAGGACTAAAAAGAACATTTGTTAGACTCTTGGGGAAGAATTGTGCTGTTAACATGAAAGTCTAGATACAAGAAAAGGGAAAATTGGAAGAAGAGGAGGAGCAGGTAATACTGGAGAAATGCTGGACCCTGAAAGCAACTTGTTTTGCAAAGATGATTACACTCAAGTTTGGGTTCAAAACGTAAGAAAGCATGCTTATAGTGAATAAAACAGCTAGAAGATAAAACTTGGCAGAATATCCTGCCGTTTTGTACAGACTTATGCGTGGGTATGCATGTGTTTCTCTCTCCATTCCTTCCTCTTCTCCCACAGTGGCCCTCTAAGTATATTCTGGCAGACAAGTGGCCAATAACCAGTCTTCATAATGGAGGTCAGGTGATTTGTATTTCTGGATTTTTAGAATAGACAGGGCTTATCATTGATTTGAAGATGGAAAGTACACTATTTCACTACCCCCTGTCATTTAGTGGATGTGGTTCTTGAGTATGTCCAGAATTATAAGGCTGTTAATGTGTCTTGAGCCCTGACCTAAACTGTAGATGAGAAGGCTCTTTAAATATTAAAATGGAGAACAAACAGGATTGCTTATGCAGTAGGAAAGTGCACAGTATTCAGAAGTCAGGCCTAATCTTTTTATGGGGCAGCTATTGGGCATGCTACATTTCTGTCCAAAATATAACTCTTTTGAAAACTCCCTCTTTAACAAAAATACTAAGTTGATGGTCTCTCTTAAAAAAAAAAAAAAAAAAAAGGCCAAGTAAGGGAATATATAACTTCAGAGTTATCAAATATATTTATCCCCCTTACATGTCAAAGTTTAAGTGCTGTGTTTTGTATATACAGTCATCATGATATTTGAAAAGGCCATAAAGAAAAACAATTATATAATTGTTTTTAAAGAACGCAGAAGCAAGGATAAAAAGGCCTTTAGAAACTAGAGAACAGTATTAACAATTATAGTACCTGAAGTCAAGCTGCAAAATTCTGTCCTAATTATTGGGGATGATTAATTAAGCGTAAAGTTACACGCCTTGAAAGAATTTCAGAATTATTTTTCTTTGATTTTTCTACCAAAAAAAAGGCCCACCCCATCATTTTCTATTTTAGCAGTTTCCACAACTTAAACATTAAATTCTTATTGTTTGATTTCTGTTATATTAGTAGTGTGTGTTTTGCAATTCTAATCTTCACGTTTTTCTTTCTTTATCACTGAAGTAGGCCTTTTGAAGCTGGGAAATTTTTCATAGCAATATTGACAGTGTTCACATTTGCATGATGACAGCCAAGGAATGGAGCAGTAATTTTTGAAATTGCAGAAGTATTTAGAACACTGATAAAAGCTGAAATATATTTTTGATGGATTGAAGTTAAGCATACATGATTTTTCCTGCTGTCAAAAGGCTCTGAATTTAGTGAATATTTGCCTGCTGTGAGAATGCAAGATTAACATCACAACCATCACCCGGGCACCCAAACCCTGCAATTTAATAGCTTTTTAGGTTCTTTCCTTTTTCTAAACAGCAATTAATCTCATTTTAGTACAATTTTCTCGTTTCTGAAGTCGCTCATTGAATCGCTGTTTTGTTCATATTTGGCTTCAGCTCCTCTGCATAGTCATTAAAGTCCCAATTAATGTCACCTTTAGCTGAAGAGTACTCATTTTTATTGAGAAAATGACAGTTGCTGCCATGAGTAGTGCAGTGTAATATACATTAATTGCCCTGTAACACTGGTAATTACGAGTTTTTCAAGCCTCTCAGTAAACTGTCATGCCTAGACAAGACTGTGCTAAAATAGATTACTCATTAGGGAGACCTGTCCTATTTTCTGGTGAGTTCTTAGTGTTGGTTTAAAAAAAAAAAAAATCTTGAGCTTGAACAAATAGTTGCCAAGAGCAATTTCCTACAACAATATCCTCGTGTTGGGTTTTTCAGCCATCACTTAAGATTGCGGTCAGCAAACAGACAGGGTGCAGTGGACGCTACAGATGTTGAATCTTGAGCCTTTATTTATGTGGATCACAAGAGCGAACTTAAGGGCGTTTTATTCAGGGTTGAATATAGAATGTAACTGAAGAGTGCTCCTAGAGGGTGTTGTGTTAAAACAGGTTCATTCCCTGGTATTTCGAGAATATGGGAGAGAACCAGTGTGCCACACTTACCAGGTCTTTATCACCTCTGTGCTGAGTCCAGCAAGGAGAAGCGTTGATGCCTTTATTCAACAAATTCCTATGAGGACTGGAGTAGATAAATAAGTTTGACCCCGAACATGGTGAGCTTTATTGGTTTATATGGTTTTAAGGTACAGTTTTAAAAAGGGAGTGGGGAATCCTTAGTTGAAGAGAACTGTAATTATCTTAAATGTGAAATTACCAGC
Source organism: Homo sapiens (assembly GCF_000001405.40). NCBI lineage: Eukaryota > Metazoa > Chordata > Mammalia > Primates > Hominidae > Homo > Homo sapiens. Next base: position 36,756,212 of record NC_000015.10, read on the forward strand.
CCACAATCTTGTTTTAAAATATATGGTTGCTGACTGGCACATTTGGCAGTAGGTTTTTGTTTTTGTTTTTGTTTTCAAATCATATATCTAATTTCAGTGTGGAGATTATTTTTCAACTCCCTGTTTCTCTCATATTTCATATGTTGGTGTTTTAACACAAAATAGTGAACTTTAAAGCCCATAGTTGCTTAGAACTGACAAAAAGAAAACCTTTGTTATATCCTTGCCTAAAGCAGGTGTTATAACAATCTGCTCTTTCCCTCTCTCTCTAAATGAATTTTGTCACAGCCTTTCAAGTTTCCTTGTGGTGATGAGCTAATGAAAGTAGATAGTACAATTTGTGCTGACCAGGTAGCAAGTGCCAGCTCACAGCTGAGGATAGTTTAAAAAAATAAATAAAATATAGCATCATATCACTGATTTACCCAATACACAGCATTAATAGTGAGAGACCTTGGTGTGTTTATCTGTTTGTATTGGTGTGCATTTATCGAATTGTTTATGACAAGACTAATTGGGGTAATTGTAGACACTGAAATTACCTGTCAGCTATATGTAACCACACTCCCTTTCTTTCTGACAAATGATGACAACTGAGGGACCCCGTAGCATTACTCATGATGGCTTTTCGAGTGGTAATAAGGACAATAGGGGCCCTGGCTAATTTGACATGGACAGCCTTCACAACAAGAAGCCAGCTAAATGACTTGTCAGGAGGGGAGAGAAGTCAGAAAAGTAATGGAGTCCCCCATGGCGCTCTGACAGGGAGATGAGGCAATTTCAACGGAAAGTGAAAAGGCTTCAGTTTGTCAAGTACTTAGAACAATCAGAGAACAGCTAGAGGCTGGAACCTGACAATAAATTTGTGAACCATGGTAGCAGTTTCATATAGGTCAGTTACTTCATAATGGCTGTGCAGTACTCAGAGGGTCCTGTTCTCATCACATACTTCACGTCTACCAACCAGAGCTTTGTCACCTTAAATTTGTGCTCTGTTTTACGTCGTGGGAATAACAGTTAGGGTTATGGAGGCCCAGGAATGGAAAGATGGTGTGAGTTGCAGTTGCTAGCCTGTTGAAGATTAAACAAAAATCCAGCCATGTAATATGGTGATGGCAGCCCTTACATGAGGGTAGTATTAACTCTTCACAGTAGTGAGTTGTAGCCACTTGGGTCGAGACCTCATGAACTCTTTTCTCGCTTGCTATCAATCCGATACAAAATGCAGTAGTCCCTTTCTAGTCCGAGGTTTTGCTTTCCAAGGTTTCAGTTACCTGTGGTCAACCACCATCTCAAAATATAAATGGGAAATTCCAGAAATAGACCACTGATAAGTTTTAAGTTGAGCACCGTTCTGAGGAGCGTGATGAAACCTCACAGCAGCCCGCTCCATCCTGCCCACTCATGAGTCATCCCCTTGCCCAGCACATCCATGCTGTGTACACTACCCGCCTGTTAGCAGCCACATCTTCTGCTCCTGACATCTAGACATCCACCTCATCTTGGCTCGGTGACCCAGGGTCATCTGAAGCAGATGATCCTCCTCCTGACCTACTGTCAGGAGAGCAGTAGTAGCCTAATGCTATGCCACCAGGCCTGAGTCATTCACCTCACTTCATCTCATCATGTGGACATTTTATCATCTCAAATCATCACAGGAAGAGAGTGAGTATAGAACAATAAGATAGTTTTGAGAAAGAGAGAGAGACCACATTCATGTAACTTTTATTATAGTATATTGTCATAATGGTTCTTTTTTTATTGTTACTCTCTTATATGCCTAATTTATAAATTAAACTTTATTATATGTATGTATGTATAGGAAAAAACATAGTACATATAGCGTCTGGTACTATCATGGTTTTAGGCATCTAGTGGGTGTCTTAGAATGTATCCCCACTGGGTACAAGTGGGCTACTGTATAATACTACTATTCATAGGCTAAAACTCCTACCAGCACCTTTTTCTCTGATTGTATCAATGTGATACTAATCTCAGAGCAGGCTAGAAAACTGGTATATAAGGGGCCTCCCTCCCCTACACCCTCTACCTCCAAAGCTGTAAGTAGCTTCTGGCCTTGATAGTAGCATGTGGCTACAGTGTGAAATAGTCTAGTGATATTTCAACAGTTTTACTGAGCTTCTGGTTTTGTTTCATTGGGGACAATCTTTTCATTGTAAAAAAGCAAGTTTCTAAACTGGACGAGCCACTTTGCCTCTCTGTGCCTCAGTTTCCTCATTCATAAGATGAGGAAAGGCAAGCTGATTAAATTTATGCAGAAGTTGATTGCATGATCTTGATGCATGTACAAGTTAGAATATTTTTAAGCAAGTCAATGTATTTTATGCACCTGCGACAGTCTTTTTCTTCACCACCATCACTCCAGATCTTTGTAAAGGCAATAACACCCTTTACAAAGAAATATATCACCTTTGCACTTAATGGAATTCTTCTCGGAAGATTTCTGAGCATTATTTAAGCTATGAAATCTATCTTTTTAATGTTGTCTGAAGAAGAAAGTGTGTATTCAGTACACTTATTCATACTATGTTATTTGTAAGTTTTGACCTTCATGTGGAGAAAGATTCCTTTCTAAACATAATACAGTATAATATCTGTTAAACTTCTCAGTATAACTTAAAACATACAGTTTCACAAATATTGTTAAACCTAACCAAATAGGTTGCCTAATGCCCTAAGCAACAGTTCAGAAGGCTTAGAAACCCATCCAGAAAAATTATGAAATTGTCTTTGCTTTTGCATTTCTCTGGGGGTGAGAGTGGTTGGGATAGGGAGTTCCTCTTATGCCCAGTAAAAGCAGCTGCCCACACATCCACTTTGTTCAGTGGTTTTTGAGTTGCCTGAGGGTTTCAGTGTTTGTCCAAGGTTTTCATCGAGAGCAGAATAAGCATTCCACCCCACCAAGATACATCGAGGGGTGCAGGACCCCAGCAGTAGGCTCAGGGACATCAGGAGCAATTGAGGAGTCACAGAAGGAGTAAGAGGAGAGGCGCCTCTTCTTGTCTGTGCTCCCAAGTGAACAAAGGAGAATTTGGCTTAAAATGCCCCAGGCCATGGGTTCTGTACTACAAATATGTCCTCTTCCCCTGAAAATGCAACCTGCTGACAGGAATTCTCCATTTTGAATTATTAGGTCTTGCAGGTCCATATCTGGGATGAGTCTTTCCCTGCATCAGCCCCACTTTGGAGATATTCTTTATTTTCCTCACAATTGCTCAGATAAATATGTTTTTTCTTGTGGAAGAAAGTCTTTTAATTTCTAAAAAAAAAACTCATTTAAAATAAATTGTGCTTTTTTTGTAATACATTAATTCTAAAAATCTAAAAGTTCCAGATAAACAAAAGTAACATCATTATCTTCCCAATTCATTTACATTGACACTATTAGCATTGTTAACAATAGTCTGTTCTTATACCCCTATAAAGAACTACCTGAGGCTGGGTAATTTATAAAGAAAAGTTTAATTGACTCACAGTTCCACAGGTTATACAGAAGGCATGACTGGGGAGGCTTCCAGAAACTTACAATCATGGTGGAAGGGCAAAGCAGAAGCAAGCACATCTTCACATGGCAGCAGGAGAGAGCAAACGGGGAAGTGCTACACATTTTTAAACAACCAGATCTTGTGAGAACTCTATCAGAAGACAGCACTAGGGGAATGGTGCTGAACCATTAGGAACTACCCCATGATCCAGGCACCTCCCACCAGGCCCCACCTCCAACAATTGAGAACACAATTCAACATGAGATTTGGGTGGGGACATACAGCCAAATCATATCAGGCATCACACTGTATATACTGTAGAGTACTTATGTGTTTTTTACCTCAGAGGATGTTGAGATTGTTTTTCATATCTATAAATATAGCTCTATGTGACCCTTTGTAGTAGGTTCCTAATGCTTGCATTATATGGCAATAGAATTTTTTTAACCAGTCACCTGTAATGGGTATTTAGGAGGTCAACATAAATAGCACTGTAATGAACATCCTCATCATGAAATGAGTTAAGACATGGAAAGTACAATAGCCTCAGTCAACATTTTCATTCTCTTCTGTCTTGTAAAATCTGTGTTATAAATGCATAAAGCTGTGGCACCTGTGTTTTCTGCACCATGATGTGACTTTTGTGATAATTCTGTTTTTTCCTTTTAATATTCAACTAAAAGAACTGTTTTCATGATGCCAAGACATTTTCATTTATCCAGTTGTCTAGTAACCTAAAACAAACAGAAACAAAGGTAGCTTGCACATATGCGTTTGTTTTCTACCATCCAGTTCTTAGGAACTTTTAATTCATCTCTAAAGTTATTTTAGAGGCAAAGAAAGGTTATGTGTTGTTCTTCAAAAAGTATGCATTTGTCTCTTCCACAGAAATTTTAAGTGTTTATTCATTTCCCAACTCCATCCCGCACCTGAGGCCTCCATCAGCATCCAGAATAAACATTTTCTCCTGTGAAGGACATAAGGAGCATCTAAGAAATGGTGGTGGTGGTGCTGGTGGTGGTGGTGGTTGAACACTTCATTAAATCACTTTTCATATCCATACATATTTCTTTAGGATAATATCCAGATAATAGACTTTCCAAGTCAAAGGGATCACAGAGTTTTAAGGCCATGGTTACATATTTGTAAACTGCCTGTCACAGAATGATTGTAGCAATTTCTTCTTCTGCAAGTAGTGTGTAAGTATGCCCATTTCTCAGCACCCTGGCCCAAGTCAGATGCCATCACTTCATGGATAGTTTTTACACTCTCATTGTTACTTTCCTTCCCCTTGTTTTCATTCAGAATGCTTGCATTTTACTTTGAGATTTTTTGCCATCGGTCATTTTATAAGATACGCCTTCACCGGCACATCTAAAAGCTAAGGCACTTAACAATTAGAAAGTTGTATGATAGAGACCTTCAGTCTCCAGTTATAATTCCAGCTCTTTCTGACCCTCAAGCTCTGGAACAGGTCACACTTTTCTCTGCTCAGGACACTAGATATTTCAGATTATTTCAAGCAGTCTCCTGCCCACTTTCCTGTGCCTTTGTTATAGCTGTCACTGTAGATTGTTTCCGTTGTGCATATAATTGCTTCATTGCTAGTAACTGGCTTAATGTTGTCACAGACCTTATTGGCTCTTCTTACCTCAGATTTACATATAGCATCCCAAGGCTTTCTTTAGGGCATTTATCATTTTTCCTCCAAATGATCTGGTGACAGTATACAGCTATTCAAGTTTTCATCAGCCAGCAGATGATACGGTCTTTCTTCTTTGCTGCCACAAGCCAGAAAAGAGAGGAAATCAGGGGAAATGCTTTCATTACTGCACTTCAAGGAGGCGCTGTCATGGAGTCAGGGAGGGAAGTTTCCCAAAGTTCACTGAACTGACACTGGAAGAAGCTCTTGTGGGCAGCCCCATCCCTTTGTGACACCGCAACGAAAGCACTTCATCATCTCTTGCCGATCCTGCTTTCATGCAGACAGCGAGGCATCTTCTAATGCCAGTTGCCTTTCCTGTTTACTTCTTGCTCCAGGAAAAAGTCTGAGCAATTTTTTAGGACATTAACTATTACTGTTGCATACTGATATGCAAGATTTTGTTATACTTTCTTGAAAAGGCCCATTATTTTCATTTGGAAAGGGAAAAAATAAAATAGAGATTGCCACCAATTGCAAATGACTAACACTAATAAATTTAATGGGTCTAATAGCAGCTGTGACTGTGGAGTTCCTTGTATACTGAAATGGGGTTATAAACGGTGTTAAGCTCACAGGCTGGCCCCGGAAGTCTATTGCAGGCAGAATGTGGCAATTCTAGAATATCAGTAGGACCAACCTTGGTTTCCTATCATATCTAGAGAGTAAATTAAAAATGTTCAAACTCTAAATGAAAGGATTTGAAGCCTTAGGATTCACTGGGCAAGCTAAACTCAGTAGGAAGGCTGCCCTTGTGAGCACTCCTAGACTTCATGCCTTTCACTTCTTTTTCCCTCTGTTTCTAACCTCTCCTATTCTTTAAACTTGGAACTTTTCCTTTTGTTACACGCAGGCACTTTCTTGGTAAGGAATCCCTGAGAAAAGCTTCTTGAGGGGGCAGTGAGCTTTTTTGGTCACCCACATATTGCTGAAGTAGTTAAGGCCTACAAGATTTATTTATAAAAATGGCTATTCTGTTCTGATTTATCTACAAGTTTTTGCTTAAGTGACTTATAGATGACTTTTGCCGAGGCACCTCTGCCCCATATGTTGTTTTGTTTTGTTTGTTTGTTTGTTTGTTTGTTTTATTATACTTTAAGTTCTAGGGTACATGTGCACAACGTGCAGGTTAGTTACATACGTATACATGTGCCATGTTGGTGTGCTGCACCCATTAACTCGTCATTTACATTAGGTATATCTCCTAATGCTATCCCTCCCCACTCCCACCACCCCACGACAGGCCCCGGTGTGTGATGTTGCACTTTCTGGTCCAAGTGTTTTCATTGTTCAATTCCCACCTAAGAGTGAGAACATGCGGTGTTTGGATATTTGTCCCTGCGATATTTTGCTGAGAATGGTGGTTTCCAGCTTCATCCATGTCCCTACAAAGGACATGAACTCATCCTTTTTTATGGCTGCATAGTATTCCATGGTGTATATGTGCCACATTTTCTTAATCCAGTCTATCATTGATGGACATTTGGGTTGGTTCCAAGTCTTTGCTATTGTGAATAGTGCCGCAATAAACATACGTGTGCATGTGTCTTTATAGCAGCATGATTTATAATCCTTTGGGTATATACCCAGTAATGGGATGGCTGGGTCAAATGGTATTTCTAGTTCTAGATCCCTGAGGAATCACCACGCTGACTTCCACAATGGTTGAACCAGTTTACAGTCCCATCAACAGTGTAAAAGTATTCCTATTTCTCCACATCCTCTCCAGCACCTGTTGTTTCCTGACTTTTTAATGATCGCCATTCTAACTGGTGTGAGATGGTATCTCGTTGTGGTTTTTATTTGCATTTCTCTGATGGCCAGGGATGATGAGCATTTTTTCATGTGTCTTTTGGCTGCATAAATGTCTTCTTTTGAGAAGTGTCTGTTCATATCCTTCACCCACTTTTTGATGGGGTTGTTTTTTTCTTGTAAATTTGTTTGAGTTGCCCCGTACTTTGCTGGCCACACTCAGTAAGAGTCAAGATTACATCCAGTTGGCTTCATAAAACAGGACTTTCTAGGACAGCTGTGCTTTGCTTGCACCTCATGGGAGTTCAGGGGCTCCCCAGACTGGAAAGCATAGAATCCAGTTTCTCTAGGAACCCAAGGTGTCAAAACAATAAATCCCCACTTCTCTGCCATCAGCTTGCACTACCACAAGCCAGAAGAGAGAGGACTGTACCCCGCCATGTTGTGGTGAGAAACCACACCCATAACGTCTCTTTGGGTTAGGGAGCCTTCCTTGCTTTCCACGTGGGGTTCAGGGAGCTTGAGAGTTGGCATCAAGGCTCACTGGAGTCCCCTTCTACATTGTATGTCTGTGTTCTCTGTGTAGAGTTCAACTCAACCTCAGGCCAAGAATCAGCTGCTGGCTCCACCTAAAACCTGTTTATTCCTTAACTAGATACTCCTTTCAGCAGCTGTGGCTTCTAGGAGGCAAACACTAACTAGAGGGAGGTGGCAGCAAAGGCTATATATACATAGTGAATGTCCACATTCAGTGACAGCCTGTATAAGTCTGGTGACTGTCAGTATCCATTCTCTATGCGTACCAAAACAAACCACAAGTTCAAAAAATCATTCCAGTAAATCACCCCTTCTATTCAGACTTCAAACAAAAGAAGATTGGGGGTGGAGGAGGGAATCAGTTTGACCTCACACTCAGAGTGAAGTATCTATGCTGTGAGTTGTTTTACCTGTTGTGATAAATTAGCAAAGCCAATAGGCCAATCCAGAAATCCACCATGGACTAAGGCCTAATAAGCATTTTTATTTTCTTTCTGTGGTTTTGGTTTTTTTTTTTTTTTTTTTGTCATTGTGAAATCTGCTGTGTTATAAATGCATAATCCTGTAGCACCTGTATTTTCTGCACCATGATGTGACTTTTAGAGATAATTCTGTTTTTACTGTTTTATGATGCCAAAAGACTCATTTATCCAGTTGTCTAGTAACATGTAAACAAACAGAAGCAAAGGTAGTTTGTACATATGCATTTGTTTTCTACCAGTAGTCTTCAGAGCTTTGGATTCAGTTTTTAAAGGTATTTAGTAGGCAAGAAAATGTTAATGGGGTTGTATGGAAAAAAGAATGCGTTTATCTGCTACATAGAATCTTTGTGTTTGTTTATTCCCTGCCCCATTCCCATGCAAAGCTTCTACCGGCATCCAGAACAAGCTTTTTCTTTTTATGGTTTTCATCTTCATTAAATCTTGACCAACAGCTTAAATATCTGCAGCTGTCCCCTAATATCTGTTCTCCCCTTCTTTCTTTAAATCAGTGTCTGGTTTTACTTAGGTATGTAGTCACCTAGAATAAAAACTCCAGCTCCCCTTGCAGTAAGATGTATCCATGGGGCTCATTTCTGGCCATTGGAATGCACATAAGCCGAAGTGTCCAGTGCAACTTTTTAAGAGGAACAGACACATGCCCTTCTTTGCCATTTGCTGCCGATAAGAATGTGGGCCTGATGGGTAATGCCTAGGTTGCCATTCCAGGGCATGAGAGGAAACTATATGCTGAAGATGGCAAAGCGAGAAGGTAGTAGGAATCTAGGTTCCTGCTGACTCTGCAGTCACCATGCCAGCCTAGAACTACTTTCCTTTGTGCTTAATTTTCTTTTCTTTTATTTTTCTTTCTTTCTTTTTTTTTTTTTAGATGGAGTCTCGCTCCGTCATTCAGGCTAGAGTGCAGTGGTGCGATCTCAGCTCACTGCAACCTCTGCTTCCTGGGTTCAAGAGATTCTCCTGTCTCAGCCTTCCTATTAGCTGGGGTAACAGGCTCCTGCCTCCATGCCTGGCTAATTTTTGTATTTTTAGTAGAGATGGGATTTCACCATGTTGGTCAGGCTGGTCTTGAACTCCTGACCTCAAGTGATCCACCCACCTCGGCCTCCCAAAGTGCTGGGATTACAGGCGCGAGCCACCATGCCCAGCCTGAGCTTAATTTTCATAAAGGAGAAATAAACTTTTTTCTTGTTTATGCTACCACTATTGTGATTTTTCTTTCACTTGCAGCAGAATTTAATTCTAACCAACACGGTAGGTGAGATGTGGGGGATAAAAATAGATCTATATCAAGAGAGTTTACGTTAAAAAAAGTAGTCAAACACAGGCCTTCTAACTCTGGGGCCAATGTTTTTCCCATGTCTTTGGAGGCCATGTTCCATTAAATGTAATGACGGTTGAATTTATCTAATTTTGTTTTTAACTTGATTATTTATAGTTATTTAAAATTCTTAATTATTATCCTTTTTCCTAAATTATGGGATTTGAAAATGGATCTACATTTTTAACAGCCTTGTTGAGATATAATTGATATACCAAAAATTGTATCTATTTAATGTATACAATTTGGTGAGTTTGGACATAAGCATCTACTCATGAAACCATTGCTATAATCATGGTGATAGACATACACACTACTCCAAAAGTTTTCTAGTGCTTGCTTTATTTTGGGGATTTGTGTGTGTGTTTTCTATGGTAAGAACACTTAACATAAGATCTACCTTCTGTTAAAATTTGTTAAAATTTTAAGTGCTCAATACCATATTGCTAACTATAGGTACTATGGTAGACAGCAGATCTCTAGAATTTATTCCTCTTGCATAACTGAAACTTTATACCCATTGAACAGCGACTTCCCCTTGCCTCTTCCTCCCGGTCCCTGGCAACTACCAGCTGCTCTCTGCTTCTATGAATTTGACTATTTTAGATACCTCATATGAGTGGAATCATGCAATATTTGTCCTTGTCTGTCTTATTTCATTTGGCATAATGTTCTCCCATTCATCCATGTTGTTGTATATGGCAGGATTTTTTTCTTTTTTAAGCCTGAATAATATTCCACTGTATGTATGTACTACGTATTCTTTATCCAGTCAGCCATTAACAGACCTTTAGGTTGTTTCCATATCTTAGTTACTGTGAATATTGCTGCCATGAACATGGGAGTGCAGATATCTCTTCAAGATCCTGATTTCAGTTCTTTTGGATAAATACCCAGAAGCAGGATTGCTGGATCATAAAGTAGTTGCATTTTTAATTTTTTGAGGACCCTCCATACTATTTTTCATAGTGGATGTACCATTTTACATTTCCCTCCAACAGCATACAAAGGTTCCAGTTTGTCTACATCCTTGTCAACACTTGCTACCTTTTGTTTTATTTCTTGTTGTTTTTATAATAGCCATTCTAACAGGTGAGCGGTGATATCTCTTTGTGGTTTTGACGTGCAATTTTCTGATGATTAGTCATGCTGAGCAAGTTTTCTTATACCTATTGGCCATTTGTATGTCTTCTTTGGAAAAATGTCTATTCAACTCCTTTGCCCATTTTTAATAGGGTTACTTGGGATTTTTCTTGTTATTTGATTTTGGGAGTTGGTCATATATTTTGGACATTAACCCCTTCTTAGATATATGGTTTGTACATATTTTCTTCATTCTGAAGGTTGCCTTTTCATTCTGTTGATGGGTTTTGTTTTTTGTGTGTTTTTGCTGTGCAGAAGCCTTTTAGTTTGACGTAGTCTCAAGTGTCTATTTTTGCTTTTGTTACCTGTGCTTTTGGTGTCATGTCTAGGAAATCATTGTCAAGACCAAAGTCAGGAAGCTTTTTCCCTATGCTTTCTTCTAAGGGTTTTACAGTTCAGGTCTTATATATGTTTTTAATTCACTTCGAGTTGATTTTTGTGGATGGTGTAAGATAAGGGTCCAATTTTATTCTTTTGCCTGGGGATGTCCAATTTTCCCAGCAGTTAAAAAAAATGGATCTATATTTTTAATACTCAGAGTTGACTCTGAATCTTGGGAAAGTTTCCTTCCAAATGTGTTACGGTTCAGCAGTTTGGAATAAAATTGTCTCAGTCTGTTCTCTGTTCCCTATGTAATGTAGATGTATTTTTGGGCTTCCTGAGTCAGATCTGAGCATAACAAGGACCAGGAGTTCTAGCCTGTGGGTAAGGGTTAGATTCCAACATCACCAGAATGTGTAGCCCCATCCCCTTTTATGGAAATGGCCTTACAAAGTCACCTAGTAATTTCATATCTGTTGAATTCTAGTTGTGAAAGAACTATTTTAAGAGTTGACACAGTTACATGTTTATTAAGTGTTTATAAATGTATTAGTCACTGTGCAAACAGAGAAGCAGGTGGGCTTCATATTCCCACCTGTTCAGGTCACTGAAGCAAAGCCACCTGGAAAGCTTCACATGAGTAATTGGACCTTCAGCCTTCAGACTTCCACTTGCATTAAATTCAGCAACCAAGACTTTGACATCTCCTGAAATACCTTCTCCATGTGCCCTTTGTTATTAGAAATTAGCCTTTTTTGAATCATGTGTAGAGTGAACTTGAAATTCAAATGTATTGCAGTAGAGGTGATACAGACAGTATAGGTGACATCTTGGAGTGACTTGTAAAAGGAGGCTGATCCAATAAGTGTTTCTAATTTGCCTTCCATCAAGGAATGACTTCCTCATTTTAAGTAGTCATTATTAGGAATTTGGAAGCCCTGAGAAATTGGAATTATTGATTGAGTTTCTTCATAGGAAACCACCTAAGGAAGAGAGGGCTGTTTCTGACCCCTCATATATTGTGCTCATTGCAAATACTAGTCTGTGGTTCAGCTCCTGTTACCTGCCCTTAACTGCCTCCCACCCCCAGGACCCCTGCATCCAGAGGCTTATAGATTTCACGGACAGCCAGAGGAAGCCAGACAGTGTTGGCCTGCATGATTGGTATTAGTTTCATGATAAAGGAGATGTAATCTTTAAACCCTGTGACTCCACCTGAGCTGTTAAAGGCCACATGGCATTGTGGAAGAAAGCCCTGGACTCTGCATGGAGGGGCCTGACCTTTGGTCCAAGTCCTAGGATCCGTTTAGCTACTGCCTCAATCAGACCTCTTCTCTGGGCCTCACTGTCTTAGTTTGATGAATAAGAGAGTTGGGCTAAATAATCCAGTGCCAACACTTGATGCACAGACAGATCCTTCCACTCAGCTGGCCTTCTTTCCAAACTATTTGTGGGAAAATTTGAACTAGACTGTAGCTGCTGGAGTGCTCTCCCTGTTCCCAAAGGTAGCTTTTCCCCTTCAACTTCTCGCCTCTGGCCAGCTTTTCTGCAAGCCAGAAAAGAAGAAGTTTCATTTGGGAAGCCAAATCTGAGGTGTATCAGGCTGCCTTTACGCAGATCCCCATCCTTGCATTACAAAGGGGTTTGCTGTAAACTGCTGCGAGAATATTTGTTAGTGGCCTCAACTGGTGGTCAGAGTGGGGTGGAACTGGAGCTGCTGCCCTGTTGACTTCCATGGAGGAGGTAGCCAGGCTCTGGCGAAGCAAATCAAGTGGAATCCAGGCTTTGGCTGGGGAAGCAGGAAAAAGCAAAGAAGAGTAAAAGAATGAAGGTAGCTGAAGGAGCCAAGGAGAAAGGCCTCAGAGTCTGAAAGAAAGGAGTTTCCTAGGAGGACCTTTAAATTCAGCTGTGCACTCTAAAGACCCAGTTGTCATTTGTACCCTAATTATGTTATGGGGCTATCATGAAATGTAGAGAGAACTGGCCTGAGATCTGTTATAAAAAAAAATTGCAAAAGGTTGTGGAGAGATAAGAGATTATATTCAAGTGCAGAGTTAAGAATCATCCCTGGGCCTTCTGATAAAGGCAGATTAATATTATAAGCCCCACACACCCTAAAATATGTAGCTAACATTGAATATGCCTTTGGTTAGCGCATTACATTTATTACCCCAGAGGTAGTTTATATCAGTCAGGGTTCTCCAGAGAAACAAACCAATTGGACATATGTGTACATATATTGAGAGATTTATTTTAAGGAACTGACTCATGTGATTGTGGGGGTTGCCAGCTCTGAAATTCACAGGATAGGCCGGCAGACTGGAAACTCAGGCAGGAATTGCTAATATGTTCCTGAGTCCTAAATCTGTAGGGCAGGCCAGCCGCCTAGAAACTCAAGCAGGATTTCTGTGTTAAAGTCCTGAGGCAGAATTCCTTCTTTTCTGGGAAACCTCAGATTTTGCTCTTCAAGGCCTTCAACCGTTGGATGAACCCCACCCACGTTACAGAGGGTACTTTGCTTTACTGAAATTGATTATGGATGTTAATCGCATCTGCAAAATACCTTCACAGCAACATCTGGATTAGCATTTGGTTAAATAACTGGGCACCATAGCCTAGCCTAAGTTAATGCATAAAATTTAACCATCACAGGTAGGTACTGTTAACTCCATTCTACTGACAATGAAACGTGAAGCTGAAAAAGGTTTATTAAGTACCTTCCTCAAGGTGACACCATTCTTTCCTATTCTTTCATGGTTGGGCCAAGCAGTCAGCCTTAGAAACCCAGCTCTCAACCTAAAATGCTTAGCTGCCTGCCAAAAACGCAACGAGCCCTGGGGGAAGGTGTTTGCTCTAAAGTCTAAGAACCTGTGCGATAAATGATGTTACAGTCAGCTGATACAGCAGGGTACCCACCGGCAATTTTAAAAAGCTCTTTTTGCTCTATTGGGCCCTTATGAAATGAACCTACAGGGTCAAATGGACGATGTCAAGACATAACCCATTTTCTTTTCTCTCCCCCATCTCTTTTCCCTTGATTATTTCTCCCCTTTCAGCCTTGTTTTTCTTCCCCACTCAGCTTGCTTCATTTTCCTTTTCTATTTCTCTCCTTTCTCCCTTTCTCTCTCTCTCTCTCTCTCATTTTTTCCTGTGTATTCTTTTTAAAAAACATTATTTCTTCCTGAAAGGGAAATGAAAAGGAAGGGAGAAAAATAAGGGACTTTATAATAAATGGAATTTGAGCCACTTCTGACATCTGTAGTAGCAACTGTGGCTTGATCAGGAAAAAAAGGGGAGGGAGCGAAAGAGGGAGGGAGGGAGGAAAGCAAAAAAAAAGGGGAAAGGGAGAATACAAAGGAAGGAGGGAGGGAGAGAGAGAAAAGGAGAGGGGAGAGGGAGAATTCAATCTTAACTTCTTAAAAAACACAATCTCTTTCTGATGATGATGATGATTATTATTATTATTATTATTATTGGAGATAGGGTCTCACTCCGTCACCTAGGCTGGAGTGCAATGGCACAATCTCCACTCACTGCAACCTCTCCCTCCCGAGTTCAAGCAATCCCCCCACCTCAGCCTCCCAAGGAGCTGGGACTACAGGCACACACCACCACACCCAGCTAATTTTTGTGTTTTTTGTTAGAGACAGGGTTTCACCATGTTGGCCAGGCGGTCTCAAACTCCTGACCTCAAGTGATCCGCCCACCTCAGCCTCCCAAAGTGCTGGGATTACAGGCGTGAGCCACCACGCCGAGCCTCTTTCTGATTACTCTGGATGATTTTATGTGTTTGGCCTCTAGGAGATCTATCTGTTTCAGCTAAGAATGTTCAAGTTACTAGAGCAGTGGCTCCCAAACTGCTGCACATTAGAGTCACCTGGTAGCTATAAAAATGCTGCTGCCCAGCGAGATGCCACATTATGTGAATGAGCATCTCTGGGGTGAACCTAGTGCCAGTCCTTATTAAAACTCTAGGTGATGCCAAAGAACAGCTCAGTTTGAGAATGAATATTACAAAATACTGGTGCTTAAGACTGCTGGATAGTGATGAGAAGTCACAGGACATAGGAGTGCCTCAGGGGAGGAAGAGAGGATAAATAAGAACTGGAAAGGGACTGGAGGAAACCCAGGCCATTCTGTATCTCATTCTGAGGAATGGTTACTTAAGATTTTTATATTTTATATTTCTTATTGTATATATTGTATACCCCAAGGGTGGAGGGCTAGGGAAGGGATAGCATTAGGAGAAATACCTAATGTAGATGACGGGTTGATGGGTGCAGCAAACCACCATGGCACATGTATACCTATGTAACAAACCTGCACATTCTGCACATGTATCCCAGGACTTAAAGTATAATAAAAAATAAAAAACAACAAAAAAAGAAAAAGTAAAGTAATAATAATAATACATACACAGGCACACTGATAGCTGGTCCTACCCTTAGGGATTCTGATTTGTGTGGCCTGGGCATCGATGTGTAAAGCTTCCCAGCCAATTGTGGTGCACAGCCAGGGCTGGAAACCATAGCTCTAGAAGGAGGCTCACTGGTTGCTTTCAACCACGCTTCAAGTTAGCAGTGCCATGGCCAGGTCTCTGTAGACCAGCATCTGGCTTCAGCCTTCTATTTTATCCATTCACAAGAATCAGGCAGGTGAAAGAAGACAGTGGCTCCCGCCTGTAATCCCAGCACTTTGGGAGGCCAAAGCAGGCAAATCACGAGATCAGGAGTTCGAGACCAGCCTGGCCAACATAGTGAAACCCCGTCTCTACTAAAAATACAAAAAATTAGCTGGGCACGGTGGTGGGTGCCTGTGATCCAGCTACTCAGGAGGCTGAGGCAGGAGAATTGCTTGAACCAGGGAGGCGGAGGTTGCAGTGAGCAGAGATGGCGCCATTGCACTCCAGCCTGGGTGACAGTGTGAGACTCAGTCTCAAAAAAAAAAAAAAAAGAAGATAGACTCACACAAACCAAACTCACAGCAACTGACTGAATTCTGTAGTCCTGTGCATTCATGCTGTTAAAAGAAATCTGTCAACAGACCAGAAGCATTTGTTTCAGGGACAGAAGTGAGGATCCTCTTTGGTTCTTCTTTTCTTAGATATTATGTTAACAGTTACCCTATTGCCAACACATCATATCTTCAAGTAGAGTGTACTGTCCCTTATCCACAATTCTGAAATCCCAAAAAGCTATGAAAACTGTATTTTTTTTTTAGTAAGGTGGTGTCAAAACATATTTAGCAATAAAACCTGACCAGAACTCATGTAAAGTTAGTTGAAGGCTTTACTTACTTTACTTGGCGCAAATCGTCATATGTTTTTCTTTGGATATATGAATACATTTGATTGCATGGTGCTGCTTTGTTCCCCACTCTGGGTATAACATAATGTACAATATTTATAAATTTCTAAATCTGATAAATTTAGTTCTTGAAGCCATCTGGCCTAAAGGCTTCAGGTAAAGGATTATGATAGCTTCTTTATATATTAAATTCCCAAAGGACCTCCTCTGGTCTTGGGTAATAGCCCAGCCTCAGGGCAGTCCATTTTCTAACCACTTTTGGTTTGACTATGCTGGCAGGCAATGATGTTCATCTCAGCAGGGACCAACTCAGTCTTGCTTCCCATTGCTGTGCACAAAGCCTGGAATGGTGAGGCCCTGATAGATACATACTGAGGAAATACAGCAATCTATGGTGCATTGATTTCTCTAGTTTTGCTGTCAGAGGGTGACCTTTTCCAGTCTTCTCCCTAAATCCTGGGAGCACCATGCTCTGATAGGATCTGTTGAGCTGTATCTCCAAATTCCAAAAGAATTGTGTTAACAGAGGAAATCAGTTATTTAAATATATTGTTATAGAGAGTGGATTGATTCCTAAAGAGAGGAAAGAAAAACCTGTATAACGCAAATAGATTCTGTTGCAAGAAACTAGTAGTATTAGCACTATAGTAGTAACAGTAATGCTTTGTTCTCTCCTCCCTCTCCTGCATTGTAGTTACATGCATATTTCATCTGCTAGTGTTCAGGCAGACTTTTAGAATCAAGAAGCCCCTCATTCTTCATCCTGTTTGTGGGGGGTGGGGGGAGGTTCAGGAAAAAAATATCCCAGGTGTGCCTTTGGTGTTCAGTTTTTCTTACCCTAATAGCTATATGGGTCTAGTGATCTGGGCTCAGACAGTGACTGAAAACTGAGATTTCTCTCCACTCTTGCCAATGGCACTTGTCTCTGAGGGATTTTCAGGATCTAGGGCTATTGGTCCCATGGTGGATGGGGCAGTACATCCATCCCTTATTCTCTAGATCTGTGCTGTTCAACAGAACATTCTGCAATAATGGAAATGGTTTATATCTGTACTGTCTAATACCATAATCACTAGCCTTATATTGCCATTCAACACTGGAAATGTGGCTAGTATAACTGAGAAACTGAAATTGTAATTGTATTAGTTATTTTTTATTTTGATTTTAATATTACACGTGGCTAGTGGCTACTGTATTGGACAGCACAGGTCTAGATCTGGGGTACAGGCTCTTTTCATTCTGACATAAATGGCTGAGGCATTCTAAGGCTACCCAGAGAAGATCACTCAACTCAGCCTTAAAGTATGGGATGAAATAATTCCAGGCAGAAGCAGAACAAGTAAAGCAAAACAAAAACAAAAACCAAAGCATAGAAATGCTAAAGAACCTGGCACATTCAAAGAACTGTATCTGACTCTATATGGCTAGATATTATTATAGTGTAGGTTGGGTGAGAGGTACTGGGAAAGTGGTAGGAAGTGAATTTTCTGAAAAGACCTTTCAACTTGTCAGGCTAGGGATAAACCCTTCAGGGTGTTTAAAGGTGCTCCTGTAATGTCAGCTGCTATTCTGAGGCTAAGAACTCTGACAAGGAGTTATCTGTGCCACTTGGCAAATGTCTCCAGTCCTTGACACCTCTGAAAGCTACTTCCTGCACACCAGAAGCATAGTTTGGCATGGAATGTCCTCCTGAAGTTGAACTGCGAAGAGATTTCTTGTGGTTTCTGCAGATGGCTACTGTGCAGTACTGGGAGTCAGAGAAGAGTCTTCTCAGGGACCTGAGTTTAGGGCCGCCTTCCCACACCCCCAGGCACCTGCCGGCAAGTAACTGACAGGGGTGTGTGTGTGTGTGTGTGTGTGTGTGTGTGCGCGCGCGCGCATGCATGAGGGGAGACACAATCATAGCCCCTTAGGTTACTAGAGACAGGATTTAAACTTAGATGAAGGGTCACTAGTCCTCCTCCAATACTCTCCAAGGGTTAACAAACTGGAAATTCATCTAAACAAAATAAGCACGACCTATTCCTACTCTGGTTGTTTTTTTCCCCCAATTGATAAGTTGAGCTATTTGGAGGGGACGTCTGTACCATGTGTTTTTCCTATACTAAAATTTTAAAAGTAATTCAAAACGTTCATTTTCACGGACCTAGGACAGTCTAAAATAAATTGAACCAAGAATTTAACTTTTCATTTAGCAAAAAAAAAAAAGTTTTTCTCTGAAGGGTAGGAAGACTTTGCAAAGGTTATCATAATTCACATTTTTTCCTTATTTAAAAAGAAAATCCCAATGTGCTGTTGGTAGTTTTCCTCTTTTTCTTCTGAATCTGATTCTGCTTTGACTTGAGTTTTGTTGGTAGAACAGTTGCAGATTTGACTCTTACAAGTCAAACATATGACCGTGTGATTAGTAGACTTCCTCAGGTGCACAGTAGGTTATTCAGGCCATCTTACACTCCTAGGACTGGTCTCCAGGAGAAACAAAGTGAGATACAAAAAGAAAATAAATCTGTCGCATTATTAAATTTGTGCTCTTGACGCCTGCAGTTGTTGACTGTAGCAAGTGGGGGTTAAACTGTCAGCTTGACAACTTGTAAAGCTCTTTATCATAGAAAGCAAGAAAAAAAATCAATGCTGAATTACCTCAGGAATATTATTGATGACATAAATGTCATTTTCTGTTTTTATTACTTTTTATTGTATTTAGCTTGTAATTCAAACCACTTTCTAATTAATTTGGTTTGGCTCAGTTGGAAATAGAAAAAGCTAACTATCTAATAGGTGACACATGTCGCAGAGAAACCTTACAACATCCCCATTTCCCTGAGATCAATCAGCCATGAAATAACTTACCAAACTTTTGTTTTTCTAGCAAATTCTTAAGAAATACAATGAAATTAAATTTGTCTAGTCCAAAGAAACGGGAAGAAACATGAATGAGCAAAAGTGACCTGAAAGCCCAGTTTTATCTAGCTGTAATCTCTCGTCTAGTTGTTAAAATATCCCGAAGCACTCGATCATGTTGCATTTTAATTTCAAAGCCATGTGTTGTATTAGCAAAGTGCACATGTTCCTGATTTGAACTATGAGTTCCCCGGCTGTTAACCAGAATTCTCGGCTGGCACGGACAAGGTCTCCAGGAGGTCAGAGGCCTAGAGTCTACATCTTGGTTAGATCTTACCCGTGTGGAAACCAGAAGCCTGGGTCAGGCAGCAGTGCCTATGACAGGCCCTGATTAGATTAGGACTACATTTATCAACTACACAGAGAGCACACTTAACCTTTCAACTCAAGAGTCTTGATGTACCTTTATTTTAAAACAAAAAGGTGAATGTTACTCTGCCAAAGTCTTGATCCAATAGCAATGAAGTATAACATGCAGCTTTTTCTAATTTCATCTATTACCAGATTTACACAGGGACAATATGCAAGATGTATACCCTGACAAGCGTTTTATCTGTTTTCTAAATGTATAAATATGATATTTCGATATTTATAGAAACCTACTTCGTAATTTTACATTATGTTCATTTTTTTCCTTAAGAGCTTAGAATTTTTCTTTGGTTTCTACCTGGATTTACTTACTGTATATATGTATGTACGTATGTATGTATTCATTCATTTAGATTTAGTAGATTAGAACTATTCTAGTAATCGATTAATATATCATGAAAATCCATCTGTGGAAGGAGTAACAAGCTGCTTTTAGAAACTTGATTTCTTTTTATTCTCCCAAGTATTTGGCTTAAATATTTCTTTGAAACATCACTTAATTTTTTCAAATATGTGGTTTAATTTTCTAGGAAGTAACGACTAAACTTTTAACAAGACAAATTGAATAATACAGTTTTACAGTAGGTTTTTCAAGTACGACCCATTCACATTCTTCTGATGAGCCTTTGATCAAGTCTTTCACTGCTGGGCAGTCTTACCTCACAGATTTAGGATATGTCAGGGACATCTGTGTCCTCCTAAATCTGTATTGGAGAGAATATTCAGGGAACATACATGGTGGTGATAGAATCATGGTATGGGGAATGGTCTGAATTCACCACCAATGAACACCTGAACTCTCTTCATTCATTTATCTTCTAGTTCCTCACTGAGCACCTACCGTGTTGATCAGGTGGAGAGAACACTCCCTGGCCTCTTGAAACTAACTTTCTACTTTCCCAGTTCTGCATCAGAATCCTTGTTCTATGCCAGTGCCAAGTCACATAGAGCTAAAAAATATTCTTCTTGGTAATCATGCACAGGCTGTAGCCTTCAAAATAAAATTATTCTTCGTGCTAAAAGGATGGTGTTTTCTGTCATTATATTGTTTCTGCAGTATGCTTGTTCAGTTATGTAAACTCATTTTCTGTGACATTTATAGGATCCTGGCCTAGAATGCAGGTTTAAAGGAGGAAAAGGCAGCAAAGAGCTTTGGTAGAAATAATTATTTCCCTGAGTAAAAGAAAGATAAAATGAGTTCATTTAAATTATAGTAAAAGTGGTTGCCAGTCGCCCAACATAGTGATCTCTTTTTTTTCCTTACCTAAATGAAATCTAAATCTTAGAGCCATTTTGAACGTTTTCTAAAACATGAGGTTGTTTTGCCAATTCGCTTTCATTTGGAAATAATTTTTAAATTTCCTATTATATCATAAACTTTGAATTTCAAAAACTGCTGCATGAAGCGCTGTTTTCATCTTTTTGTCCCAATATTTTTGATGCCACACTTCTGATCTTAAGGTTATATAATTTTAAAGGTTAGTCTGAATTTGATATTTACTGGGGAAAAAAATACTTATCAGTAGGGATTACCATTATCTTGGTTGTTGATGGGCACATTTTTTAATAGTGCTTACTTTACTGGATGTGTATTTAATAGGTCCATCAGCAATATTTACTGAGCCCAGAGTGTGAATAGAATGAAAATGTTTTCAACGTTGTGGCTAATTAGTGACGGGAGAAAAAAAGAAATACTTGAGCTTAAATTGTTTTAATAATTTCCTCAGTTTCTAAGTAAATCTCTGCACCCACACACCCTACCAAACTCACTTGCTCATTTCAGGTCACCTTATGTTGGACAAACCCTTTTAGAGTTACGCTTTGTTGGTTTTTAGATCTGAAAAAAAAAAAAAAAGGTCCATTGTCCATTCCCTCCCTCTCCCTGTTTTTCAGAAACTTATTTTATATTTAAAGGTTGCCAACATTCTAGCTGTCAAGGCCACACACAGTCAACCATTTGGACATCTAATCAACATTCAGAAGACATTTATTGAGCCCCTACTGTACACCAGACTCTGTTTTAGACATCAAGTTTGCATCTCAAGGTTTCTATTTATATTTTTATTTTTTGAGACAAGATGTCACTCTTTCACTAGGGCAGTGGCCCAGTCTCGTCTCACTGCAACCTCCGCCTCCCAGGCTCAAGCAATCCTCCCACCTCAGCCTCCCAATTAGCTGAGACTACAGGTGAGCAACACCATGCCTGGCTAATTTGTGTATTGTTTGTAGAGATGGGGTTCTGCCATGTTGCACAGGCTGGTCTCGAACTCCTGGGCTCAAACCATCTGCCCGCCTCGGCCTCCCAAAGTGCTGGGATTATAGGCATGATCCTGTGTACCCAGCATCTCAAGTCTTCAAAGGCAATTGGAAGATATATCTGATGACCTAGTTAATTCTGCTGGAATTGGTAGCCTCTGAAATGCTTGGGTGATCCCTTCTGGGTCTTCACTTGCTTGATTTTAGGATGTTTCTCCCCCTTGTGAAGAGAATGCAATGTTCAGCGTGCTCAGGAATGTAATCCTGAATATCAGATACCAAGTTACCACGGGCCTGGCTTAGACTGAGTATAAGACCTCTGTTTTTAGGGTTGTTGGCTTTGTCACCGTCAGGTCTTTTCTGCCTCTCACGCACTGCTGTTAGGAAGTCCTGAAGCTACTGACCCCCACAGATGCCTCAGATTGGGAGGACACACGTCAGGAAAGGATGAGAGTGACATGGGATCAGCCTGGAAGGCAGCCCGAGAAAGTGGAGGAAAGTAGAGGGTCTGTGTTCCTAGTGCTATTTAATTAAATCTGAAACTCCTTTTTATGGGTACTTATCATTTTACCCTCTGCTACCTACAAACTTTTTCTTCTGTTTTGCCTTTAATCTAAAGTATTTTAATAAGGCTCCCTTCCACATTCCTATCCTCTGCAATTGTTTTACATCTCTCCTTGCAATTATCCCAGAAAATAGTCTCTATATGACTTGATTTTGAAATGTTTCTTAGAATTAATCAATAACACCTTGAGGTTTTCCAGTTTAATTTGTATGTATTTATCTTGGCATATAGTGCACATCTCTCTAGCATGCAATTTTGTAGTTGTTTGGATGTTGGCAGGTTTTAGGGGTGGGAGGGGAGAAAGTTGTATTTTTAGCTATAGTGATTCACTTTGTAAATGGTGTACACTGTCGTCTGTCCTCCAGTTGATTTACTGCATATGGAATCAACTCACTCTAAGCACACCCTACAATTTCAGTGGTTTACAAAACCAATAAAAATATAAAATGCTGAAATAAATATTTAAGATTCCTTTTCTGCATTGCACTAAAGATATGATGGAAATAAATTGTAAAAGAAAGTATTTGCACTTGAGGAATTCAGGTAAAAGTCATGAAGCTATAATTGAAAACAGGATTGTAGGAGCCGAGTAAGACTGGGGGGAGATAATTAAATTTTACTATTTGTCTTATTTTTAATCATATATTCATTTACACAAAGCCAGTCTTGATGGACTACAAAATACACCATATGTTGTCATTTTAAAATAAAGTTTTGTATTTAAATTAGGCATGTGTGCTATGTGGCTGTATGCCACCACTCCCTGCATTAAAATCCTTCTCAACACGGGGCTTCAAGGAAACCACTACCAAACAATTAGAGTTCCCTAAACAATGAATCTATTCGCTATATAATTTTTAGATGCACCTCCAGCCTTACTCCTCCTTCACAGACCCTCTGCTCTAGCTCGCACAGTTTTCTTATTCTCTTACAAACATGGCAGCTTCCTTCAGTAAAGATCAACTCACAACCCAGCCTCCACCTAAGTTCATTTTTTTCCTTTGGTGTTCAAATCTCGCTCCCTACAGAAAACTTTTCCTGGAGACTATAGCCCAAAGACAGATTTCAGTGGTTCCCAAGTCAGACTGCATATCAGATTTAATGGAGACAGCTGTTCAAAATGTAGATTCCTGAGCCTGCCCCAGACCACCTTACTCAGATTGTGTCTAAATCTAGGAATATGTGTTCTATCTTGCTCCTCAGCCAATTCCTATGCAACTGCTTGGCATTCTCCATTCGTGTTTTGGGAACCACATGGGTGACGGAAAGAATCAGTAATTCTGGAGTCTGTTGGACCTGAGTTCAGATCTTAGCACCTGCACTTATTAGCTGACCAGGTTACCAGACTTCTCTGGGCCTCAGAGACTACAAAATTGCAGTTTCTTTTCCAAAGATTTTTTGTTTTGTTTTTTAGAGGAAGGATGCTCTGAAAGTTGAAGATACCACCCAACTAAGTTGGTACATCAAGTAGTGTGAATATAGTCTTCTGAAGATGGTCCTATGAAACAGACTGCTTTTCTGAGTGGGGTGTGGTAGCCAGTCTCGTTTATGATGTGGTCATACTGAGTAGCAGTGGCATTTCCCTCCCTCCCTTCTTCTAAAGTTCAAATGAGTTTTCTCTCTTCAATCTAGAACTCCCATAGTCATTTACGTTTAGAATGATTCCAAATGGAGAGTGAGTCTCAATTTCCTGTGCACTGAAGCACCCGTTGTATGGTGTATAAAGATATTGGGAACACTAGTGCCTTTTTGGGACCTGAGACTATTTAGATATTAAAGTAGATTTCAGAGCCATTTAAAGCAGATTTTTCAGTTCCTCATTCAGGAAAAGAGAATGGCAGTCTCAGAACTGGAAGGGACCTCAGCCCTTTTACTGAGTCTTCATGCCTTTATGCCAATAAATGCTTGGATCAGAAAATCTCATTGGCTCACCAAGCTGAGTCAGGAAACCTACCTGTAATAAGACATGTGTAAACCAAAACTATCAAACATTTTAAATTGTTTTAAATTGATGTTTTAACCAATGGCTGCCATCCATTGTACTATAATTGAATTAACTCGTATAGATAGAATCCTATTAGGCAGGTGGATTCCTTTATAGACTACCATATTTAGACACACACCTCCACCCCACCTTCTCTTGAAAGCTTTTGAAAAGGAATCTTTCCCAAAGGTTGATTTGACTATCTGCAGTGGAAAAACCTTGAAGAGTTAGGTAACCTCATTTACTAAAACAAAAAGCAAAGTGTATTTGTTGCATATTAAGTACTTGTCATGAGATGGATTCTGGACCAGTGATTTTATAATTATTAATTCTATGTGTATCTCTTATTAATTCTAATAACTGTGCAATAGAGTAGATACTATTGTTTCTATTTTACTTATAAGAACACTGAGGCCTGCTCAAGGTCAGAGAACTAGTAAGTGGCCGAGCTAGGAATCCAACACACGTCCAACTCCAAGGACATTTCATAGCAAGAAATGACAGACCATGATTTAGGCTGAGGTTTCTAAAATTTTGAATTCAATATTAATTATACCTATGAACTTTCTCCCTGCATAGCTTTCCACATATGCAACATTTTGCATACCGTTTCAAAAGGTCCAAGGACGCCCCAAAGTCCAGGATATCACCAATGAGTATGTAACTCTAGATTTAGCTTGACAGGAAAGATTGTTAAATAATTACAAGATAAATAAACAAATTCCTCATGTACCTCACATGTGGAATTTAGCACCATAGATGGTAATACAAAAGAATAATCTAATGAATGCATGTGTTACATTGGGCTTACATGTAAGTTACAACTGGGAGTTCAAGTTGTTCTTTTTGAGAGGGCAGCTATGCCATTTTTAGACTACTTAAAAAAATCACATTCTAGTACTCATATTTGCTTGTAGAAATAAGAATAGTAATAAAATTTAAAGATATTAGGGCTAAGCAAGACCTTAGGCATTATCTGAGATTACGGCCTTTTCATTTACAGATGAGGAAAAAGGGCCTGAGAGTCTCTGCAGTTTATCCAAGGTCACACAGCCAATTACAGTCAGGGTCACACTTGGAGCCTGGGATTTCAGATTCTTTTTCCCGTGCTTTTCCTACATTGAACTAACTAATTCATGGTATGCACATCCAAAGAAACAATAGGTGTCCATTCTGCATCTTGAGTCCATTCCTTTCCAAATGACTGAAACATGTTCTTGCTCTTTTGAAAATAAAACAGTAATAAGAGATTTAGCACAGATATCCTTTTCAGTCCCATAAAGGTTCAGATAGAAGCTAGAGTACATGCACGAAATTCAAGACTATGGCACAGAGGCCAGGAGCCATGATGCCGCAGTGAGATTAGGAATACTGGTCTGTTGGACCAGAGTTATGGATTATCATAAGCTCAATGATCTCAGTTACTCCCTCACTTCTTCATTCATTCACAAGTATTTATTGGGCACCCAAAGGTGGGTCAGGCCCTGTGCTTGGCCCTAGGAACAGAGACACATAGATCCAGCCCCTGTCCTCACCAATCTCAGAAGCAGGAGGGACATTTTGTTTCCTCAAAAGGTTTTCTCCTTAGAGGAAAATATTTCAAGTCTGTATTAGAAGGATATTGGCCAGTATACACAGTTTTTCCTTCAACAGGGACTCCACTCCCAGAAGTAGCCATGGATTGTAAACAGACTAATTAAGAAATAGGATCCTCGTATTTTTTCCATGAAGCTGATAATTAGCAGCCTTGACTTTTCAAGAGTGTCTCTAGTTATCTTAATGAATATTGAAAAATTCCCCCAATAAAAGTAATTCTCATTTCTCATAATTTATAAACTAAATTATTGTTAAATGGTAAACACAACTATAACAAAGTTATGTGGCAAAAACAAACGACAAGGAGGAGATGTGGCTGCTCCCAAAAGGTGGGGGTTTATTCCATTAGATGATCAAAAATGTGATGATGCCACAGCCATTCACATTTTACAAGAAAATGAGGCAAAACCGCATTTTAATACTGCCAGTTTACTCCTAGTAAATCATCACTCTCTAAATTAACTAATAATTTAGCATTTTTGTTCCTGCTTTAAAATGATTCTATACTAAGCTGCAAAATGGTGATGGCATTTTCAGATTTTGAATTTTTATGACAAGTTCAAGTTGCAAGCAACTCTTTTAAACCACAAGAGAAAGAGAAAGAGCTTACGAGCAAGCGCACTTGTGTGTGTGTAGATATGAACTAATGCATACAGAAGGTGTTTTCATGAGGGATTTCTGAATGTATTATAATGCAAATTACATTTTTAAGCTGACCAAACTATTGATGGCTTTATTGAATGAAATAATTTATTATAGAAATATTTTAGTCAGATGACGTTTCATCATCAGATAACACTAAACACAATAGCCATTTCCTATAAGACTGTTGTCTTGAGCCAAGGGCTTAAAAAAGAAGATAAAACTTGCTTTGTTCCAAACGTAGCATTGTACTAACAATTGTTTATTACACTACAGAAGAAAAGAGTTCTGCCAGCCAGACATGGTGGACTGGAAAAACATGCCATTGTGTCAGATCATCCCAAGAAATCTTCATTTTTCCCTCCTCTCCTAATAATGTTTGACAAGTGGAGATGAATTTTTAAAATCCAAGTCTCTTTTATGCCATTCATTGGGATAATACTATAAAATCTCTCCTCGGGTACTCAGAGTATTACAACATCAATGACCTGTCAGCAGCTGCATACAGTTTTTATTTTTAAGACTCTGTAAAGCTATGGTTAAATTCTAATTTTCTAAAATAGGTTTAAGTGTGGGGAGAGCCAAAATTAAGTGCACTTTTCTTGCTAGAAATCAGACCACAAATTGTACATTGTGCTTACAAAGATGATTAAGGCGGTCCCAGCCGCACACCAGCAGTTCGGCAGATTAATTGGAGCATGCAGATTTGTGTAAAAACATATGTTGGGATTGGAGTAGCTTTTTTTTTTTTAATGCTGTTTAAAAGTTTTTTGCAAGTTCCTGTGTATAATTTTCACATTATCTAATCCTCTCTTAAAAGCCTGAGTTTAAATTCATATATGCCCAATATTTAAGCATTTTGTCAAAATGGGAGCATCTTATTGATACCTTTCGCCCAGTTAGTTGGTGGCAAGCTTTTTCATTTAGGAAATCCCAGTGTTCATTATTTTTTAAATTGTTTCATGATGAAACCAGAGCCACTTGTTTAAACAAGGCATAACTTTAGGACCCAAAAAGAGCTAGAGCCTCAGAGCTGTGATACACATGAACATACAGTAAACACGGGAAACGTAAGTTGGAATTTGCTGAAAATATGATTAAAACTGCTTGCGGAAGTTTAATTTACCCCTCTATTTGTTAGGACTTGTTGGCTTGACAAACACTGTACCACAAAGCCAGCTAAACCCACACTGCTCATAATGGTGGCACAGACACCTGTAAGAGACATTTCAGAATATTGGCCAGTATTTTAATAATCTGCCTAAAACCTCATTAAATTAAGATCAGCAAGTAACTCTAAATGAAGAGACATATAACCCATTTTGATGTAATATAAAGCTCATTTATCCTGACTTTCCACAGGTTTCCAGAGTTCAATACTGACAGGGTTCATACACTAAGAGAAAATGAACGTAAAGCAAATAAGGAATATTTAGAATAAGTAAGCATGCACATCCTTAATACAAAGTTGACTTCACTTTAATTAGAGTTCAAAGCTGTAAGGCTGAAAATATGCATTTTTAAGGTAAATTTTTATTCCTTTAAATTGTCTCAATCCTATGATTTTATAACACTGTTATTAAAAATAACACTTACCGGCTTACAGGAGAGATTTGAGATAAAAACACAAAGTGCCTGTCAGAGTACCTGGCACTTTAGCAGGGGCTCAGTAAAGAGTAGGGAGGAAGTGGAGGAGGATCACTGGTAGCCGTGTAAGTGGTGCTAAGTTTGGACAACTAGGCAGTTAAGCCAGTTATTCCTAGGGAGAAAAAGGAAATTAGAGTCTAACAAGCAATAATTGCTCAAAGCAATTGTAAAGGACTACACATGTAACTCCCTTGCCATCCACAGATAATGCAATTTAGACAATATAAAAGTTTAAAAGGTGTAATAATCACTGGTCTTTTGCCCTTGTTTACTTAAGAATCTGTCTGCTGAAAATTTTCCTGTTGCCCTTATTATATTTGCTTTGCAGCAGTGACGAATAATCTATCTTATTCTGTGGATAAAATCTCCACACTTCACGGAGATTTTTTTATTGTTGGAATTTAGTTGGATCTCATATTAAATAATGCATAAACATTGCGTTATCCAATCTTATCTCTTTTTCTTTGGTCCTGCTTGCTAACTAAATTCTCCCCCTTTAAAAAACATTCTTTATATGCTTGATATCTCTCCTCCTCTTTGCTACTTTTTCCTTCAGTACCATAAACATAATTGTTGCACCATGGTGCTCTTGCTAGAAATAGGCTGGAATTCCTGTAAGCTCCACTTGATCAAGACAGCTCCCCTGTTGATTTTGTGGTATGGCAGGTGTGATTTTTCCCTGCCCAAGTGACACCACCAAATACTGTTAACTTAAGTGGACCTGTTTTGGCCATGAGGAGATGGGTTATCTTTCTGAATTAGCTAAGAGGTTGATTTCAGATGTCAGGGTGCTGCCCTTGTAAAGGTTTAGTGTACACGTACAGAGTCACCAAAAAGGGCCTCTGTGGTTCTTACTTTTGCACATTTCTGAGAATGGGGTGAATGATTCACATTTACATGGAGGATATTCCCAGCTATTAAGCCAGCCAGGGGAAATATCTATAAGTCAATCACAAAATAGCTAAGGTGTTCTCATAGACTTTGGTTCCCATCATAATAAAATTACAAATTTAGTAAATTGCAAAAAGAGGCACTAAAGTGATGATACCATATTTCAATAGTCTGTCTGATGCTCTTCTAGGCTCTGTGTTAACCAAAGAGTCCGGTAGGCCTCACACTTTGGCCCAGTGAGCCCTGGTTGTTCAGTTGAAAAGCGGTTGGATAATCACTAACATTCTGGGATCATGACTTACTAACCCGGGAGTCGAGTAGTCATGAATTGAAGCATAGGACATCTGTGAGGCAGAAGCAAGGGCCTCTACAAAGACAAGTTACACTGATACACACATTCACATACACACCTTAGATCAAAGAAGAGCCACTGATCAGTGCCTGAGCGGCTGATTGGACTTGGGACTTTTCTACACATTGCAACTTGAAAACTTGCTCTCCAGTGACCCAGGGAAAAACTATTCTCGTTACCTTGTGCAGATAACTAATTGGAAGTTGAGCACCTCTCAGGAGTTCCAATACTTTTTACAGAAAGAATTGGTGTTAAGCTATAATTCTTGAACTGAAGATTTATTGTAACTGAGAAACTGCTTGCCGAAGTTTAATTTACCCCTCTATTTGCTAGGACTTGTTGGCTTGACACACACTGTACCATAAAGGCAACTAAACACACACTGCTCTTAATGGTGGCACAGACCCCTGTAAGAGACATTTCAGAATATTGGCCACTATTTTGATAATTCTGCCTAAAACCTCATTAAATTGAGATCAGCAAGTAACTCTAAATGAAGAGACATATAACCCATTTTGTTGTAATATAAAGCTCATTTATCCTGACTTTCCAGTGGTTTCCAGAGTTCAATACTGACAGTGTTCATACACTAAGAGAAAATGAAAGTAAAGCAAATAAGGAATATTTAGAATAAGTAAGCATGCATGTCCTTAATACAAAGTTGACTTCACTTTAATTAGAGTTCAAAGCTGTAAGGCTGAAAATATGTATTTTTAAGGTAACTTTTTATTCCTTTAGATAAAATTGTCTCAATCCTATGATTTTATAACATTGTTGACACAGTGAATGGTACAGATTGGGTTATGTTCCTTATCACCTTCTAACTCTATTAAGAATGCTACTTGCCCTTTTACCTAAAAAATTATAATATTTCTGAAACTGTGCTAAATGTATAGATTTTTTAATCGTAGTTGTTTGTTCACTGTGTGTATCGTGTACTTCCCCTGAGTGGACACATCTCATTGTGACAATCTCTCATTTTTATTCTCTCAGTATTGTGGTCTTTTTAATCCTGTGTCCTTCTGATTGAGTCTGTGGACACAAATTTCATAAGGTCAACTGTTTTATGACACACAAGATCATATTAGACCCCAGTATACTGGCCACCAATATACTGAAGGCTGCCCATCCCACATCTAACCTGCTTTCATTCTCTTTCTGCTGTGTCTGCTTTTATCTCTGTTCTTTTCTTCATGATCAATCTTGAAAGAGTCATCTGCATTCAGGGTCCCTACTTCCTCATGTCTCTGAGTCTGTCTCCACCTCCATCTCTGGGGTGTAACTGCTCTGATAGTACCTCCTAGTTGTCAGACCCTGCAGAGATGTCTTGCTCCTTATCCTTTTTGACCACTCTCCTCTCTCTGACCCTTCAAACCCACTCTTGACTTCTGTGATACCACTCTTTCCTGATTCTCTTTCCACCCTGTTGATGCCTGTCTGCCGGCATAATCATCTTTGCTTGTTCCTTCTCCTCCACCTGCCCCTTACATTCTTGGCCTCATGTTTCCATCCTCACACCCCTGGTCTCCTTACTCCTCCAACAGTCTTGTCTAGGTACCTGTCTTCGCATCATTTCCAGACGTGTGTCATCAGATTCAATCTTTGTTTTGTTTTTATTTTTGTTTTTTATTTCCAGATTTATTCTTTTAACTGGCTACTGCACTGATTTTCAAACTGAGTTCTAGGGAAGCCCTGAAGTACCAGGCATGGATGCCTCTATTTTTGTCTCTGCCCTGGTTCTTACCCATACATGCTTCTCCATCTTATATCCTTCTTCTCATCCTTCAAAACCAAATAGAAATTTCACCTTTTTAGTTAAATAAGCCACCTCCATCACTACCATTGAAATGTGGTAGCTTTTCAAGCATTTCAGTGTAATATTAGTAGCTGTGCTCTCATACTCTTAACCCACACTTTCATTTGCATTAGCAAGGATACTGTAATAATAAGAATGATGCAAAGTTAGAAGGACTACTTTTCTAGCCCTTTAAAATCAATAGTCACTTGTATACAGTTTATTCAGTCTTTTGTTATTTGAATATACTATCTCTCATTGTATCCAGAACTGTCTTAAGATTATAGTGAATATACATAACTCCCCAAAATCTATTTGGTTAACTAATATCAAATAAGTTGTTCTTATAGCACTATTGTGATAATACATATACTTTTATATCTTCTTAGTATTAATTCTGAAAATTAGATTTTAATCGTACTATAGAGATAGTCTATTCTGTCACTTAAGGACTGATTTCTGTTTGTTTGAAAAATGTCCTTTTGTTTTAATTTCATTCCCAATATATAGCCATAGGAATCATAGCAAAGACCAAAGACTAGGTAATATGTATCATATATTTAGATATGTATCACATATTTAATATGATAAATATGTATTAATATGTATCATATATTTAATGTGATATTATTCATACTTTAAATGATGTTATTCATACTTTTTAATAGAAATTGTACAACTCACAATTGTGAAATTGAACTAAGACCAATATATTTTCACTTACCTGGAAAGGTAAAATATTGCCTCACATTTAAAGAGCAATATGACGATAATTTTATACATATATATATATATATATATATATATATATATTTTTTTTTTTTTTTTTTTTTTTTTTTGAGACAGAGTTTCACTCCTGTTGCCCAGGCTGGAGTGCAATGGCACCATCTCGGCTTACCGCAACCTCTGCCTCCTGGGTTCAAGCGATTCTTCTGCCTCAGCCTCCCGAGTAGCTGGGATGACAGGCATGCGCCACCACACCTGGCCAATTTTGTATTTTTAGTAGAGACAGGGTTTCTACATGTTGGTCAGGCTGGTCTTGAACTCCCAAAGTGCTGGGATTACATACATGAGCCACCACATCCAGCCCGATAATTATATTTTTAAAAAAACAGATGAGCAGTTTGAACTCAGGCATAATGTTTTAATTTTTTTGAAGCTCTAATTAGTACATCCTGACAGATAAAAATTAATGTTACCTTCAGAAGTTTTAGGATACCTGACCAAAAATAAAAAAACCCAATTTATATATTTTAAAGGTTTGTCTATGAATACGAAATAAAAAATAGCTTGTCAGAAGGTGAAGTCAGCAAAATGTGAAATATCTGAATATCTCAATTAGTTTCAAAACAAAATTATTACTTAAATATATTTTAATAATGCTTAGCAATTATATCAAATTTGTAGCATTTAAACACTGAATAATTATCATTTTTTTTATTTCTGTTTACAAGATAAGATGCAAATTGTAAGGACTCATTTGATAAATGTGATAGGGTTTATAGGGTAAAATGGTTCACCAAAACTTTCCAGGGTTCCTTAGTAAACTCTGAACAAGAAATCAGAAGACCTTCATCCTAATAACTCCAGTATCTTGCCAATAAGTCTCCAGGAAGTCACTTAGTTTCTCTGAATACTTCATCCTCCTAAATAACAGACTCGCATTTTCTAGAAAGCATAAAGTACCATACAAGCATAAATTGGAAGAATTGTTTTGGTCCACACATAAAATACACTAACACTAATAATAGCTGATGAGCTTTAAAAACAATCACAAAAAAATCTCATAATGTTTTAAGAAAGTTTACGAATTTGTGTTGGGCTGCATTCAAAGCCATCCTGGGTCACATGCAGTCTGTGGGTTGGACAAGCTTGCTCTAGACTGACTGTCCCTAGTGCTTCCATTCCCTGCATGATTACTGTCATTTAACTTTGGGTAATTTATGTACATTTGTCCAAAAAACTGACATCCGCCACTCACACATGCAAGTTGAGGAGTTCCAAAATTGCAGACCATTTTCTTGAGCTAATTATGTTCAATCCTTTAGAGTAAACAAATATAGAAACATTTTAAATAAAGTTTAATCAGATTATGGTAAACACTTTGGAAAAGAAGGTGGGCATTGAGTCAATATATATACTCTAAATCTTCTGCGACCTTCCTAGTTTTTCAAGATGTATATTTTGTTAAAAAATTAATGGGTGAAGGAAGTCTGAAAAAAAGGTTGGTCAACAGGTACAAAGTTACCATGACATAGGAGGAATAATTTCTGGTGTTCTGTTGCACATTAGGGAGACAGTGGTTAACAGTAAGGTATACTTATTACAAAATAGCTAGAAGAGAGGCTTAAGACAAAGTCCAGACATCACACCGTGAGTCTCAAAGGCTTCCTCTTAAAATTATGCCCCACACATGATGTCCTTCCTCCTCGTGAAAGTTATTATTTCCATCCTCTTCTGAAATGTCTGTTCTTGTGCTGGAAGGTTTGAGAGCAGCAACTGACTATCTAAAGGCATTAAAGTAAAGAATCTTCAAAATTGACATGGGGCTAGTGAGGCCTACCAAAGTCAGTCCTAGAAACCATTGAGTAATCTTGGTGAGATAAAAGAATTCGCCTTTCAAATGGTGGCTGTTGGTCTGTTTCAGTAAAACTAATGCTTGGTCCATAAATAAGCCTAAAGGGTGTTATAAATGTTGGGAGCTGTGGGTGATTGATCTACGTTTGTTATATCATGAAAATAGACTGAAGCCACAAGGGTTGCTTCCCTGTGGAAATCGTGGTGGTAAATTGCCATATGTGTCCCCGTTATGGACCTAGCTGATCTGATTGTGGATATAACAACTTTACAGACTGGACTGTTGGTCTCTTGAGATCTCCAGTGTCTTTCTGTGAAGTCTAATAAATAAAATAGCACCTTGCTTTTCAGCCTCAAGCACAGAACTTGGCAGGGAATTGGAACTGTTGCCAGCAATCTTTCCCAGCTCTAAACTCTAAATGCACCTTTTCCAGAGTTGTTACTGTTCAGAAGTCTGGCTAGAACTGGATTTGTGTTAACCTAAAAGGTAAGGAAGGTACGCCAGTGTTGCAATATTGCATATCATCACAAAGGTTGAGGTGACCCAAACATACTGTTAGACTAAAGGTACAAGTTTTGTTGTTCGGCAGCAGAGTAGAGTGACTATAGTTAACAACAATGTATTGTATATTTTAACGTAGCTAGAAAAGAGGGCCTTAATTGTTCCCAACACATAGAAAGAAATACTTGAGATGATAGATACCCTAAATTCCCTGACTTGATTATTACACATTCTACGCATGTAACAAAATATCACATGTACCCCATAAATGTCTAAAATATTATGTATCAATTTTAAAAAATATTAAAGGTTGAGATGACCAATTTAAACTAAAAGGGAAAAGTTCCAGTTCATTTTCCTCTAAAAATATTCCAGCAAATTCCCTGGGAGAAAAAACATAAAGCATGAAAAGCAGTTAACTTTAACTTTTCTCTGAGTGTGCCAGTCAGCACCAATGGCTCTCTTTCTTGTTTTAAAACAACAACAACTTTAGGTTCGGGGATCTATGTGCAGGCTTGTTATATAGGTATGCTTTTGTCACAGGAGCTTGTTGTACAGATTACTTCATCACACAGGTACTAAGCCTAGTACCCAATAGTTATTTTTTCTGATCCTCTCCCTCCTCCCACTGTCCACCCTCGAGTAGGTCCCAGTGTCTGTTGTTCTCCTCTTTGTGTCCTTGAGTTCTTATCATTTACAATGGCCCTCTTTCTTGAGGAAGTAGGAAAGCTCCTCAAATGAACAAAGGCAAATGAATCAGTAAAGCAAACAATAGCAGTATTTTCAAATCATTCAGCCCATCTTACATATGCCATAAGGTTTGACATCTAAACTAGACCTACACAAAATAGCTATGCAAAGATACTCTGCCTGACTTTTCTCTGTATTATTTGGCTATTTAACAAATATTTATTCAATGTCTACTGTGTGCCATTAACCACTAAATGCCAGGTAATAATGAAGTCGACAAGACACTTGCCTGCATAGCACAAACTATCTAGTGGAGGAGATAAACATTAAATGCAAATAAATATATAATTGTAACGTCTTTAAACTTATAGTTTGGCAACAACAGAAGAGTCTTTTTACCATTTTGTTTCTGAACTCCTTAGAATCATAAATCTTCTAAGTCTACATAAAGGCCATAAATTCATATGGATTTTATTATACCATATATCTGTAGAGGCATAAGTATCTCATTAAAAATAAATTTAAAACCTAGTTATTGTTTATGGAAGACATTGGACATAATATTAGGAATCGTTGTTATTTAGTATCTAGTATTGAATGAGTATTTGGACTCAACCAGTTCTCATAGCTAGTTAGGCATATTTATCTTCCTGTTTCCTTCAACAAGTGTTTCTTTTAAAAGTGATCATCGATGTGTTTTAGCAGTGGTCCTTTCTATAATGGAGTTGGGTGGGGTTTTCTCTGCATTTGGTGTATTATATTTTACTAGGCTGACAGGGACTACACCTACATCAATAACTTCACACAAAGTAGGGCCTTTTGTAAGCATGAGATGCTCACAGAGTACTTCAAATATTATCTTGCATTGGCCTTAGCCTGGTCTGTTAGTTCAGGCCCTAAAAATAAACACATATTAATCAGCTAATGGCAGCACGCGCAGACCAGCACGCAGGGACCTCAGTCTAACCTCATGCAATAGCTTGTCTTATGTCACCCAGGATGAGGCAGTTTGCAGCCAGGAACGCCTCTAAAAGAAAGACCGTCACAAGCTTAACTAAATGTTTAAAATAACCTTCTAACTCCTCTTCACATTGACAGATTGCTTTCAACTCAGTGAAATCAAACCGCAGCCCCAGCCCTGGTGGCTCTATGGGGCCATCTTAGAGCCATAGAGTTTGTAAAGTAAAACTGCAGGTTGTCAGAGCATCGAAGTGTAGCTCTCTCTTGTCTTGTTTTTAATCAAAAAACAATCAGAAGGGAACTCACTCCTGGAAGTCCTTATCTCCATAAAATTCAGCTAATGACTCCTGTTAAGTTAAATAAAGTTTCTGTGTAACTCACTAAGGAAACTGTTAGCCGTTCACCTCGTGCCCGCAGACTTCTCAAAAAATACAAATCGGGGGAACCCTGTGGAGCTGGGCTGTGAATGTTTATATACACATACTTTGTCCCAATGACTCCGGAAAGTTGAGCCCTCAGTATAGTTTTCAATTTTTTTGAATGACAGTCTTTTTTCTGTATGAAGTGGAAATGAGGTGGGGCTGGGGGGGAGGGTGGATTTGTTTTAATGTACGCTTTTCTTGAATCTGTTTATCCCCAAATAAGTGAGCTGCAGTAGATACTTTGGTCCAGCACAAAGTAAATATTTAGCTCACAGATTCCATGCAGAAACATGGCCCAGAGTATTTGGGTTTCAAGAAAGAGGATCACCCTCAGGCGAAGGCCTCCTTTGTACTTGATAGGATTGGGCTTTCTATCAGTGTAGCATCCCATCGGGCCCACCAAGCACCTTGGTCTGCTATACCGTGCCCTTCCCTCCGGTCCTCATCAGCCCCATTCCCACTCCACCTTTAAGCTGTGTCGTGCATGGCCATGATCTTTCTTTCTCCTGAACTTTCCTGCACCGTCCTGAAAGTCCCCCTGATCTTTCTCTCCACTCGATCTGCATGTGGCTCTTCCTTGAAGTATCTCCCCCCTCTTACCCACTCGGTGAACTTTGACTTCAAGACTGAACCCAGAGACACCTCCCCTCTGCTCAGAGCCTTGCCAGGTAAGAGTTAAGTGCTTCCTTCTCTGAGCTACCCCAGGGCCTTCTGCATAGCTCTCTTAACAACCTTTCTGTTTCTTTCATACACTCATCTTTTTACCTGCTTGTCTCCCTTACTACTGAGAGTCCCTGAAAGACAGGAGCTGGGTTCATGTTATCTTTGCCTCACCAAAACATGGCCTCCTTTTCAGGGAAGCAGAAGGTATTCCTGGCCCTATTCTGCAGTGAGGGTGAGGGGGAGAGAGCATTACAAGCTGACAAGAGCACTATACTAGAAGTAAGTAGAGCCAGGTCCATGCTGTCAGTCCCTCCCGTGTTATCTTAAGCAAGTCACTTGACCTCAGAGAGCCTCAATTTCTTCAGCTGTCCTATCAGAATAATGCATTTTTGGGGGATTAGATAAATTACTGTACACTTTGTGGAAGTATTTTAAGAACTGTGAAGCATTCCTCTCCTCATCACTTGAAGAATAGAACCAGAGTTCACTAAAGCTTATCCTGCCCTTTGGATCCAGCCCTGCAGTTTTCTGTACTCAGGCATGATCCTTCAACTGTTTCTTTACAAGGCAAAGTTTTTGTTTCCTTAACTTGGTATTTATTTCCTGCAATTGTCTGATAAAAAGCGGCTTCATTAATCGCGAGAAAACAAAGAGTTTGGGCAGCTTTAGAAATTGCCGCTGGCCACTGGGCTTCCTAAAACCCCATTGTGTGATCCCCACTCTGCCTTAAAGGCCAGCATCAGTGTCCCAATGCTTTTCCGTGTTCTTTTTGCAAGTGCCGTGCCCAACAGTAACCATCATCTGTTTCGCTAGTTATCTGTTTACATTATCTTCTTCCCAGAGACTTTATTAGTTAAAAATGCTCTTCTATTTTCTGTTGTTGCTTTTTCATTATTTTCTTACTGTGGTGAAAAAAAAAACCCCACATAATATTAAATATGCCATCATAACTATTTTTTTTTTTTTTTGAGATGGAGTCTTGCTCTGTCACCCAGGCTGGAGTGCAGTGATGCGATCTCGGCTCACTGCAAGCTCCGCCTCCCGGGTTCACTCCATTCTCCTGCCTCAGCCTCCCGAGTAGCTGGGACTACAGGCGCCCGCCACCACGCCTGGCTAATTTTTTTGTATTTTTAGTAGAGACGGGTTTCACTGTGTTAGCCAGGATGGTCTCGATCTCCTGACTTCGTGATCTACCCACCTCAGCCTCCCAAAGTGCTGGGATTACAGGTGTGACATCATAACTATTTTTAAGTGTACAGTCTTAAGCATGTTTACATTTTTGTGCAACAGATCTCTAGAACTTTTATCTCGCAAAACAAACCCATACTCATTAAACACTAATTTCTTCTTTCTCCTACCCTTGGCAGCTACCTTTCTACTTCCTCTTTTTATGATTTTGACCCCTTTAGATACTTTATTTGAGTGAAAGCATACAGTATTTGTCCGTTTATGACTGGCTTATTCCATTTAGCATAATTTATATCCTTGGGGTTCAATCATGTTGTAGCATGTGACAGGATTTTCCTCTTTTTTAAGACTGTGTAATATTCCATTGTACATGTATATTACATTTCTTTATCCATTCATACATCTATCAGTGGACATTTGGGTTGCTTTGTTCTTTCTCTTTTTAAAAAGCAAATATTAAAACAAAGATGAACTATTAAACTTGGCAAGATTTCAAAATGCTCCTAGTCTAAAATCAGCATATCAAAAAGATATCTGCACCTCTATGCAGCACTATTCACAATAACAAAGATATAGAATCAACCTAAGTGTCCATCAGTGGATGAATGAATGAAGAAAATGTGTATGTATACACAATGGAATACTATTTGGCCATAAAAAAAGAATAAAGCCATGTCATTTGCAACAACATGGATGGAACTGGAGGTTATTATGTTAAGTGAAATAAGCCAGGCACAGAATAACAAATATCACATGTTTTCGTTCATATATCGGGGCTTCAAAAGTTGATCTCATGGGGGTAAAGAGTAGAGTGACAGCTATCCAAGGCCGGGAAGAGTGTGAGTTTAAGAGGGTGGGTGGATGAAAAGAGGTTGGTTAATGGATA
This sequence comes from Homo sapiens, assembly GCF_000001405.40. Taxonomy (NCBI): domain Eukaryota; kingdom Metazoa; phylum Chordata; class Mammalia; order Primates; family Hominidae; genus Homo; species Homo sapiens. The sequence continues at coordinate 36,795,183 of NC_000015.10, forward strand.
CAAACATACAGTCAGATAGAGGAGTAAGTTCTAATGTTCAATAGCAGAGTAGGGTGACTGTAGTTAACAAAAGTGTACTGTGTATTTCAAAATAGCTAGAAGAGAAAACCTAAAGTGTTCCTAACACATCAAAATGATAATTATTTGAGGTAATGGATACCCTAAATTATCTGGATCATTACACATTCTATCACATGTACCCTATAAATACACAAAATTTTATATACCAATAAAAGTAATAAAAATGTTTTAAGTTTTTGGTCTAATAGGAAATGTATTCAAGATGGTACAGTGAAACTTCATTGCCCTGAAATTGGTGTATGCAGCCCTTCTTTGTTGTGTAAACTAGACTTAAATGTTCAAACAGGCACAGCAGTGTCATGTTATTAACAACAGAAACTTATATTTAAATAACATTTAGGTCACTGACATCACCAGGATTTTCTGTCTAGTCTCTTTTAAAGTAGAGTTTCTCCTGGTCTCATGAAGCTGATCAGCTCTTGTTTTTATTTATTTTTATTATTATTTATTATTTTTATTTATATAGTCTCACTCTGTTGCCCAGGCTGGAATGCAGTGGGGCAGTCATAGCTCACTGCAACCTCGAACTCCTGGGCCCAAGCAATCTTCCCATCTCAGCCTCCTAAAATGGTGGGATTACAGGAATGAACCTCTGCACCTGAACTAGCTCTTATTTTTCAAGGCAGAAATGACCATGTGAAATGGTTCTTCCTGCTCTCTAGCTCAAAGAAACATCTTATCTAATTATAAATTTAGGAAATTTTCTGACCTAGTTTACTCACGTTTCCTACCCCTCAGTTCTGCGTTACAAATTTTCATCCTGGGTAAAGTATGACCTTGTATTGCCTTTGGTTAGTACTTTACAGATAACAGTTTTCTTTTTCCTACTGAGTTCATTTCCAGATCTCTGGACAGAGATCTAGTCTACTCATGGAAAGATCTGTGGTGGGGATTTAGTGGAGAAGAGTTCAGAAAATTTCTTTATTAGATTCTACTGTTGGGTGGGGTTTTTGGCATCAGGCAACAATGAACATATACAGATTCAGTTGTTATGAAGTTTATTCTCAAATCCACCTTGAACTTCAGGGCACAAATGCTATTCTATTCACTTTATAGATAGAGAAATCTTGGGGCTATGCCAGGAAAATAAATCTGGAGTAGTCAGTCATGGATTAGCTGCAGGGGCATTACATTTACTAGAATGCCTTACTCTCGTTGTGCTTAGGAGGGAACCAAATAGAAAAAAATTACAAAGCCCAGAACTGCAGAATGATTCACAAAACCTCAAGAATGACAGGTAAGATATTTTCCACCACACAGACCCTCAGCACAACCAGAATCGAGTGCAGGATGGCCTCCCAGACCTGTCTAGCACTGGCATCCAGTCCCCTACCAGGCATCTGTCTGCTCATGCAGTCAAGCCTCTTCTGTTCACCTCAGATGTTCATACATCGGGGCTTGAAATCCCCATGAGATGTTGCCCTGTCGGGAACCATCCTCTGGAGCTGGACCAGTGTGCCTTTTTAACTCCCTAAACAGAGCATCCCTCTTCGTTTGGAAATGTCTGTGGCTCAGAACTTCATCTTGCAGATCCAGCATTAATTAAGCTATGCCTTTAAAATATAATCAGGTACCATCTTTACAGACTTAAAATTTCTAACTATAAAGTTGACCTTTGAAGTTCACATATTTGCATTTCCCTTTTGCTGAGCTTAATTTTCTATTTTGCTATCATGACTCTTTGAAGAAAAGGCAGAGTATAAATACATTAAAAGCCGCACAACCGACATACAGAAACTGTAAGATTCTCATTTTCTTAAAGGAGCACTATTGAAAATGGTGCAAAGATCATTTTGTAGAGTTTGTATGTTATGGAAAAGTAGAGCTGTGAAGAACACAGATGCCTGCTGAACCTAGGAATGACATAGGCATTGTAGAGATGGCAGTTGTGGTTCAATGAGTGCAAATCCATGTGTCATATACAAATACAGTTCACTTTAATAGTTTGCTATCTCTTCACTCATCTTAAACACCTTAAGGTATTTGGAAAGGGAGGAAGAAATAAAACAGATGAACCTGCTGAGATATGGCCAGGAACAGTAGTACTTCATTTTGATTGATGTTTTTACAACCTTATCTTCTAGATAAAAGCGACTGTAAACAAAAGCCTACCTAAACTGATTGTATTTAAAGGAAGCAAGAGCCACCTGTGTGCAGCAATTGGCTCCCAAGTGCAGTCTTTCCTCCTAGCAGCCAATTCTTGCTGCTCACAGCCTTGCAGCCACCACTTTAACCATCAGTAGTGTTACTTACAGGGACTAGTACTCTTGGTTTCTACCACTCTTTAAACCACAGCATCATCTCCCCCTTAATATCCTAGACAGAATAGATTCCTACCAGCAATCCCAGCAATCTTGCAATTCGCTCTTCAGAAGTGTACAACTTGGACATATTTTTAAGGCTCATTTTCTTACCTTTAAAAATGACTTTCCGTGGCCAGGCATGGTGGCTCATGCCTGTAATCCCAGCACTTTGGGGGGCCGAGGCGGGCAGATCACCTGAGGTGAGGCGTTCAAGACGAGCCTTGCCAACATGGTGAAACCCCGTCTCTACTAAAAATACAAAAATTAGCTGGGCATGGTGGTGCATGCCTGTAGTCCCAGCTCCTCAGGAGACTGAGGCAGGAGAATCATTTGAACCTGGGAGGCGGAGGTTGCAGTGAGCCAAGATCACACCACTGCACTCCAGCCTGAGTGACAGAGCAAGACTCCATCTCAAAAAAAAAAAGACTTTCCTTCATTATATAGTAGAGAGTTATTAGCAAAAAAAAAAAAAAAAAAAAAATTATTTTCCAAATGAGTAGTAACACTGACATCTTCTTCTTCTAGGGCAAGGGACTGTAGAGTGATATTCATTTGTGTATTCATATATCCACTCAACAAATATGTATTGGCTGACTCCTATGTGCCACTGAAATACAAGCTGCCCTCATGAAGCTTACATTTTAAAAGAAGTGTTTGTTTGATAACTGCAAGGCCAGGTTATCCATAATTTTTGAAGACCCATTTTTAAAATCATTTTTCCTTATCTGATCATTTTTTCTAATGATCTAGACATTTCTAACTTCTAATTTATTTTTTTCCCCTTTCTGGCATTTGCCTTCATGAATCTGCAAAATTGGGATGTTTTGCTTTTGGGGACTAGGTTGGCTAGCCAAAGAGATTTTCCTTATCATTAAATATTTCTTGTGACTAAGAGAAAAATTTAACTGCCCATTTAGAGTGAGTTGGGATCTGACATACCAAAGCATTGTGTCACATTTGGTTAATGATAGATTTATAGGGCAAACATGTATCAGCCCTAATCCTTCAGTTATTTGACTTTGCCGAGGATGAAATTCCAATAATTTTTTATTTTAAGCAGACTTTTATATATCCAAAACCCATAAATCTCTTTGTTCCTTGAGATAAACATCTGACCGAACTCTGGGTTACCCTGTGATCCTTTGAGAACTATGCCAAGGAAAAAGAAACTCCATTCCCTCCATTAGCGAATAATTAAGGGCTACTTGAAAAAGACATATTTTGGGTACGCAAGATTTATGTAGTCTTTTCCATTTTATAATGTGGTTCTAATTTCTAATATTCAGAAAGTTAGTTAGAAATGGAAAGTTCAGAAATCACCTCAAAATTCATCAGAGCAAGTCTGATGGTTGATTAACTGGCAAACACCAAAATGGACTGCACCACTGTCAGCCAGGCCTTGCCAACTCCATGATCACTATCCATTATGGTTGTCATATCAATTATAAATTCTCTGGCATCAAACACTAAATCAGCTGAAATGATGGGTTTGCCTTTGGCGTGTTTCCCTGGGGAAATAACTGAGAAAACATGTAATAATTCACACGACCAATTTTGTTAAAACAAACACCCCCAACTTTTGGAAGAAGGCTGGGGTATAAATTCCAGATCGATGGACATGATTTGCACCCAGTGTCCACATGAAGTGTTCTCTCGTTTTAGTACTTAAGTAAGTAAGTGTTTTCAAAGTAAACATAACTTCGGGTACTTTGTTACTTTTAGGGTTTCTATGTCTTTTGCTATGTTTGCTGTCTCTCTCTTCCCATTTGAGAAGGTGTTCTGTCTTCTCCATGCATCCTGTTTGAAACAGAACCACAGCTATTGTCCTGAAACTCATCCTCCCGTTTCCCAGTGAAATCATCTCAATATACTTCTGACCCCATCATCCCTCTAAGTCTCTCGGGACCCCTAACCTCACCTTTCCCTCCCCTCAAAAATGGATGTATCATGGAGAAAGTTTAAAGGGCTGATGTGAATAAATACAACATAGTTAAATAGTTGCCTTTTCCAGGAAGACTTCTAGAATCATTGTCATTGCTCTAATTAGTCTGTTACTGTGAACCCTTTGGCATTTTGTTTATTCAAGTGATATAGTTTACTCTGAAAATGTGAAGAGATATTGATTACTATGTTAAGCAATTTATGGAGAGGAGCTTTTCTTCTGTGACTTGTGCTCTATGCAGGATGGATAGACAAGCTTGTATGTAGATTCTTATAGGTAAATGCAGAGGGGCTGACCCAATCCAGGAGTAAACATTTCTTCTAGAAAACAGAGAGTAAAGACAACAGATTAAAGACAAAATCACTTCTGCCTTTGTTTTCTATTGTAATCTTCTGAGAAAAGATTTACAACAGGCTAGAAAGATTATAAATATAGCATCTATCTATATCCAATATAGAACAAAGCAAAGTAGAAATTAACTACTTTTTCAGGTAATTTAACATGGATGTGAAAATATCAAGGTATATAATCACCATGGAGAATTTCAGAGTGTTGTGGTTGTATATTTATATACATTTAAATTTTTGTTCAAAATAACATTTTCTTTGTGGCATAAAGGCCCAAAGTGAATCAGTATTTATCATATGCTTTTACTTTTTTATTTTCAAAATTATAGAAAGTTGTTTCAAAGAGATAAAGTTGCACTTTTCATAGCCAACATGCATAGATTGAGTGAGAATACTCATAACTAGGTTCTCTTTCTTTGGTCATTTCAGTCTGCAAATACAGACCTGGCAAGGTAAGAAAAAGTAGATGAAACAACCAAGTTATCATATTTTAACTTCATTTCTACGAAAAAAGAATATTTGTATTGTATATTAAATTGACCATAGTGCCAGAACTTTATGATGTTATATTACATGATCACTAATCTATTATTATTGTACACGTATTTACACACAGGCATAAGTATACACATACTTTGCATATAAACATGTGCAAGCATATTTCACTTGGACTGAAAGGTTATTTACAACTCTGTCTGGATATACATACAACAGTGATTAACAAGTGCATAACCAATCTACAACACGTAGATTAAAACTAAATAAACAGTGTAAGAGTTTATTTTAAAACAATTACAAGATGTTTTATGTTTCTCCTTCATCGTGAACTATGTGTTTGAAAACGCACTCTTCATAAAAACCACATGCAAGTCTTTTTTTGATGGTGAAACAATCGACTTCCAACAGCCACATGTCTGCACACATCCTCAGAAGATAGCACAGACCCCACACAGCAACTCATAATAAGAGAAAAAGAAATATATATATGATTATGATTATACATATGTGTGTGTGTGTGTATATATGTGTGTGTGTGTGTGTGTGTGTGTGTGTGTATATATATATATATATATATATATATATATATATGATTCTCTGCTGTTCTTGTTTTAGAGAAGGAGTTTATTTCCCTATGATTGAAATAAAAAATTTGGGCTAGGAATGAAGGTTTCTGTATGTTTTTATTGTTTGATGAAGACCCTCATGAACAAGAAACTTAAAATTATCAGATCATTCCGTAGTCTACTTGTCATTCTTCAATTGAGAATTGTTTGTTTCATTGACTAGATGCAGATTTATATTGTAGGACTCTACTGCACTGAGAATCCTTGTTTATGCAATTATGGTAATTCAGCTCATTGGGAAGAAAAGTATTAGGTCAATTTCAGCAGTTTCCGTGATTACAGGTAGAGAGACAAATTATGTAATAGTACATAAATCCCACACCTTTCACCGTCTTATTACCAAAAGAGATGTAAAAGCATACTAGTTTAAAAAATATATGTAGTGGTTTTCTCATAGAGCTGAAAACATGGGTAAGCCAAGTTAATGGCACAAACATAAGATGCATCTGTATACTAGAGGTATTTTAGGAGCAAAACTGGGGCCTTTGGGGCATACTGTATCACCCTGTTTAACAAGTTCTGAACCTTCTTTTCTGGGAAAACAAATCTCTACCTCATACGTTCACTTAGACCCGTTGCTTCCCTCAGTTTTCCTCATAACTTATTCCAGCTGTTTATTTCCATTTATATGAACAAGCTGTGGCAGTGTTCTGGATTTACTCCTCTTCCCTCATGTTTAGATTCTGCCCCATAACTTCTGAACCCCTTCACAGCGTGAGACATTTCTCTTCTCTGAACTTTATGTAGTGATTCTGTAATTCTCATTCCCTAGCTTACTTCCACCTGTTTGTCAAAGGTTTAAAATATGCTCCCTCAAAAGTAATTATTTTCATTTCTTTTGCCAGAATTATGGGTTGCTTTTCCATCTACTTCCTAAATGTGGTGATACTTAAATTGAAATAAGTAGCCAGATAAACTTTTTAGCGTGAAACTATTGACATCAAACTTAGAGTTATTCCCTGTGTAGATAGGTGGATCCCAACTCATATACTGGGGTTTTGATCAGTTGCCTTGCTTCTGGACCCCTGCTTGCCTATCACCTATCCAGGTGTAGTAAATATTTTTCAGAGTCAAATGACTGTTATAGAATGCTATATAAACACAAGGTATAATGAGACAGTAAAGCATAGTAGTTACAAGGGTAAGCCATAGAGCCAGGCGGCTTGGGTTCGAAACCTGGCCCTTTTTGGGCCCCAGTTTCTTCATCTGTAAAATGAGGATAGTCATAGTGCCCTCCTCATAGGGTGGCAGTGAGTACCAAATTAGTCTGTACATGTAAAAGTTCTTGAAACACTGCCTGCTCAGTAAATATTAGTTACCTCTTTGTTGTTGATTATTGAGATCTTATATTATTTTATATGTACTTAGCATCTTTATAGACATAATGATTGGTCAAGGGCTCCCTGAAATCTGTGGAGATCTAGAAGCTCAGCTGGCTTCAGGAAACCAACGAGGGGTTATTGGGGTTAATTTAGCAAGATGATATCTAATAGTATGATTCGAAACCTCTAAATTCCTTCATCTGCCTTTCTTTTCAACAGTCTCTGAAGAGGATGCCTTGAGGAAAAGTATAACAATAGGAAGTTAATAATCTTCTCCATTCTCCATAAGTAAAGATGCCTCATCCTAGTAATTCCTGAATTATAGGATAGTGTTAGAGGCGTGGCAAGGAAAGGGGAGTATTTAGTTTTATACTTTAAAAAAAAAGAGTAAGCAAGTTCTTCCTGAATTTGGGGAGCCAAATTTTCTGTCTGAACCACTGAGTTTCTCAGAGAGTTACAGGAAACCTTGAACAGAAAGATACTTATATCATATTCTGTCCAACATTCGCAATCTGGAATCCTCAGGGCTTATCTGAGGATAGCTAGATTTTTCTCCAAAACTAAGAATTTACTCACTGAAGTACCATTTTTAAAACATTCTTGGTGATAATCTTTTAAAAATACATTAACAGCTTTCACTGCCTTTTTTAAAACTGAACAAAATGTAAGCAGCATTTGTGTTTCCTGCACTGTCCTCAACACCTGTTGAGATCGACAAAGCCTGCTAGCCCCAACACCAAACAGCCAGGGACTCTCACAGTTGGGGCATTTTTATGTCTCTCTTCACTGCTTGCCAGCAGGAATTCACCTTGACTGACAAAGTGTTCTCCCTGTAACCAACTCCTTCAAATATGCAGCTTCAGGAACCCAATAACCAAGTTTACCAAAACAATAGAACTGGAGAAAATATGGAGAATTCTTTATTTTATGTAACCTTAGCATCCTAGATATGCAGCAAGGAGGAGTATTGCTGTATAGTGCAAGTTAGGAGCTAAGAAGCTCAGTTGGTATACCTGGCACTGATCCTCGGCATCAGAAAGTGACAGAGAACAGTGGGGACTGTGGCAGTCCCGCGAACCTAGGTTATATCTGAAGGGGGCAGCTGTTACTTATCTTCAGTTGCTTGTTGCCAGATTGATTAGTTTCTCAAAAAAAGCTAAATATGCAGGATTTTGTGTAAACATTCCCAATTTGTATGCATTGGTTCAATTTTTTAAAATTAATGAAAGCCCAGCCTTGATTTAACAGATCTACTGATGTCACTATTTTGCAAGGCCGCTCACTCCATGTTTTTGAAAGTTTCAGTTATACAAAAAATTTTATTTGTGTGGAATCAAAATCTAATTCTTGGCTACTTTCAAGCATTGTCCTAAGTCTGCACTTGAGAGCTACAGCACGAATCAAATCCTTCCTCCATAAGAGCACTCTCAAAATCAGAACATGATGAGTGTGTTAGTGAACCTTGACTGTTCATTTCTAAATCAGACATACTCTTATTCTAACCATTCCTCAAATATCCTAGGATTCTCCTTTGGTTGACTTTCAAACTGGAGACATGCCCTTAAAATATGACACCAGAACTCTCCAAAATGCCCTAGGTGTGGCTTAACCATTGCAAAGGACATTGACTCTCTTTTTCTGGTTAAAGTCTAACATTCTATCACCCTGTTTAGTAAACCGATCACTACCTCATAGTGAGTGCATCACAAACTGCCTTGGTTCTAAAACTGGTTCCTCCACTTTTTAGCTGTGAGACCTTAGGCAATCTACTTAATTGTTCTATGCCTTGGTTTTTTTACTTGTAGAACAGGGATAATAATTGTACCAACCTCATGGAGTTGGCATACAAATTAAGTGGTTCGATATATATAAAGTGCTTCTATATATATTAAAGTGCTTAGAACAGTGTTGGGCACATAGTAAGTGGGGTGAAAGTGTTAATAATGAACATTGTTGTAACTATATTATTTTCACTATAACCTGTAAGTATGCCACTAGTGTGCTCACTCTGGTCATTAATAAAATTGCCATGCCGAGGCAATGGCTGACCCCTGCCTGCACCCCTGTCTCTAGACTCGCACTGATTCAATAACCAATGCAAAGCTGTCTGATCATCTTAGTGCTAACCCTGTATTGCCCATCTTGTCCTTGAGGGTATCTTTCATGTACCAGGCACTGTGTTAGGCATGGAGGTCATGAATACAAATAAAACCTGGTCTTTACCCTCAACAGGGTCCCAATATAACAGACAAATGGTGAAACAGAGGGATACTCACTAGGAAACAGGTATGCACAGAAGGGCCAGCTTTAGTTCCATCGTCTCTGATTGAATTTCTCTAAATACCCTAAAATGAAATGAAACCAGAGAATCACTTTTTTTTTTTTTTTTTTTTCAGAGTCTTGCTCTGTCACCCAGGCTGGAGTGCAGTAGTGCAGTCTCAGCTCACTGCAACCTCCGTCTCCTGGGTTCAAGAGATTCTCCCACCACAGCCTCTAGAGTAGCTAGGACTACAGGCGAGCACCACCACGCCTGGCTAATTTTTTTATATCTTTAGTGGAGACGGGGTTTCACCATGTTGGCCAGGCTGGTCTCAAACTCCTGACCTCAAGTGATTGGCCTGCCTCAGCCTCCCAAAGTGCTGGGATTACAGGTGTGAGTCACTGTCCCCAGCCGAGAAACACATTTTGAACATATTTATAAGGGGTCATTACTTATGAAAAACCTCATCTTTCTTGCCTTCATGGTCTGTGATGGCTCTTGGCTTTCACCTCCCATTTTTTCAAGGCGTATTTGTTGTTTTTGCTAATTTGGTGATATTTTATTTGCAAGCAAAATTACTTATTCAAACGTCATTCACATTCTAGTCGCTGCTTCCCAGGAGTCTTTAAAATCCATTGGGGGTCTTGGATCTTATTACTTGACCATGAGTATAGCAACCATAAAATTATAGTCAACTTTAAAAAGTGTTTCCAGAATCAATTCAGATGTCCGTGGACACCCATTCCTGAGGGTCTCCCAGCTGGCAGGGAGGGCTGCAATCTCAGTAGCAGACCAACCTCTGCTGTGCATATCTCCTCAGACCCAAGGACTCTCTTTTCTTTTCAATGTTGTTAACAAAGTCTCTTTGATTTTTATTGGTCACAAAGGTTGTATTTGCCTTCCCAGTGATCTCATTTTTGTCTAGTGGTGCCACAGTAAATAAGAATAGGCATCAAAAAGAGGAAATGGTTCAACCCAAAAGTCTGCATTTGACCTAAATAAAAATTTTCTAGGGTCCTATTTTACACCTCTTCTACCATTTTTGATTGCTTGATATTTCAAATTAGCAACCAAAACTTCCCCTCCTGTTACTTCAGATAACCCAGAAATTGATTATATAAAGTTGCTTAATGTGGTCAGCCTCTTCATAAACAGGTAGGTTGCTGAAAGATTATCTCGTCAGCATCTGATAATCTCTGGATCCTGAGCTGTTGAAGAAGGCTCAGAAATGCACTAAAGTAGGTGCTGGGAATAAGGCCAGATCTTGTTCTGCCATTAAATTTCCAAACTTGTCACCCTCTAAAGTCCTTACTGCTTTTGTCACCCAAAGACCACATAATTTGAAAGCGTATCAATCTCTATTTACAAAGGGACATTGTGTTTCCTCATTCTTAATTAATTAGAGACATATTGTCAATCAGAGGTTTTGAGCTACATTGACAGAGGTAATGTTACCTAACCTAAACATAGTTCCATAAGAAACACAAAACTTAGGTAGACAGTAGAGTCTTATTAATGAATCCTACTCAAAATGTTCATAGATCTGTGTTGGTATCTTTAGGGAATCCTGGTTGTGAACCACTGCATGAAATGTTCAGGTTCACAATCTTGCAAAACCTTTTTGAGTTGCAGGAATATCTGTTGCCTCACAAGTGAAACAAGTCCATTTTCTTGAGCACTGAGGTGTTCCCCAGCCTGGCTTTTCTGCCTAGAAAATGCCATTTTCGTAAAGAGCTGTCATGCTTCGTGTCCTTTGGCTTATGATTTAGCTGTTCAAAGAAAGTGCAGGCTGCTCTCACTTGCTCAGTGCTGGTGATATGTGTTTTTGTTTATTAAATCTTTAAAATACTGGGCTTGTTTTTTATGACCTCCATATATTCTTTTGTTCTTCTCTGTGACTTGTTAGATCACAGTTTTTTTCTTCCTTTGTGAAAATATTAGCACCTTTCTGAAGAACATCATGGTCTCCAGAATGGCTGTATAATAAAATGGAAGAATGTGTTGAGCTTAATGTTAGATCTGTCAAGGCCGTGACTCAGGGGTGCTTCACTGATGGGAAGGTTTGTGGCTTCTCAGACATGGTCCACAGAATCACAAATCTTTCTGTTCTTGCCAGACTTGTTTTGACAAATCTGAGATCATTTGACACTAATCATAGAGCTCTTTGTAAAATAAAGGTACCAATGGTTTATGTTCCAATTACAGACAAGTGTTTGTGATTAAAAGTTACTAAGAAACCCTCGGTTAAATGGAAGCAAGTTCTTCTGCAGGTGTGAGCTTCGTCTTGTATGCATTTGAGCCTGGGGACCCACACACCTGTGCACAGGTAGCCTAATTCTACTGACCCCAAAGGAATCTCTTCTTTGGGGATGCTGAGGAAGAAGAGAACATCTGCAGCTGATAAATCTCAGTGGGCCTGGTGCTCCAAGGCTTCTAATTATACCCAGTTCCTACATCTTCTAGAACAAGATCAAGTGATGAGCTGCCATCTCATGGTTCTGTACCTGCACAGAGGGGAATCCCAAAGTTTTAAATAATCTTGAATACAACTTGGCTACCCCACTAATGTGGATCCCCAAATAAACCAGGCCGTGACATCCAATTGAACTTGTCCCTGTGCATACAGTATCTCGCAGCCCATCCTGTATTGTTAGTTTTGGCAAGTACACTACAGCATATAATAAATCATGGAAGGCAAAAGCTTTTTGGCCTAGCATGGTTCAGCCTGCTGTAATGTTAGAATACAGAAAGCAGTTCTGTTTTTAGACATGCTTTTACTAACCCAACATTCATAATTTATTATTTCACTGTAAAATTCCTGCAACACTACACCAAAAGTAGTGCTGCCCTTTAATTAAGTGCCCTCGGTAGGAAAAACGTGAAACTGATGTGCAAAACATCTCTCTGTGTGCAGTGATTGATAGTGATTACATCTTTATGAACCCAGCCTAAAGGTCTCAACTTCCTGATGGGTGAAGTAGTCCATAGGGCCACTTCCTGAGTCTGCCTGGCGGGGATCAGTCACTGCTAACAAAATTGCAGATAATTCAGAGGGCACAACTTAGAAATGCTGAGGTTTTATTAAGCCCGTAGCGATCTATACTTTGTCACAAGCCTATATGACCTTATTCCTCATTTCCGTAAGCACCAATGACCAAACTTTATGCTGTGTCCACACTTAAAGAAGTTGTAATGCAGAGAGTAAAGGGACCCAGTGTGTCATATGGATGACAGGAGGTACTTCCAGCCCAATGGGTGCATAAGTAGAACAGTATAGCCAGAAGAGGACCATAAGTTGTTGCATTTTTTTAAATTCTGTTTTCAAACATTCTTTTATTTTTCTTAGTTGCTATTAGGCAAGTTTAATTTTTTAAATAGTACCATTAAATGTTAGACTTAAATCCCAAGGCTGGCATTCCCCAGCTCATTCCTGTTTGCACTGTGAATCTGTCCTCCATCAGCTAGGTAGTCACATCAGCCCAAGCTCATAACACCTTACTGAAAGGTAAGATTCAGAGTTTCCATATCTGAAATACTTCAGGTTTCTGGAAAGAAAGGGAACACATCCATCCGAGAAGGTAGTATGTGTGTTATGTGAACTCTTTGGTATAAGTTTGGCTATTTTCAGTCACAATGGTAGCAACCAAAACAAAAATTTTGTGCAGTCCTGTCATTTAATCATCTTATCAGTGCCCCAAGGTGACTTTTTTCAAGAGCTCTGTTGATACCATGTGTGTGTGTTATTTTCTGGTGTTTTTACAGATTTGGGCCAGGCTTAGTCATCTATTGGTATGGATTTATCCAGGAGCTGGACTGCAACCGGGAAAGGGGCATCCTGCTCAAAGCCTGTTTCCCCACGAACATTGTCACCTTATGCCACAGCATAGCTTGACCCTGAAGATCCTGGAAGAGAAGCTGGGAGGAAAAGGTGAATCCGGAAGCAATTTTACTTTCCTGCACTGTAAGATCCTGGCAACATCTGCCCTGAACTTCAGCTGAACTCTTGCTGCCCGTAGTCACACCACTACCTCTTTAGACAAACATATCAAGAGTTTCTGTTTTCCTTCATCCCTTGCTGATGTGAACAGCCAAGAACTACAGACACAACCCACTCATTATCAGCATTTCTGTCTCTGTCAAACAATTAGTTTATAGATAGTCATAATCTTTCTTTCTTCCGGATGGTTTATCCTTGTATGCTGAACAAAAGAAAAAATGTGAAGACTGAAAGGTGTGATTTTTCAATTCTCCTCCCAGTTACCGAATCACCCTCTTATTTTTTTTTCCCTAAGCCTCCGTTCACTGTCTCTCCCTCTCCCTTTCTCTTCATGTGCACTCACAGAGACCCAGCATTGCATTACCATCGTGGAATAATCTAGCGCAAACCTAGGAAAGCTGAAGCCACAAAGTCCAAAGCCACCTTTGTACTCACCTGCAGAGCTCCAGAAGACCTTGATGGCAGCCTGCCTATGCTGTGTGTTTGCTATATTCAATCTTTACGGCTTCCTGACTTCTGTGACAGTAAGCCAAGTGCAAAAATACACTTGATGAGAATTTCCTCTTTTAATAATGTTATTTGAACACCACATATTTTAGATTTATCTTATTTGAAAGTATTAGTTCCATTGTGCCTGGAAACCACACTCCTTTAGATTGGGGGCCGAGAGGCGACAACCCAACATTGAGGAGAGTTTATTTTTAAACATGGCTAGTTGTCAGTATGTACGTGAGCTAGTATTTTTATGAGTCGAGTTTTTTAAAGGCACATTCTGTATACTGCTTAGTATATGCATTTTATACCATGTAATTATAAAACACTCGAGTAAGTTCAGCATTAGAAATGTTTAGCTTTGTATGAACTGAGTGTGCCAGAAATAAACCTGGAGCAATTTTTAAATAAGCAAAATAAAGGAGATTTTTCTATTTGTTCACTTTAATTTATTCACTTTTGTGTACTTTTATGTACTGCAAATCAGATTTCAGTCTAAAGCGAAACATCAGTAAGTTAATAATAAACCTATCTTTTGGGAAGTTGAATATTAATCTGTACCCAAAACGTATTTAGTAAAATATTTGCCCCCGCCACCCTGCCATGCTGACATAACAACTTTTATAATGTTGAATAGATGATATGGGAAATACTAATAACAACAATGTAATTTTTGCAGACAGCTTTAACTTATATACATTGCTTGATTTTTTTCAAAAGACTAAATATGTCATTTATACTTTGTTTATTTTCTACCAAAGAAGGTTTGTAAAAATATGCCTGCTGCTTTTCCTTTTGAAGGACACAAACCTGGTCCCAACATGTGTGGATTTTAACTCTGAGTGGGGTGCATTAAATCAAAAGAGAGAGGCAGAAGATGAAATGCTAAAGAAGGGTCAGGCAAACTTCTGTTTCAGTATAAAATTCATCATGCAGGCTTCTGAGTGAAATAGAATGATTTGAAACCACTACTGTATTGCCTGGATACACACACACACACACACACACACTTTATACAAAAATGTTAAAAGCAGGTTTCCTGGCATGTTCTAAACTGTTTTTTCTTTAGGAATAAATTACATTTATCTGCACAGATGTTGAAAATCCTGTTAAACCCTTGTCAAGGATTTGTTTATTTTACATTAAACAAATTTATTATGATGAACGTGAACAAATAAATTAAAAAATAAAAAAGGTACTTGCGTTTTGTATTTATTCTTTTACCTGCTGCCCTGACATAATGTGTTGTGAGAAGGTATTGGTGTTCCTAGCAAAGGCACTACCTCCTCTTTATGAATGAGGCTTTAAAATCTGGCCCTTAAAAGTGAGAAAGAACCCAACAGTAAACTGTACACACTACAATAAGGTTACAAATTAGTCAAAAGTAAGTTTTTCACACATAAAAACTAATGTGATAATTATACTACTTTTGAATTGGAGCTGTATGGGAGAGAAGAGAGTAATGTTCCCAACTGGAAGCTTAAAGTCTCCTTGGTTTGTTTCTTTTTCTGTTAAAAATACTTGTCTGTGTTCCATCTCTATGCATTGTCTGCTTGCTGGTTTTTTTAGTTTAGACAATATAAACATCAGCCCCAGAAAGTAGACACGGAATGACAACTTATTTTTATTGCTGTCATCATTAGAACATTAACATTAAAGCCAAATCTTGTTTTATGGTGCATTCTGCACACTATGCTAATGAATTATGCAAAGCCAGAAAGCAGGAGCGTGTGTAAAACGTAAAACTGAATGACGTTCTCCCTGGCATATGCAGACTTGCCAAGCATCTGCCCTCACAAACACATAGGCGACCATTTGAAGTCTGGAAACAGATCAACTCAAAGCAAAGCTGATCCGGTACTGATCTGTAAGGCGACTGCATAGACTCCTTCCCACCTCACATCTGTACCCCCTCAAAAAAGAAACAAACCATAAACAGTTGCATATCCTCTTTTTTTCTTTTGCCTTCTAGTGAAGCATACGTCAGCTCTTTACAACACTCCTAAAATCTAAAATAAAAGGGAAGTCTCAGGGGTCTAAAGTAGAACGCTGGACCTCCAGGGGAAATAATTTTCTTGTAACTGTAGGTGTGTGTACCTGTTCATTATCTGCAAGGCTTGATTCCCCCTGGAAAAGATGATAAATTGTTGGTCTTGAGGGGGTGCATTAACTCACTCAGGCCGCCAGGGGACTGCTTAGAGCCCTGATGAGGTAATCTACCTAAATGGTCCCTGGTGGGCCACACTAATTAATGCTGAAGTGAACAGTTAATTCACTTGCTTCTCACTGGGGAGCTACACCCATTGCTTTCTTTTCTCTTTGGAACCAAGATGCCTTAGATGTCTCCTCTTTTTAACTGTTCCCATCTAGAGACCTGGTATCTCAATTGCAATAAATCCTTACTGCTTCCATATGCTTTCTCACTTCACTTTTCACTTTTTCCATGTCATCTTCCCCTGCGTTGGCCTTTGCCAGTTTCCCTCCACATGGACATGTACCCTGCATTTTCTCATTACTCTTGGGCTCTTTTTCTCTCTAAAAGATCAGGATCCCAGGACCAAAATATGTCCTGATGCATACACCTGGTTGGGGAGTGGGGAGCAATTGGCCTAACCTCTTTGGGGAGAAACACAACTTAAGCACCCTCCACATGCCCAAATACTCAAGTGCATATGTGGCACCAGAAGGATCGTAAAACTTTTAACTAAGATAATAAGATTTTACAGGGTTAAATATGGCTTGAAGTTCATGCCTTCAGTAAATGATTTGGCAAAAGGAGCAAAAAGAGAAAAAAAAAGTAAGGTTATATAGCTACTTTCAGCCTGAGTGGTGGTGTTCAGCTGATTAAAATAGCAAAATGTCTGTATGATTTAGCGAATCACTCCTAGCTCATTCATCTTGGGGGTAGCTTGCCATTTTCATGTGATCTGATGGGAGCAAGTTGTCTCAAAGTATAACTATTTTGTGACAAGATGAGAGGAGAAAATCTCAATAGGCACATTCTTGATTAGGGTTAAGGAACAAAGCAAGCTTAACTTGAGAGGAAACTAAAAGGCAAACAATAGAAGTTTGCCTGCAATGTCACCATTTATGGGAAGCGTCTATCTGAACCTGTCTGTGTAAAGTCACTCGTGGGTTATGGAAGGGTCATGTGTTTGGATCATTTAATCTTGTTACTCTAAACTAACCTTCCTACATTTAGTAAACATGATCTGAACCTGTTTTATTAAGAACATGCTTGGATTCCAAAGATTAAATAAGGAAGATGGAATTATGAATTAAATAATAACCTGAACAACTTGGGTTCGCCTTCTGTTTTTCACTTTCCTGCTATTGTTTTGAATATGGCTGTGAGACAAAGAGCTGCTTAGGTCAAGCGCTATAAATTACAGTTTTCATACAATAGTAATCCACTAAAATGATTTCAAAGCCTGATCAAAGTACTTCAAAAAGACTTTTAAAACATTTCCACAGTACAGGGGAAGGGAAATGCTCATTTGGTGCCTTAATTTGTTTCACTTAGTATAGCAAAGTTCGATCTGGGTGTCATACTCACTTTATATAAAATCCAACTCATTGTTTAAATAAATCCAACTTGTTCTTGTTGTTTAATGTATAGGTAAAGGAGATTTAAGTTTTCATCTCCTTAACAAGAACAGCTGAATATTTGGAGTCACTTGTAAGGAAAAGATAATATAGGAACATTTTAAAATAAGCATACCTTGATAGTATTTAATTGTGATACTCGAGGTATTCGTTAAAACTGTCTAACTCCCTGCAATTAGGATAAAGTGGTGAGGATCTCAGTGGATTTATTTGGCATCTTAATAATAATCATGGCAACAGATATATTTATTTTTTCATCCCTTTTCCCTCATCACTTGGATTTATCCTAAGCTGTCTCATTTTATAGGCAAGGATAATGGGAAGTACACTAGTGATAGCAAAGCTAAGCAAATTCTAGGCTCAACCATATATAAAGATACTGTGGGCTGCAGCAACAATGTCAGGCTCAACTAAAGACTCATGGTATTATGTCAGGGTAATTTTTACTTTTTAAAAGGAAGGTCATATTGAAATGCTGACATGAAATATAACCAAGTCAATTAAGTAATAACAATTGAAGTTCAGAGTTTAATTGAGGGCTGAACATGAATCCAATGACCATTAACCTAAAGTGGTCATTAATTCCCCTGGAAACTGCCTTGGTTAAAGGTATTTCTACAATAACTAGCACTTTTTTTTTCAAAAAAAAAAAAAAAAAACCCTTGTCATTTTAACATTAAACACTAATTCAGAAATAACATTCAGGAATAACAATTCAGTGGATCTATAGTAAACCTTCTGTATTTTACATTTTTAATTGAATTTCTTCTATAGGACAAATCAAAATTTAGATAAAAAGATAAAACCACCTCTGCAGGAAACCATAGTTTTGTTAAGTAAACAAAGTTATAAGCACCCTTTATTTGATTGCTTTTGTTTTATCTCAGTTGTGATTTCTGTACTTGTTTAATGCAAGATTTCCGACTAGACTGTAAGCTCCATGAAAGTAGAAACTACACTAACTTTGTTCACTTTAGTCCCTAATGCCTAACAGAATTCTGGTGCAGACAGAGCAGGTATTCAATAAATGTTAAATGAGTAAATGAATGACACGGTTTTATTAAATATGTTATCACTCGCATTAGCAAATAATTAGAACCTTTATCTTTCTCATTTTCTTCATCTGAAAAATGAGTGTATTTACCAAAAATCAGAGAAAATCATCATGTGTTGATGTTAAAGAATTAATTAATTTAGAAACTCCCCAAAATGTGAAATAAATCAAATTCATCAACAAGAGTGTTTTAGGATGCACACTTAGTTTTAAGGGGGGAATTTACATAACTTTTTGTTGCATTTGCCTTAAAGTTAATCTTAATACATTATTGTTTATGCACTGTTGCTAAATGAGAATATTAAAAATCTTTATTTCTCTTTTAAAAGAAATGGCTTATCTTTATATTTCCATTAAAAAAAAAAAACTTTCTCCTCAAATCACGGCAGGGTCCCAAATCAACTGTGTTTCACAAGCAGATTTTGGAATATTCAATGGAGTTATTAGATTAACTGCAAATGATACTTTTAATTGCTCCCTTTTATAATGCTGAGTTGATGGCAAAGTGCTTCCTGGCCATAGAAGTGTTGGCTGGCTCAAGAGAGAAGGGTTATTTGGTCATTTGCCAATAGGATCTGACCTTTGGAGAGATACTGCCCATGAACCGCTCAGTGGGTGTTTCCTTGTTACTCATTAATTCAGAGTATATTATTATTTGAAAGCCAAACGCATTTGGCATATTTCCTCATAATTTGGAAACTTGTAGCACAAAAGGAACTGGAACTTCCACATTTCTTCTTTTTCTGCCAGTTTCCCAGGACTTAATTTGTTGGGGCTCTTTACTTTGTTATTCCTTCCATGAGCTTCTGGACAGAACAGACCCCCAGTACAGATATCACTAAGACCAGGTCTTTGGTTGCAGGTGATAATTCTGTCTTATATTTCCAGCATTAAAACTATTTAAGACACAGATATTTATTGAGTCCCTAATGTGTATTAGAAGTATGTGAGGTGCTGTGGGGAATTTTTTTAATGCAACAAAAGATCCTCTTCTTGAAGAAAAATAAATCATTACCTCTTCAAAATGAAAACAACACAAAATATTTGGAAATTTTAGAAAAGCAAATCACATGAAGGAAAGAGGGAAATCTATGAGGTTTTTAATAAGATATTTTAACCCTAGACTATGGACAGCAAGTAGCTTTCTATTTGCTTATGGTGGCTGCATTCACTGCTATTAAGCAATTCCAAGGCCAAGTTCAGCTTAGCAGCTAAGGCTTTGATCTAGTTCTTAGAGTAGGCAGTGATCACAGGGATGCCACATATTTTCCATTCCTGCTCTGGGCCATTCATGTTCAGTGCAAGTATAAATAAATTCTAAGCATTTGAAACAGAATTCATACCTGTTCATCGGCCTAAGTAATAAAACAAGCAATAACTTGTTCTGATAGTTCTATAACATCAAGCAAAGTGTCTGTCCATGGCTAAGGTCTGTCTAGTAATACAGATAAGCTAAATATGTCATTGAAATCATAGAAATATGATTTTAAGCCTCAAGATAAACACTAGATGGGCGCAGATAATTATTATTTTCAGTAAATGTCTACAAGTTCAATTATATTATTAATGAAAAACGTTAGGCCTGTATATTTTGGCCCTGCACAAAGACCTTGAAATTCGCAGATTATATTAGTAAATTTTACACATTTCTAGCTTTGGAGATTTTTTTTCTTTTTTTTTTTTTTCTTTTTTTTGCGGGGTTGGGGTGGTTTTTTTTTTTCTCCCACTCAAACCAGGCTAGGAATTCAAGGTGAGTTAAACACTCTGCCTCCTTTATCTTTCATGGCCTTTATATCATCTGGGTATCAATTTTCTGCTTAGTACAGTGCATTTTTATAAGGTAGTGATTGTATATAATAGTGGTTTGAAAATATGTTCCCAAAAAGAAGTGTAAAATATTTTCAAGGACAGAGAAGATTGTATGCTTTACATGGTAAGACAATTTTGTTAATATATTTACCATTAAGCTATAAATACTTTTGCCAGAACCTTTTAATTGTATCAGTTCATTAATTCTGGCAGCTAAAATAATGACAATCATTGCACATGGAAAATTAGGTAAAAATCTAAAAGTATTATATTTTGTACTAATTTGAATAGAAGAATCCATCTTGGTTTCAGAGTTACAATTTTTAAAAAATAAAATTTTCAATAAATGAAAAAATAGCAGTGCAACCTAACAGAGGATAATAGAAAAGCAGAACAATGAAAGATGGCAAAGTGGCCATGAGCACATTGCATAATGATGTAAAACTCAGTCTTTTGGTAAATTACTTTCGTCTTTCTTACTTCCCCATTATCCTTGAAAATATTTCCCAATGACAAATGAGTTAAAAATGGCAAAATGGGTGCATAGAATGAGCCAAGAAACTCATGTGAAAATCGAATTACATTTTCAGTTTATTTCTTGACAATTCCCTGAAAGATACTAATTGCATCTTTGAGCCATTAGCGAAGGTGAGTTTGACTCACAGACTCAATTTTATCAAAAAATTGGGAGATTTTATTTAATAGGGAGTCAGCAAGGCATTTTTTTTTGTTTAAAAAAAACTCATCTTCCTACAGAAACAGTTTTTAGTTTTTAATGAACTTAAAAACAGAAAAGCTACCATTTCAAAATAAAAACAAGATCCCCAATCATATAGATGTTTACAGTGATAATATTTATCTAAGCAACATACATACATGTTCAGTTGTAAGATGTTAACTAAATTTCTGTGACAAGCTTTTAAGAAAAACACTAAGAACATTATAAAGTTAATGCAGAGTCCTAAGTATAATCTAGTAGTCACTAAGTTTTTCTTAAGTCTTCACTTTAGATGCTATTATTTCTAGCACAAGTAAGCAGGCAGTCTTTCATGTGCTCCAACATTGGAATCTTTGGTTGCTACCCTACCAGCTGGTTTGCAAACAACAAGCCAACAACTTTAAGAACGTTTTACGTGAACAACTTGCAAACCCAAGAGATGGAAAAACCCTAAGAATGCACAATTGTGAGCATTTATAACCATCAAAACTGGCTGAAGACGGTTCACGACATTCTTCCGAGATGAGATCTCAAAGCAGTATAGTTCAAAACAAAAGGTTTTAACAGAAAATTGGCATATGCATAATTTCTCCACCAATTTGTGTGTGTCAACCATTTAGTAAACTTTTTCACTTGAAAAAAAATGCACTAGAAACCCGGCCACCATGTTTCACTGTCTCAGTTAATATTCACAATTACAGTAGCCACAGCTCAGGATACAGCATCACCAATGCTACCCAGAGTCAGTTTATACTAAAATTAAGTTCTTTACACCAAGTAAATGGCTGTCCATGACCACTGGCTAATGTACACATGAACTAAAATTTCTAGATTTGGGGAGAAACAAATGCTGCTCTGATCATCTGCTCTGCTGCTTCTGTTCCTCAATTCATGCTTAGAAACCTTTCATGTTACCCTTGGTTTTGTCAGGTTGCTTACCTGTTGGGGTTTGGGCCTGCTGCCCCTCCCACTAGAAGAGGCTGCCTGCTGTGCTGCTTTCTGCTTTAACTTTGTCCAATCAAATGTGTAGTCATATTGATGGATCAGGGTCCTGAAAAGAATGCAGAATAGCTGCGTCAGATACATGTAATCTGGGGCTTTCTCTAAGTGTAGCCCACGACAAGGGTTTAAGTATATGGCAAATTCTGCAGCAAACCCCTTACAAAAAACAGGAGTAGACATCTTCTTTTCACTAATCTTTTCATATTTTTGTTTCTCTGCTGCAGCCTTTAGCCCTTGCCATGGCAGGCTGGTTGGCTGGTTCTATTAAAATACATCAAAACATATTCTAACGATTCCATGTCATCCCGGCGACTCTGCTCAATACTAAGATGTGCATGGCTAGCATACAGGGCAGTGCCAGTGAGGTTTTTATCTTCTCTGTATGGTATGTGTTGCCTTGTCCTGTTGTCTCCGTACGTTTTGGCCAAACCAAAATCAATACGGAATAACTTACTACAGTGACGCCCAATACCCATTAGGAAGTTACCTGGTTTAATGGCTCTGTGTATAAAATTCTTTGTATGCACATGTTCAATTCTACTGATCATCTGGTCAGCTAATATAAGTACAGTTTTCATTGTGAACCTTCTTGAACAGAAATTGGTCTTCGAGGCTAGGTCCCAGAAAAATCCATGACTAGTACATTATAGTCTTCTTCCTGACCACACCACCGTATGTGGGGGATGCCAACCCCACCTTGAAGCATCTTGTAAAGCCTGCTCTTGTACAGCAACTGGGGATGCCTGGCCCTGAGATTCTGGCTTCACTACCACTTCTTCACCGTTGGTGATGCTGATCGCCAGACAGATGTCTCCGAAGGAGCTACACCAGATCTTCCAAAGCAGTTTATATTTCCTTCCGACAATGAATTCTGCTGCTAGCCGTCCTGAGAGACGAAGATGGAGGCTGGGCCAAGCCTACCGTGGAAGGCGGCAGGAAGCGGAACACGGAGGCCTTTCCCGGCGTCCAGGGCCCAGATGCCGGCGAAGGGAACTTGATGCCCGCTGCTCGGTCAGGATTCTTTGTTTGTTTTTTGGTTGGTTGCCTGCCAGGCCGCAGTTTGTGAAGGGCTTCTAGCGGTTACCAGGCTGGGCCACCTGTTCTGGGCAGCCGCCGCTGCCTCGCTTTCGCGGCGACGTCCGGGCTGGAAAAGGGGCGCAGTGAGCTGGGGAGCGGTACCGCTGCCACCACTGCCGTCGGCTCCGGCCCAGAGGGACCCCTGTCACTCCGCCGACGACGCCATCTTGTTACTCCAGCTCCAGCCAACACAAAATGCCCCCAGTACCCGGGAGTCGCTTCTTCACGGCGCAGAGCATTCTGGGAAAGGGACCTCCGGCGCTTGCTCCAAAGGATCCGCCTCATCGACTCAGAATTTGAGAATTGGAAGGCGCCAGAGGCTTCAGTTTACAGATGCGAACATTGAAATCTGGAGAGGGCAGGTGACTTGTCCAGGGTCACATAGCTAATAGGAGGCAGGACCAGAATCTACACCCCCTAACTTCCTGTCCACTGTCCTTTCCTTCATAGGGTAAATATTTTACTCCAAGGAATTTCCAATCCCATAAGTTATGTTGACTATTTACAAAGTAAAGGGTCCTGGTATATTTTTAATGAACATTCTGAACCTTACTGTTTTGGTCCTGCCCAGTTCTCTTCATGGTGGAAATCAGCTAAGCATTTTGACAGAAACAGTTTTCATTTTGTCAGTACTTTACTATCCTAAAATCCTTAGCGTTTGATGACAGTCATTTTCTACACATTGCCATGAGCCTAAGGATGCGCCACTAAGAATGAATTTGGAAGGACTGAAGACAATGTTTTCCTTTGGTCAATTTTTATATTGACTTTTCTTCTACTGGAAAAAAAATCCACAGATATTATGTTTACCATCTTCTCTTCCTGTAAGGATAAGGTAATATTTAAACCAACAGTAATTCATGAACATCTACTGATCATCACCAGGAATGACCAGTATATAGTATTCTAGAACTGTAGGCAGTAGAGCCTAGTGGCTAAGACACAAGCTTTGACGAGAGTCTGGAATCCCCGCCTGTGCACTTAGATATAACCAAACTCTCTAAAAGCTTCAGTTTCTTCATTTGTAAAATTGAAATTATGCCCATCACACAGGACTATTATGATAGTTAAATAAGATTAGTGCCTAATACCTCATAAAGCATAGCTCTAATAAAACTAGTATCGTATATTATAGTTGTATTATGTGTTATATAATTATAATTATATTACTACACCCATTGAAAATTCTACTTGAACGATATACAGCATTAAAAATGTGTGTTTCCTGTGTTAACATAAAAATCACTATAAGGTGTGTAGCTTGGCTTATTATTGCTTTTCTAAAGCTCATTTAGGAAAAGCCATTTTCCAAAACTTAAGAGACAGGCAGAACAAGATCCTCCTTTGAGAGCAGGCATATGTTTAATTGATTGTTTTAGCAGACAGATGTCTGGTTTAACATTCCTCTGCTCGGAGGAGAGGCTCAGAGACAGTGAGCCCATGTTACTTTTGATAGTGACTGAAGCCTTTGCCATAAATACAGCTTCAGCGGCGGCACAGCACAGGAACCAGCCAGGACTTCCACATCTGACTGACGGCTCAAATCCACCATGCACAAGATGAGCCCCCTAAAGGTGCATAGGTTTGTCATACTATAAAAGCTTTCTTTAAGAGGATTGAAATACCTTCTCCGGGTCATTGTTAATTCTTAGTTGTGAAATACCTTCTTCAGGCCATTCTTTTCAGTGAAAGAAAGCATAAAATGCTATTCGAATTTGATCTTTGAAAAAACAAAAAGGCAAAGCAAAAGGAATTTGGGGAAATCACTAGTTTGTTCCTGGA
Organism: Homo sapiens; assembly: GCF_000001405.40. Classification (NCBI taxonomy): domain Eukaryota; kingdom Metazoa; phylum Chordata; class Mammalia; order Primates; family Hominidae; genus Homo; species Homo sapiens. Next base: position 36,820,099 of record NC_000015.10, read on the forward strand.
TTCTTCCTCTGATTGATGACTGTGACACTTTTTGGGGTGGCTTTTTAAAAGGACATGATTTTCGAAAGCGCACCACTCCTAAACATAAACCTCCTTAGGTCACAGGCAAGTTGTATAATTTCTAAACAATTGAACCAAGTACTGATGCTCCCCTCACAAAACACAGGCCAGTGATGTTGGAGGCAGATTCTGAGTCAGCTCTCCTAGGCAGCTGAAAACACTGTTACAAAAATGCCAGATATCGAAAAATGTGGCTTCTCTCATCTGGGGGCTTCAGAACATTCTGCAAACAATGAACTAAGCTTCCCATCTAAGTTCCAGTTAACTAAGCTTCCAGTTAGATAAGTGGTCTTTTGTTGCTTACAGAGGATTTAACTAATGTTGTTTTGCTTCTTGTAGAAGTTGTTTATTTATTTACTTTACAACATTAAAAAAACTTGAAAGAACACTTACACTGAAGAGAATGATTTCTCCTTCCATAATATATGCTATTGGAAAAATAAAAAAAATTTAAAAATAAATATTAAAATGTGTTTTCACTCAACCACAAATATGAAATTGTAGTACAAACTGTAGCTGGACACCGTGGCTCACGCCGATAATCCCAGCACTTTGGGAGGCTGAGGTGGGCAGATCACTTGAGGTCAGGAGTTCAAGACCAGCCTGGCCAATATGGTGAAACCGCATCTCTACTAAAAATAAAAAAATTAGCTGGGCGTGATGGTGTGCGCCTGTAGTCCCAGCTACTTGGGAGGCTGAGGCAAGAGAATCACTTGAAGCCGGGAGGCAGAGGTTGCAGCAAGCCAAGATCGCATCACTGCACTCCAGCCTGGGCAACAGAGCGAGATTCTGTCTCAAAAAAATAAAATTAATAAATCAATAAGTAAATTGCCCAGACCTACCTATATTCAGCACTCAGAGACTGTCTTTTCTTAGCTTGTTAGTAGTATCTCATGAAATACTAAAAGACAGGGATACCAAGTTGAGGCATATCGGTAGGCTCTTTCAGATGCACTCTCCAAACTTCCAACCTCAATGGGTGGATGAGAACATCTGAAAGAAAACTGGTGGTGTGTGCTGTAACATTGTCCTCAATGCAGTGCCCTCAATAGCTCCTTCTATTGCAAATGTGTTGCGTAAATTATGAAAGGAGGAATTAGAGAGGAAAAAAAAATTACCTCTTTTAACTCAAAATAATAAAAGTTCAGCAGAACAGAAGTTACAGTCCTCAGGAATAACTTTGCAATGGACCCATTTAGCATGATAGAATTCGTGGTATAAAGATAATCCAGACTCTTTTGTTAACTGAATTTGAAAATTTCAAATTAATTTGCATCAGATTCAACCTGGTACCCTATCTTGTTAAAAATATTAAGCCTGACACAACTGTCCTGAAATGGCTTGATCTGATTATTAACTAAAATTGATCTGAGTTTACAATGCAATGAAGTCGAATTACAGAGTTGCCAAAATAATCAGTTCATTCATTCGTGGAGATGTGATGAGGAGATGTGATGAGGAAGGGCTTCTTGTTGGAGATGTGATGAGGAAGGGCTTCCTGACTGCTGTGGGAACCATAACCCCGCATGTGCTGAAATTGGAGGCTCACTAGAGACAGCTTGATTGGCCCTCATCTTCTAGGGCTGGGAGTCAATATCGCCACTTTCAGAGGGCTCGGGTCAGTTCCAGAGCAGCTAATAGGCCCTCACAATGAAAACCCAGTTAGGGAGTTATCTGTTCTCGGATGCCTATGAGAAAGAATGTGTGTCTACACAGTATTTCATCTACAATTTATTGTCTACAGAAACCATTGACACACATACATATGCACACACACTCCTTTATCCTGTGTAGCAGAATGCATTTTAATCAGGAGCTTGGAGGGAGATGCTCAGCATCTTCACAGCACAGGTGAACTGGGCCAATGATGAGCATGTGATACTGTTGTGACTGTGACACCCCTTGTGAAGTTTCATAGAAAGCTTTTCTTCCCTTTACTGTCATCCCCTTCCTTTTGATATAAGGCTGGGATGGTTATAGCTGCAGTGGCCATCAAGACAATGAGGAAAAAGATAAGAAACCACTAGAGCCACTGAGCCCATGTCAACATTGCCAACCCTCAGTCTCCTTACTATGTGAGAAAAATAAACTCCTCTTGTTTCAATTATTATTTATTAGGTATTCTGTTACTTGCACCCAAAAGCATTTCTAACTGACAAAGGAATCTCGTGGCTTTCTAGAATAGAGCCCTTGGTAATTTCTTATACTGCATGGTGGGAGAGATCCAGTTGAAATGTCTAACAAAGTCACTGATTGCTCAGACATATCCAGAAACACTGATTTCTATGCAATCTGAAACTCTTAAGAGTGCTGTGATGGAAGTTAACTTCCCTTGGAGAGAAGAGGGACCCAGTAATTTATTATGGAGCATCACCATCAAATTCAGTCTATAGTAGGATTCTGTGAAAATCTGTCGAGTCCCTGTGCCAGAACTGAAGTCTTCAAAGGCATCATTATTAGTATTGAGGTCAGAATTTTAAAATGAGTTACGGAAAGTAAAAGGCCCCCATAGAGAACTGTGGACAGAAATCCTTGGCCACATATACAATAATTTTGGGATAACCCTTTCCTTTTCCCTCTCTACTCCCCACCTCCAAAAAAGAACACCATGTTCACTGAATTATTCAGTTGAATATATTAGCCAGCTTTCTATTTTGCCAGAACATCTAAAATGTTGCAATGGCAACTTAAGTACTTAATACACATCTCATTCAAATGGGTGTGATTAGCTATTAAAGAAGAGGTAAAGCCTTGTCATGGAGTCGAGGAGCACTGACACCAGATACCTGGGCTTCAATCACAGATCCAGCTCTCACATGTGGTCTGGGTGATGCTAGCTGCTTTGTGTCCTTGTGCCGCAGTTGTCTCATATGTAACAATGGAGATAATAAGTACCTCTTGTGTGTGAATTGTAAAGATTAATGCATTTAATATAGGTAGAGTATTCATAACAGAACCTGACACCTTATAAACACTTGATAAGTATTAGCTATTGCTATTACCCCTTTTCCAGATGGGGTCATTGAAGCTCAGAGAGGTTAGGTAGCTTATCCAAGATTTCCTATCCAGTAATTAGTAAAACTATTTCAAAATGTTCCTCTAGTTTACATAATGTTGTTATAATTTATCTTTTATGCTATTTTAGAAAATGTGGTAAACATTATTAGTGCTCACCGATATTCAATTTTCCCCAACTTCCAGAATGTACAAGAGACTACACAATTTCCAGCCCCCTCGAGGCCACATTACAAATTCTAGCTAATGAAATGTGAGTGATGAGACCTGTATGTGTCAGGGAGACAATGAGAAACATTGCAGGATTCTTCATTCTTTCTCTTCCCTTGCTGTAACACCCAACCAAAGTTCCAGAAGTGGAATCTCCATCACCCTGGAGCACAGATAAACTAAATAGACCAACCTACATACCACCACCACCATCCTACAGCAGTCCTTTTAAAAACAGCAAGAAATAAACCTTTATGTGTTAAGCATTGAGATTTGGGAATTATTACCATAGCATCAGCCTGGTCTATCTCAACTAATAAAGTTTCCAAATATTGTATAACAGAAAAACCAGAGTATTGACTTAATATTCTATTTGATTAATATGACATTATCCCAGTGGCTCATTGATAACTCTTGTTTTTTTAGGGGATGGGGGTTGGGGTGAGGTTCATCTGGCATTATAGCAATGTTATAATGAGCCATAAGGAAAACTTAATGTACATTCTTCTACAGTTTAATTTCCTATGATAAGTAATAATCATGCTGCAAACCTTCAGGACAGATATAAATATTATGAATATCAACAGCTCATAATTGTAGTATTTTAGAAAGCCTTAATGCTATTGTTGCTTAACATTTTTTTCAGGATATTAGAGAAAAATTTATTTTAAAATTATCATGGCCTTTTGAGGTTTAGAAAGGCATTTTAGCTTAACCTGCATGTAAGCAATCTTCAAGAAATCATAATATAAAATGTTTTTATTTCTCTTAACCTAGAGCATACAAATTTGAATCTTAAAAATAGATTAGTTTCCTAAGACACAGTTAAGAAAATGAAAGCATAAGCGACAGACTGGGATGAAATATTTGTGAATTCTAGCTGATTAAAAACTTGTATCCAGAATATTTAAAAACTCTCAATACTCAGTGATAAGAAAACAAATAACCCAGTAAAAAATAATGGGCAAAAGATCTGAATAGTCATTTCACCAATGAAGAGATGTGTTGTGTAAGTACATAAAAAGATACTCAGCATCATTAGTCATTAGTGAAATACAAATGAAAATCAGTGTGATACTACTACATACCTATTAGAATACCTTATATTAAACATTGACATTACCAAATGTTGAGGGAAGATGTGGAGCAACTGGAACTCTCATACATAGCTGGTAGGAATGCAAAATGGTTAACTTGGTTAAACAACTTGGCATTTTCTTATAAAATTAAATACACAGTTACCTTATAACCCAGCAATTCCCCTAGACATTTACCCAAGAGATATAAAGACAAATGTACTCACAAAAACCTCTTCACAAGTATTTATAGCAATGTTATTCACGAATGCCAAAAACTGGAAACAAACCAAATGCCCACCATCTTCTGAATGAATACACAAACTGTGGTACATCCATATGACTGGACACAACTCAGTAATAAAAAAGAACCAACCACAGATGCATACCCCAACATGGATAAATCTCAAAAGACTTATGCTGAGTGGAAGAAGCCAGATTCAAAAGGCTATATACTGTATGACTCCATTTATACAATATTCTGGAAAAGGAGAAACTGTAGGAACAGAAATCAAAGCAATAATTGCCAGGGGTTGAAGATGTGGTGGAGGGGAGGAAACTGACTAAAAAGAAGCATCTGAGAACTTTTTAAAATGTTGTAAATATTCTCCCTCTTAATTCTGGTGGTTGCACACTGTATAAATGTGTTAAAATCATAGAACGCTGTGTGCCAAAAATGAGTGAATTCATAGTAAATTAAACCTCAGTAAAACACCAAAAAGTCAAACAAATGTAAAATTTTAAAAATAGATGATTAATAGTTTCAAATGAATTCTTCAAATTTTAGTAATGTTCTGACAGTTATAAGTTAAGCTTTTTTAATGCAATTCATTATATATAAAATGTTATCTATATTAATTTATTCATACTAACTCCACTTGAAATATGTATATTCAATACATTAAACAATAAAGGCAAAATGGTCTAAGGGCCAAAATGTAAAAGAGTAAGCTGTATTCAAGACAACCAGAAAAAGCAAAATATATATCTTGCTTTAAAGTTTCAGAAAAAAAAGTCATTCAGTACAGTTCAACAAATATTTATTCAGCATATATTGTCTCAATCTGTAAAATAGGCAGCTTTGCACATTTTAATGGCCCCAAAGAGCCGTACTGAATTCTCAAATCTACATTACTTTAAAGTAAGTTAGAAAATACCTTGATGATATTACAGAATCCACTTTCTTAGAATAATACCTGGCCCATAATATGCAAATATATGCATTAGCTATCTTATTATTTAAATTTCTTCCACTCACCATTATTATGCAAGTTTAATAATATCTGTTGAAGTTGCTTTTGTTAATGCTTACCCAGCAGCCACTCATCACCACTGCCACACTTTCTTTCTGCCCCAAGGTCACTTTCATTTAGGTGTTCCCTGTCCCTTAGATGGCCATGTACTTTCTCAAAGGAAAAGAATACCAATCCCAGCCCCAAGGGACATGTCATGATTAGTATAAGCCAGTCATGGCGCCCTCCTTTCCTTACCATTAACTGGTGTAGCGCGGGCATATGATGCAAATTGGATGAAACCAAATAGAAAGTCTTCTGGAGGGCTTCTGGGAAAGGTATTCTTTGCTGATTAAGAACCACAAAGGGAGAAACAACCTCTCTTCTACCATTTGTGGTAGCCTCTGGATAAAATGTGGGAACTGCTACAGCAATCCAGCAACCAGGAGCAGTGCTAGACTGCAGAAGAGCCAACTCACTGAAAATGACAAGGCAGAAAAATGCAAGAAGCCTGGCATGGTGCCTCCTCCCTGTAATCCCAGCACTTTGGGAGGCCAAGGCAGGAGGGTTGGTTGAGCCCAGGGGTTCAAGACCAGCCAGGGCAACAGGAGGAAATCCTGTCTCTCCAAAAAAAAAGAAAAATTAGCTGAGCATGGTGGTATGCGCCTGTGGCCACAGCTACCAAGGAGGCTGAAGTGGGAGAATCAACAGCCCCGGAGGTGGAGGTTGCAGTTAGCCAACATAGCACCACTGCACTCCAACCTGGGCAACAGCACCAGACCCTGTCTAAAAAAGTTAACTAATTAAATAAATTTAATTAAAATGGAAGAAGCCTAAGACTCTCCTGATGTCCCTGAGTTGCTGCATCAATCCCAGAACTCTTCTACCTCCACATCTCCTGTCATCTGAGATGATACATTTTCTTTACTCCTTAAGCCAGTTGGGTCAGGTCTTTCTGTTATTTGGAGCCAAAAACGTCATAACTGATACATCTTACAACACATACATTGTTTTTCATGGGCTGGTGAGGGAGTGGGAAGCTAAGATCACAGAAAAGGAATCAGGGGATGCCACATTTATTTTTCAGTCCTTGAACATACAGAATAATATTTATTTTAGTTATTAAAAATAAGGATAAGATACTAATATAAAATGTTGATAATAAGGGAAACTGGATGCAGGGTATATAGAAACTCTATGTTCACAGCTTTTCTGTAAATCTAAAACTGTTAGAAAATAAAAAGGTTATTTGCAAAAAGTGATAAAACATAACACAGTAGATACACAAAAAACAGTTTTTAAATTGAAATTCATGTATAGTAATATTTTACGTGTGAGCAGCTTTTATGGCAAAATTTCTTTACTTATATAGTCATTTCCATGCATATCCCTGCAGAGTTAAAGCACTTCCTAAAAATGTGAGGGAGAACAGGAATTACTGTGTCCATTCAATAGATAAGAAAACAATCATACTGGAGAGATAAAGGGACGTGCAGGAGGCCACACAGTAATTAGTGACAAAGCCGAGAATAGACCTGGCCTCCCATACAGACAACTTTGCTTTTTCCTCTTTCTCCTCTTAAAACAGGAAGACTCTTTTACAAAGCTCATGGAAACAGAAAATTTTCAGTTTGGTGGAAACTATTCAGACTATCTGATCACAGAGTGATAATTCAAATGCTATGAGGTGAAGAATTTTTTTTTCTCTCTTAATTTTGAAAAGAACGTAACTGGAAAATCAATTGATTGAGCAAAAAACTCATTATACCAAGCACCCCCAAACACCTCAACTTTCACCAGACCTTAGCAACTTACAGTATATACACAGTATGCTTAATTTCAATGAAAAGATGACTTTATACAATTCTATTTCTTAAATAAAACTAATCATATTCATTAGAATAAATGTATAAACAATGGGCAAAATTATCATATATGTCTCTTTCAACTACTTTGCTAAATATAAAAACATTCTTATTCTGAAAGCCTTATTCATTTAAATTTTTTCACATAAATTACATGATGTGATGAAGTATAAGCTGAATATTGTCCAGTGAGGTCATATGTGAATTCCTGATGGGCTGTATAAAAACTTTGCCTAGTGTCATACTGGAACACAAAGACTCCTTTGATTATTTAAAAAAAAAAAAAAAGGAAAAGGAAAAAAGGCAGAAGATTATATCTACCAGAAGGGTCTGAAGGAAAATTAAGGCCAGAACATTAATAACTTTACTCAACAAAAAACTAGTAGATCATACCAGAGACCATCAAGTGTTCTCCCTGCATTTTAAGGAGAGGCAGACAACTGTCATTCTGTTGTGACAGGCAGCTGAAAGAGATCTATACCTCCACAAAGCATATTGACAGAAGATTGATTAATGACAGTGAAGAGAGCTTTGCTCTTGACATACTTCATGGTCTGTGATTAGGCCAGTGGGCTCAAGAGTGGGGAGCATTTATCCAAGAGTATATGTAGAAAAGGTATATTGGAACCTCTATTTGCTTTTTAATCTTAAAAAATAAAAACTTAATTTTACTAATATTTAATATATTTTACTAATTTTACCAATATTTTCCAATATTTGTAAGTAAATACTAACAATTTATAAACAATTTGTAAATAAATGCATAGAGTTTAAGGGTGTGTGCACAATTTTTTCCCCTGACAGCAGTATGTGACCAATAACAGCAAGGATCTATAGGTACCATCTATGAGTGTCCACACTCACTTAATACAAATTACACACTCACTTTGACATGGCCGTCCAAATATATTGATCTGCTGTGTCTTAAGTACTTCCAAGGCACATACTCACTTTTCAGATGTCTAGTCTCAACCTCACAGTGATGTACTATTGTAGTCTAGGTACCACAATAACAGAGAGCATACTATAGTTTAAGTGTGATGTGCCATTTTGCAAATGCCTAAGTATTACATTTAGAAGATTAATATACTACACCACAGGACAGTAAAAATAAGAAACCAACTGACTTTGTAATTATTAGATCCACTGGTCAGTAGTGCTATGGTGGCAGATACTAAAATAGGAAGACAGACTATAAATAAGCCAACCAATGAATAAGCGTGTCAATGTTAAATAGTGATAAATGCAGTGAAGAAAAGAGAATAGATGTGAGAGAGGCTGGGCACAGTGGCTCATGCCTGTAATCCCAACACATTGGGAAGCCAAGGCAGGAGGATTGCTTGAGCCCAGGAATTTGAGACCAGCCTGGACAACATGATAAGACCCTGTTTCTACAGAAAATTAAAAAAATTCACCAGGCATGGTGGCACACACCTGTGGTTTCAGCTACTTGAAAGGCTGATGTGAGAGGATCACTTGAGCCCAGGCAGGCAACAGAGCTGATCTCAAAAAAAAAAAAAAAAAAAGAAAAGAAATAAAGACGACAGAAAAATACATATTGTAAGTTGAAATGCATTTTTTTTTTTTTGAGATGCTGTCTCACTCTGTTGCCAGACTGGAGTGCAGTGGCACAATCTTGGCTCACTGCAACCTCTGCCTCTTGGGTTCAAGTGATTCTCCTGCCTCAGCCTCCCAAGTAGCTGGGACTACAGGCAGTGCCACCACGCCCAGCTAATTTTTGTATTTTTAGTAGAGACGGGGTTTCACCATGTTGGCCAGGATACTCTCAATCTCTTGACCTTGTGATCTGCCCGCTTTGGCCTCCCAAAGTTCTGGGATTACGAGCCACTGTGCCCAGCCTTGAAATGCATTTTATCTACCTAACCTACTGAACAACATAGCTTAGCCTAGCCTACCTTAAACATGCTCAGAACACTTACATTAGCTGACAGTTGGGCAAAATCATCTAACACGTAGCCTATTTTATAATAAAATGTTCAGAATGGCTGTATGGATACTTGAAGTATGGTTTCTACTGAATGCCTATTGCTTCTGAATCATTGCAAAGTAAAAAAAAATCATAAGTAGAACCTTCTTAAATTGGGGATTGTCTGTATATTTTACCAAAATAAAAAAATTAGGTTTAAAGAATAAAAAGAGAGACCAGGCAAGAAATGATGGTAGCTTGGCCTAGGTTAGTAAAAGCGGATAGATATAGAATGTATTTTGGAGGTAGGACCTGGAGGACTTTTGGATAGATCAAGGGAGGCAAAGAGGAGGAAAAGTGAGAAGAAAACAGCACTCAAGAGTGACTTCTAGGTTTTTAACTTGAGCATGTGGTTAGATGGTGGTTCCATTCACAGAGCTGAGGAAGACCTGGGGCTTGTGATGGTGGTGAAGAACAAGTGGAGGAGAAATCTAGAGTTCTGGATATAGTAAGTTTGAGATGCCTACTGCCATACAACCAAATGCAGGTGTCAAACTGATAGTCAAAGAGTAAGTCTGGAGGTCAGAGGGAAGGGGGACTGTCCTGGAGATATGATCCTGGAAGTCATTCATATATAAAGACCTAAGAAGAGAATGTAGTGAAAGAAGTTGGCCTTGCCATTATACTTGGCTTGAAAGCTCAGAATATATTATATAATCCAAGAAGATAGACTATCTTTTTTTTGTTTTGTTTTGAGATGGAGTCTCGCTCTGTCGCCCAGGCTAGAGTGCAGTGGCATGATCTCGGCTCACTGCAACCTCTGCCTCCCAGATTCAAGCAATTCTCTGCCTCAGCCTCCTGAGTAGCTGGGATTACAAGTGCCCACCACCACGCCCAGCTAATTTTTGTATTTTTAGTAGAGACAGGGTTTCACCATCTTGGCCAGGCTGGTCTTGAACTCCTGACCTTGTGATCCACCTGCCTCGGCCTCCCAAAGTGCTGGGATTACAGGCGTGAACCACCACTCCCAGCCTGATAGAATATCTTTGAACATAAAATACTTAAACAATGATTTTGTGTGTGAACAAGAGAAAGTTGGGTAAGATGAGAAGAAAATAAAGTCTTCATAAGGCCCCTGAAGAATTCCCAACTTCTCCAACTCTGGTGAGTGGTTTTGTATAAATGCTTACAGTCTTTAATGTTTCTTCCAGCTCTTTTGTATTTGCTTTGTAATGATAACTAACTTTGCTTATGTAGATATTGGCTTTTCAACTAATATGTCCGAAGGTGAAGAACATGTGTAGTAATAACTACACTGCTGCAATTAACAAAATACCCTATACATGAAAGACACTCAATATCTATATCCACTGATGGACTAATACCATAGGGAGACCACTAAGCTAGTTCTCCAGTAAGGACAAGAGTTTCTTGTCCTGAGGAAAATAGCAGGATAGAATGTGATCTTGTAATTATTGACAATTTTTTTCAGGGGCAGCATCTCACTGTTTGTGCCTAAATTGCCTCAGAAAAAGAAAACAGTCTAAATTATTAAAACGAAATGGCAAAATCAGGTCATTGCCACTTTTCACTGTGAACTGAATGTGTTTGAAACAATAGGAACTTGAAAGGTTACTCATTAGTAAAGATTTTATTTAATTAAAAAAGTGTCTTTGATGATCATAAAGTGATGAGCAGGAAAATCTCTGCATCAATGTCCTCTGCTGTTCCGTTTCAAGTCAAATTCAAAACATGTCAGCCATACTCATCATTCACACTCACACTCATTCACTCCACCAACGTTCACTGATTAACTACATGAACCAGGTATGCATCATTGACTTACCTTTAATTTTCAAGTAACTCATTGTTATGTTCACAGTCTGGTTTCCTTGTGTGTAATGTGAAGAGGAAAAGACATTTTCAGGATCTTAGTGCCTGTAGATAATACACAGAACAAAAGTAAGGTTTCCTCCAAATCAGAATTTATTAAGTTGGGAAACATTTAAATATTACATGATGGAAAATTATTGATTTGTAAGTAAATAAAGCATTCCAACATGACTGAAAGATTTCTCCTAGGTTAAAGATTTGGGTGATGACATATGTCAAAAGCAGATACTTTACTAATGACATTAAAACATCTAGAGAAGGAAATGGCCTTTCTGAAGAGTCATACTGAAAGTTGACTGGAAGTCACATTGAGTCAGAAGTAAAGCAGCTGGCAGTGGGTGACCAGCACAGCCAAGGGCTAGAAGGCCAAGTTCTCACAGCCAGCCCATCAGGTCCCACTGGTAGGTCTTTGCTACTGGAGGTGAATGCATCTGGTTAGCAAGGCCATTGAAATTTGAATCATATGACTAATCTCCCATGTTCTGATTCCATACATTTCAAGCCTATTTCTCATTACAATTTAGATTCTTATTTAGATTTTCCTTTGCCGGTGAGAAAGGCTTCTTATTATATATTTTATTTTAGCATTCTGATTTACATATCAGGCTCATGTGAGCTTGGTACATGTGAGTCTCAGGATGCTGAATACATCAATTTCAGAGCCTGCAAATCTGAAAAGGCTGTACTTTAAATTCATCAAGATGAATGCCAAACTGTGAGGTTGTTTGGCAGGCAGCCAGCTAACCTCCCCAAGCAACACCTAACCATGGTGGAGTTGCAATTGCTAGCCTTCACAGAATTTTAAAGCAATCTTGGTATAAATAATCTTACCATGTCTGTTAGTAATACTTCAACTTTGACACTTTCTTTTTTCCTCAACAGGTAATCTAACTTCTTGGGTTTTTATTGTGTTCTATTTTGGATTTTTTTAAAGGCATAAATGGAGAAAAGTAGTCATAATTTCTGTTTCACCTTGAGATTTATTTCCTACAAATCCAGGAGGCACTTCATGCCTAACATGCAGATCTTTAAGCCCAGGGTCCCCGTTGCTACATACCCTCCTAAAACTGGTGAAAATCATCATTTTCTCACCCTAAGAAACCTCAGAATAAATAGCAGCAAAAGTTTGCGACATTGCCCCATGCACAAGGTTAAAAACACAAGTAGGAGATCTCAATACTGCAGCTGAGAGGTCATGTAAGTGTGATAGAGCAAAAACAAACCAGCCTATACCTTCGGATTTGCGAGTGAATTCTTCTAATGAGAGATGTCAGATGCTTGTTACTACAAAATAAATGCCTTTTGGCTGCCTTTTTTTTTCTCTTCCTCCTGATTAAAAAGAAAGCAAAACTGTAACACAATTCTTAAACACATTTTTAAAAGTATCATCATTGCTAATGCTTTTTTTTTTTTACAATTCAGTTCATCACTGCAGGCAAATCCGTTTCTCATTCATAAATTCCCTGATTGTCAAAACAATGTAGATAATCGTTTATCATAATGTAATATATCCTGGAAAGCAATCATAACATAAAGAAGACTTTCTCTTATGTAAAGGACAGCCTATTTTAATATATTTTAAAGGCAAGCCCTGATTGGCTATTCACTAATTTGTTGCTATGAGCAACATAATATTTTATTTTGGAAACCTTCAGGATTTCAGTTGCTCTGCAGTTTTGTGTCTGAATTTGTGAACTATTTTCTTCTCTCTGTCTCTTTCTCAGCTTTGGTGCTTGTTGTTTTCCAGGTAGGAACATTTAATATTTTATCTAAATATATTCCTGTTTAGAATTGTAAAATAATGTATAACATCCATGAATCACATAAAGGTATGTAGATTTTTACTTAGCATGTTTGAATCCCTAGGGGCAGACAGGAAAACAAACTGGTTGACTTACCCCAGACAGAATTTATTGATAGCACATTGGTTTCCAAGGACTGCTATAACAAAATACCATGAACTAGGTTGCTTAAAACAATAGAAATTTACTATCTCACAGTCCTTCCTTGCCTCTCCCAGCTTCTGGTGTTTCCCAGCAATCCTTATCCTTCCTTGGCTTGTAGATCGATCACCCCAATCATTGCCTGTGTAGTCACGTGTCATTCTCACTGTGTATTTGTGTGTTTCTTCTCTTCTTATAAGGATTCCAGTCATATTGGATTATAAATCCACTCTAATTTAGTATAACCTTATCTTAATTTGATTATATCTGCAAAGACCTTATTTCCAAATAAGGTCACATTTACAGGTACTGAGAGCTAGGGAAGTTTGAAGATACTAAGTTGAGAAGGCTAAGATCCAGGAACATGCTGGGCAGCACTTGTGGCTGAGTTGTGTGACGTCTAGTCTTTTGTTTATCCAAGAATCAACGTTGCAAGACTGTCATCTGAATAGCCAGGCTTGGATCACATGTGCCCAACTCTTGACAGCACTGAGGCAGGAAACGGGAAATTCTGTCTTCTTCAGCTGCTATATTTTGAGGAGACATCTGAGTTAGCTCTCAATAGGGAAGAAGCCATGCTCCAAAAGGAGCCAGCTGCTGTTAAAAAGGGGGAATGAAGTCTGGGCTGCCAAAAATGAAAGAATTCTACCTTACCACTTTTATGACTGCTTATAAATCAGATATAACAAAAAAATTAAATTCTGCAGATTCACCACAGCTTGACTGCATGACTTCAGGATATACAAAAAATCAGATATACAAGTCAAAAATCACTTGCCTAATACCTTTGGGCCCACATGCATTTCAGAATTTAGAATTTTTCAGAGTTTAGAAAGGTAATATGATGCACATACCATTTGTAACATCCCAGCAGGGTGTGCAACAGCATCCCATAATCAAATGTATAAATATTTCTGCAGTGAATTTTTTAAATATTTATACTAAATGATAGAAAAGACCAAAAATAGCCTCATGCCAGTTTAGTTAGGTTTGGGCACTAAATGAGTTGAGGTCAGATCAAGTTTTACAACCAAATTAGATGTTTCTAAAAATTGGAGGTTTTCAGAGCTTTCTGGATTTCAAAACTATGGATAAGGGAATTGTAGAGTATACTTTTTCCTGAAGTTCGCAAAGTCATGAAAGCTAAGCAAATCTAAGTTAGGCCAACAGTAAAACATACAGGGTAATTCTACTATAATCTACAACCTACATCTAAACTTAATCTACAATCTATAATCTGCTCTCTAAACTCTCAATCTAAGATCTCAATCTATAATCTACAACCAGTATATAAACTCAGCATACGGTCAGTATATGCAGTCTTCAGTTGTTGTCATGTGGCCTTGGGCCCATGACATAGCCAAGGAAGAAAAGTGAAAACCTGAGAAAGAGCACTTGTCTTCTAAATAGGTCATTTAAGGATATGTTCATGCCATACATCATTCAAATGGAAGTTAGATATCTTCATATTAACTAAATTCATACCTGTAATGTTAAAATTTAGAGACCTGTAGTTATTTCTTTTTGTGTGCGTGTATTGTCATCATTTTTTCTGACTATAAAAGAAAAAGTAATCTCTGTAAGTCAATTGCATCTCCATTGTAAAATAATCCAATTTTATTCTATGAACATTATTATTACGTGGAAGAAGGAAGAGAAATTACTTATGACCAATATCAGAATGGTTTGATTTTTCTTGGTTCTGCCTTTGTTTTCAGTAGTCCATACATTGTCCTGCTCAGGGTATAACAAGACCCAAGTCACAAAAGGAAGAATTATAGTTTGTCTTTGAGAAATAAACTTTAACAAAAACTATTTTTAAATATGTTAATTCCTACTGAGAAAAACAAAGAAGTCTGAAATAAATAATATCAGATTCATGAATCTGAAGACTTAATGTTGTTAAGATGTCAGTTCTCAACAAATTGGTCAATAGACTCAATGCAATCTTAAGCAAAATACCAGCAGTGTTTTTTTTTCTAGAAGTTGATGGGTTAATTCTGAAATTAACATTGAAATGCAATGGACCTAGAATAACCGAGACGATTTTGAAAAAGAAAAATGAAATTGAAGAACTAATCTACCTAACTTCAAGACTTAGTATAGAGCTTCAGGAATCAAGGCAGTGTGCTAAATAGACACATAGATCAATAGAACAGACTAGAGAGTCTGGAAATAGACCCAGACTTAAATGCCAACTGATTTTTGACAAATGTGCTGAGGCAATTCAATGCAGAAAACATAGGTATTTCAAAATATAATGCTGGAACAACTATACATTTATAAGGAGAAGGAAATCTAGACCCCCTGCCTCACACCATATGCAAAAATTAACTCAAAATGGATCAGAGCCTAAACATGAAAGATAAATTTATGAAATTATTTTTTAAATAAGACAAAAAGATTATTTGATCTTGACAAAGATTTCTTAGATAAACCACAAAAAGCATGTATCATGATAGAGAAATGATAAATTGGACTTCAATGAAATGAAAAACTTCTGTTCTTTGAAACACACCACTAATAAAAAGAAAAGGCAAACCATAGCCTAGGAGAAAATGTTTACAAAACATATTTGACAAAGATTTGTATCCAGGATATGTATTTTAAAAACACTTACAACTCAGGGGTTGTAAGAAGACAAGCTCTCTAGGTTTAGAAGCTGGGCAAATGATTTGAACAGGTACTTCACAAAAGAATATGTACAAATGGCCAATAAGTACGAGAAAAAGTGTTCAACATTATTAGTCATTAGGAAAAATGCAAATAAAAACCACAAAATATACACACCCATTAGAATAGCCAAAGTTTTAAAGACTGACAATATCGAGATTTGGGGAGAATATGGAAAAATTGAAATTTTCATACATTGTTAGTGGGGAGGTAAAACGGTGCAACACTTAGACAGTTTAAAAATTTCTTAAAATTTTAAACATACATTTACCCTATGATCCAGCAATTCCACCCTTGGATATTTATCCAAGAGAAATGAAAACATGTGTCAACACAAAGACTTGTAATGAACATTTATATGAACTTAATTCATAGTAGCCAAAAACTGGAAACAGCTCAAACATCCATCAACATGTAAATGGATAAACAAATTGTTGTACTTTTCTCTTAAAATTGATTCATTTTTATTGTATGTAAATGACATCCCCAAATAGTTGATTTTTTTCAAAAACTGTATTAACTCTGATTACTGAGACTTTAATGCTCTGGTGCCAGGTAGGGACTATCCTTAATACTGCTCTGGTAGGACCATTTTTTTAGGTCAGCGGTGTTACTGATAAATATGACATTCACATTTGAAGTATTTATTTGAAATATTTGAGAGAAGCATTGTTTAGAAACATTGTGAACATTAACAAATTGAAGTGAATTGTGCATATTATCATAATTAAATGAAGGAAAATTACATAAAAGCAATCCCCACATTTAAAAGTGAGCTTAGAGAGTGTCTTAGTTTCCAAGGACAACTATAACAAAATACCACAAACTGAGTGGCTTAAAACAACAGAAATTTATTGTCTCACAATTCCAGAGACCAGAAGTCTAAAATCAAGGCATTGGCAAAGCCACTCTCCCTCTGAGAACTGTAAGGGAACCCTTCCTTGCCTCTTCTAGTTTCTGGTGGTTTGCTGACAATCTTTAGCATTCCTTGGCTTGCAGCTTCATTACTCCAATCTCTGCCTTTGTTATCATGCGTTATCTCCCTGTGTATCTCTATCTTCAGATGACCGTTTTCTTATAAAGACATCAGTCACGTTGAATTAGTGGCCCATGCTGTTCCTTTATGACTTCATCTTAACTAATTACATCTGCAATGACCTTACTTCCAAATGTAGTCACATTTTGAGGTACTAGGAGTTATTTGGAAGGGATACAACTCAACCCATAACAACTGGTAAAAATGTGGAAATCACCCGTATTTTCAACAGGACAAGAGAATCTGGTTCTCTCTCTCATTGACCAGAGGTAAGTGATTTATTAATTCATTCCATCACTTATTCAGTAATCCATTCCTCTATTCATTAATTTAATAAACATTTATAGAACACCTACAATGTGTCAAGTCTTATGCTAGACACTGAGGATGCAAAGAAGAATAACAAGACCCTACTGTTGTAGAACTAGGGTGTCATCAAGGTAAGAGACAAGTAAACAAATACTTAAAATACCTGTTGGATATGTCATCATGAAAACTTATTCCAAGTTGCAAGGTGGCAGAGAGAAGAGAGTATTTATGCCTGGGCATTTCTGAAAGATAATAGCATTGGAGCTGAGGCCTCCACAAGCAGCAGTCTTTCTCTAGGAAATATATGGACAAGGGTTAGGGCACAGAGATTGTTTTTTCCAGGCAAAGAGAATAGCATCAAAATGACATGGAAGTGTGAAAAAAAATACAGCATGTTCAGGACATTATTAGCAGGTCAGCATTATTGGGTGGCATGTTGCATGGGGTTATGAGGAAGGGCAGTGAAAAAGCCTAGAAGAAAATCTGGGGTCAGATAATAAACAGCACATGACAGAAATGTAGATGTTAGTCTACAGGAAGTACAAAGCCAATTGAAGATTTTTAAGCAAGGAAGTAATAATAATATTTGTATTTGTAAGCAGAGAAATAACAACCATACTCATGGAGGTGGAATTTATTAAAATGAGAGTCTAAAAGGGAGGCCAATCAGATGGCCTACCTGAATTAAGGCAACGGCAGGAGAACAGAAAAACAAGGAGTGGCTTCAGGAGATATTTAAAAGGAAGACTGAATAGAAATGGTGACTGAAGAAAAGGGAGAATTCAGTAATTTAAAGCACTGAGTGTAAAAGAGGATATGGGGAAGAAAATGACATTTTTCAAATTTGGATTATTTATTTATGTTCCTCTTTGTTGTATAAATGGATTTGGGGGTGCCTTGCCGGGGTAGAAACATTACAAAATGTTTGTTTAAAAAATGAAATAAATGAGGAAATGAAGGTGAAGAGAAGTAAGTTGAAGTCAAGATTAAAATTAGCACTCAAAATGCATGCTGTATGATGTATATGATTACTTGAAGAAAGACTGATTTGGCTTGACGTTTCTGAAGGGCGAGAGCAAAGAGAGAAGTTGTCTCAGTGCAAGATCCACATTGTCCTGAGGATAAAAATAAAGACCCAGCTTTCTCTGGCACTGAGAGTGGAGAAAATTTCTCCTGTAAGACAAGGGCCAATGTTTACTACCCATCAAGGTGAAAGAGCTACCAAGACAAGCAGACAGATGAAAATATGAATCCAGAATTCAAGAGAGAGGCTGGGCACCCCAATTCCAGACTTGGAAATCCTTGCCACTAGGTGCTTGTGTTCTTCAAAATTTTTCACTGTTACCTCTTACACCACCACAGGGATTTCATTAGCAGTAGAAAGCACATTTCCTTCTGTTAAAAGTGAGAATATTGAAGATTATCAGGTGAAAGACTACACCAAGACAACTGTCACTAGGTCGTGTTTTCCCAAAGGAACTTCAGATGATTCTAACACCTCAATTTGCATGGTGCAATTCAATGTGAGAGTCAGAGTGGTACCACTCCTAACTCTACTTTTGCACTTAAAACTGTCCAAGTTCCACCCACAGTCAGCAACAAAGGTGTGTACTTGTCCCTAGTGTGTGGAACAATGACTGAGAAGTCTGTTGCCAACACTCTCTTTAATGTTGTACGTGTGTGTCAGGTTAATTCAGTCCTGAGCTAATGATATCAGAAAAAAGAGGCAATATTTAGCCATGACCAAAACTTACTTTTAAGATAACTAATGTTCACCATATGCTCATCCATGCTTCCTTGAAAAGTAAGAAAAACTTTCAGGTTTTCCCTGTTGCTGACTTAGAGAAAGAACATGTATGCAAGTGATTTAAAATCTTGACTAACTCCATTCCCCTGTTTGGACTTACAGCTATCAGCCTCACAAACAAAATCAAAGTACAGACTTTGGAGAATCCATATGCACTTTAAGAGACATTTAAGGGAATTCATTACTGCTGTTTAACTTTTTAAGCACATCCTGATGGCATCTGCCTAGAATTCCCCCAGAAACCACTGGGTTGAAATCTTTATCAGTTTCATGTATAGTATCTCTGAAACCATCTGGTTCTGAACAGTTTAGAGGACAGAGTCAAGCAAGATCTTTCTAGTAGTTCTCTCCCTTTTGATTATCTAAAGTGTTTTTCTCCTCACCAAGTAGAACATGTCAAAGCTTTCATGTTATTCTATAGTGGTTCCTGACTTTATAATATGGTGCTTTGAAATATGCCTGCCCTGGCTGAGCACAGTCGTTCACACCTGTAATCCCAGCACTTTGGGAGGCCGAGGTGGGCAGATCACAAGGTCAGGAGTTCAAGACCAGCCTGGCCAGCATAGTGAAACCCCATCTCTACTAAAAATACAAAAATTAACAGGGCGTGGTGGCACACACATGTAATCCCAGCTACTCAGGAGGCTGAGGCAGGAGAATCGCTTGAACCCAGGAGGCGGAGGTTGCAGTGAGCCGAGATCATGCCACTGTACTCCAGCTTGGGCGACAGAGCGAGACTTTCTCAAAAAAAAATAAAAAAAACCCACAAACACATTGTACAGTGGAAATACATCTGCCCTTATTTAGATGGGGTTTGCACTTACAATTAAAACACATAACAATAATATCCATTTGGCAGTATGTCTTTATGCTGCAATGCTACTAATTTTTTTACGTTTCCACCATGAAGAGAATAGAAATTCAGCTTCTCTATCACTAAGTAATGAGTTTCAAAGTCAACAAAAGGATAAAATATTGATACCCATTGACATCTGAGCTTACAGACCTTTGCTTCCTTTCTAAAGCAAAAATATGTTATTAATAAACAGTTATACAGGCACAGCATGGAAAATAAATTTCAAAGAACAGCAGTGTAAATGCTGTATTTTGCTTTCAGGTTCAGTGGATTTTTATCTTGAGTAATAGCTTAAAAGATTAACCAGCTATTCATTTCATAAGCTTGAACACACACCTCACAGTAGAAAACAAATTGGCATTTGGAGTTCCTGAATAAAGTGCTATTCAAAGTGGCTCCATAGGCATTAAAACATAGAGTTAGTTTTGTGAATGCCATCAGTGAAAAATCTTTCTCGTGTAAAGAAAGCAGTAGGAATAAACTTTAAGTCAAAGGCAAGTTCTTCTGGTCCCTCATCCACAATGTTTATCCCAGTGGGATATGATACACTCTGTGCAATTGCTATGTTCCACAATAATTATAAAGAGCAATAACATGTGATATGAATAGAACATGTAACAAAGAACAGCAGTAGATGGTAAAATAACCACTGGTTATGTCAAAACTAATAACTTATTTTGCTCATGCAGAGTCAATGAGTTAAGAGGTCAAATGAGCCCTGTTGTTTAAGCCTAATAGTACACATGGCTTTTCTGGTTCATCATTTTCAAGTTCCTTCAGAACTGTTTTAAGGATTATGTGAAATCGACTGGGTTTCATCAATGGCTTAGGTAAGAACATGTGCTCATGTTTTCGAAAGTAAGGTCCAAGATATTCAATGTAAGCATTTGCCTTTTTGCAGCTTCTGGGAAGAGGTGGAGTGTTATAAGACCCCTTGTCATAAATATAGCATTCACTATCATAGAAAATAGTATCCATCTTTCTTAGGAATGGAGGTAGTTGTACAATATGACACCCAACACATCTTTAAAATGTTATGTATCATAGTGTACTTTTAAAAAGCAGTGTACTTCTCATTGATCTTCCCATTTTACTTGGATTTAAAATGCAGATCTTTTCCTCCTTTTGAAATCTTTGCATTTTTATTCATAAATGTATAGGGGGAATCCATTTCAGACATATGCAGCCTCATAAATTATGTTTGGTAGTTGAAACAGTATGTACTTATGTCATGGATTGAACATCCTCCTTTATTAGAATGCTATTTATTGCCACCAGCTGCACTGCTTAGCTAAGAAAGTTCTTGACACCAGCGATTGCTTTTCAGCACCACTGCTTCCGGCTGCTAACAGGGGCTTCTATTTCCAAATGAAGCCACCCCTCTGAGCTCTTCCTTCTGCTACATAGATACCTCCTGTCATCGTGATGTTGGAGAATCGATGGGGGATGGGACTGCACCCACCCATGCTCTATGATCTCCCAGGCTGTAAATCTCTCACGGCTTTGAGATTTCTCACCTAATAGCACTGGCCTGAGAGCTGTCACATGCATTCAGGGAATCTACCCAACAGTAATGGATTTTTCAAAATTAAGATGTGAATTTAGCTTGTGAGCAAAGGGTGTTTCAGAGTCACTGGCGTGTATTTCAGAAGAGAAGCATGGTGCATATCAGCAGTAGACACTGGTCTCTATTTTATTACATTTTACAGCAGGGAAAACTAGACAAAGGTAATTACTCTTCTTCTGTTAAAGACTATTATTACACTTGCATGAACAGTTAACCCTGCTGTTATTTTCTCTGCTGCCTGTGTCGATGACATCCAGACCATCCAAGCAGGAAAGGTATAGAAATGGGGGTCTCAGCTCATTTCCAATTGCACAGTAAGTCCACTTTGAAAGGTAATCTTCTAAACCACAAATGTGTGTACCAACACACAAGCTCGTTCCATTATTTGTTGACGGAATCTTTGTCCGTGTCTTCTGCATGCCAGTTTGAGCACTGGCTCCTTTTTATAATGTTTCCACACATAATTGGGCTCCCAGAGCCCACAAAGCTAACAGCAGCAGTCAGTGACAGGAGGAGACCTCCCTCTGTTAACATGGAAACAGAATTTCCTTGCTCTCCTCTAGAAAGGAAATTCCCTCTAGGTCAAGGTTGAGGCTGTCTGCAGTGTGGGGAGGACGAGATTACACAGAAGATTCCTTAACCTGTGGTCCTGGAGAGCTCTCTTGAAGTGGTGTCAGGCCCTCAACCCTTCATAAGCAGCAAATTTCTCCCCTTGACTAAACAAGAGGACAAGCAGAAAATTGATTTCTAGACATTACCTTTGAGATACAGACTGAAAATTCGAACTTCAGGGCACTTCTTGCCCCAACCAAAAGCTCAGGCAAAGAAAAGCCCTACGTGTCTTCCATTTCAGGTTTGGAATTGCAGCTGTTAAACCTAAGATCTCATTTTCAGAGAGAGTCACTCTCCTCATTAGATTTTGCTTCTCATTCAACAAGGGACTGGCTTAAAGCCATGCAGTTGTGTGGCCATTATTCACAATAACTTTCACCTGAGTTTCACCAACTACTCGGCGACAGGTATTATTATCTCCATCATGACAGGACAGAAACCAGAGCACAAGATTGTCACCTCTGATTTCCCAAGTGCCATCCACTGTCTCAGAGGAGCTGACAAGGATGCTGGACACTCAACTTGATTTTTTGTTTGTTTGGTTTTGTTTGGTTTTGCTTCTGCTTGGGCCAGTCTCAATATCAGGTTGAATAGAAAGAGCAGAAAGGATAACCTGGATTCAAAGCATCACATGGAAAATGGAAAATGCTGAGTTAAAAAGGAGGCTGGATGCTGGTGTCTGTGTGTGTCCGGAAGGAGTGACCAGAGACTCTCAACTTCCTACATGTTGGCCATTTAGAAAAGAAAGAAAAGGAGAAATGGTGTTTTGGTACTATTACTAATCTCTTCTAAAAAGTAGATAATTAAAAAGAAAAAGCACTGATATTAGGTGATTTGGTAAAATGCCCCACGTGCATATGTGCTCTTTCATGAGGTTGAAAGTGGGTGATATATTTTAAACAATTAAAGAACAAAAATCAAGTTAAAAAAGAAGATTACCTAGAAAAGGCAAACAACACTAACACCAGGAATGGAAACTCAGAACGTAGTTGATTATATTGCCTGAGGAAATTAGAAGAAATGTGGTTACCATCTTCTTTCAGGATGATCTTTTAATTGAAATGTTGAGTAGCTGAATCTGACCCACTCAATTAATATTCATTGGTGATATCTACCACATATATTTTGGGTAGAAAATATGGAAGTAAAAATTGTTTTAAAAAAAGAGAAGTTTGAGCCTGTTTCCTTCTGTCTTGCGGCAGTGATTTTAATTTATTCTGTAATAACCATTCAACAAATATTCAACCTGTACCTAATAAGGACCAGGTATTCTACTACTTGCTACAGATCTTTAAATTCTGAATTTCTAAGATACTGTCCTCAATTGTAACTGTGACATACAAAAAATGTTGAATGCCTATTGAACTGATTATAGGAAAGTCTACCTACATTTGCTACATGTTTTAAGGAGCTTTTCACTAGCATCTACATCCATTTGCATAACTTTTCCTAGATTTCCTCAAGCTATTGTAGTCTTCCTACTATCCATGTAAAATTTCCTCTCTTTATCATTTCCAAATGGGTTTGAGTTAGCTATTTTGTAGAAATTAAATAAATTATAATTACCTACTAGCTGTTATTTATCCTATCTTTATCAAAGAAAAAATAGTTATTAAAGAACAAAATCTAATTTTCACTTCAGGAAAATGAACACTTGTGAATAAATCAATTAATTGATACTCCAATGTTTTGCCAGAAATTCTCCATTTGTTATATCAGATCAGCAGAATAAACATCACTAGATGCCACTAGTAATTATCATTCATCTCAAATGAACCCAGTGGAATTAAGTGACTCGACCCACAAGATTTTATTTCAGTTGCAAGAAAGTAGAATAAGCAATATCAGCAGTTATACTAAACAAAATAACACAGAACAATCAAAGTCAACTTAATGCACCCGGCATCCAGAGCTGGACTGTAAGTCGAGATTCTGGCTTTGCTATTTACTACCTGTGTGACCTTTGGCAAGTAACATAACTTCTCAATGCCTCATCTGTAAAGTGGGTATAGTAGCTTAGCACATAGAATTTTCCTGAAGAATAAATATGTTTTATACACACTAAACACACAATAAATGTTAGCTATGTTTATTATGTCAAAAATATCATTTTAAATGAATGGATATAGAAGAATTTGCAACTGTCTTTTGCTTAGTAGTAGCATAAGACATAGTTTACACCTCTATACCATTATTTAATACATTAACTTGGCTTTCCTGAGTAAATGAATCTTTTTTTAAATGTTACCCTCTTGTTTCATTTCACTGCTTATTAAGACCAAATACTCACATTATCCTCACTTAAAGAGCTCCTAAAAATCCCTCTTCCCCCACCAGAACATTGCCTGACTTGTATAAGTAAGATTATAAATCTCTTTCCCCTTCAGTTTCAACAAGCTACTTATACAACACAAACACGGAGCACACCAAAGCTTGTAAGTCAATGTTTACATTACATCCTAGTGAATGCTTTTTTCAATGTGCAGTTTAAAATGTAGGCTTCTTGCCAGGGCAGGAATTTTGTCTGCTTCATGTGTTTTCTAGGTTCACACTTGACCGTGGTTTGGCATAGGAAGAATATTTCTAGACTGTTTTGTGCTGCATATCACCCAAAAAAAAGTGAGGGTTGGGGAGAAGAAAACCAGAGAGATATTTCTTTCTTAACATCTCAAGAAGTGAGCCTGACAGCAGCCACAAGAAGGAGCCAAGGAGAAAGAGCACAGCTGCAGGAGGGATGTCTCCTCTGTCAGTCTCCAAGCCCTGGCACCCTTTCAAAGAGCTGCTGTCTGCGTTCATAGTAATCAGAGTTGTAACACGGAAGAGAAGTGGAGGCAGGTCCACCTGAGAACTGTGTATGTGAAAAAGACTTCAACCTGATCCCAGTGCTAAATTAGATAAGTGCAGCCACCAGGATGAGCACTCTGCCTCGTCATACTCCCAGGACAATTTTGAGCCTCCCCATCAGTGTCAAATTACCTGTATTGGTGCTTGCTGCAGAAAGTTATAAGGACTTCATCATGCCTTTTCTTTGGGGTAAAAGTAATTTTAAAAGAAGAAGAGAAAGTTAAAAGGAAAACTTGAGACCTCAGAGCCATAAGGAAAGTGCATAGAAATATCATCATCTAAGAAGATGGTTTTCCAATTTGACTACACACTGAAATAATCAAGGGAGCTTTATATGTACTAGCACTGGTTCCCTCCCCAAAGGTTTGGTCTGGGGTGCAACCTGGTCATCAGGATTTAAAGCTCCCTGTGTGGTTGAGAAACACCAATCAATCTGGCAAATAATCTAAGCCCCAATCAACAAAAGCAGTGTGCACTGTGCCCCAGGCATTTTCATGACTTTACTCTAGAGTGAATTGACAATATGAGAAAACACTGGGTCCTAGGACTGGCTTCTTATTTGCCAATTAGCCCATCTGTGAATATTTATTGAGCATTTACCATGTACAAATCTCAAGACTGATTCTCAAAAGGGATCAGGTGACATTTTTAAAGACCTGACCCTCTTACTCTCTCCTTCTGGAACTTTCTGCCTCAATTTTTCTCCTTAAGGAGGGGCTAGCTAATTATCACTATAGCAATTTTTATCCTTCCTAAGAAGATTTAGTAAAAGTAAACCAGCCTTCATGTAATATGATTTGTT
Source organism: Homo sapiens (assembly GCF_000001405.40). Classification (NCBI taxonomy): domain Eukaryota; kingdom Metazoa; phylum Chordata; class Mammalia; order Primates; family Hominidae; genus Homo; species Homo sapiens. Next base: position 36,845,826 of record NC_000015.10, read on the forward strand.
TCAAATGGTTAGGAATAAGGGTAGATATATAAACATAAAAATGTATTTTCCGTATTTCCTAATAGAGTGAAATTGCAAAGATGTCAGCAGTTCAACAAGCATCTCAGGAGACTGACTACACGCACTCACCCTTCTGGTTTTCCGGGAGCTAGAGCCTCACCAAAGGAGATGATAGCTAGGAAAGAAGAAAATCACACAACGGCAAGGACAGAGGTAGAGAAAGCAATGAGCTAAATGGGGGATGGAGTGGAGAGTGGAGGAGAGTTGATACAATGAAAACTTCACCTGAATTAAATTTAAATGAGTTTAAAGGAGCAATGAACGATTCGCAAATCAGGCAGCCTTCTGAGCAAGGATAGGCTCAGAGACTCCAGCGCAGCCACGTGGTGGATAAGATTATGGACAGAAAAAGGAAAGTGAGGTACAGAAAACAGAAGTGAGGTACAGAAGCAGCTGGATTGGTTACAGCTCGGCATTTGCCTTATTTGAACGCAGTTAAAACAGTTGGCTACAGTTGACTGTCCAAAACTCAGTGATTGGCACAAGTGCAGGTTACAGTTTGTTTGTACATCTACTTGTTAGAGTTCATGATGTACAAAAAACCTTTAGGCCGAACTTAAAATATGTAAGGAAGCAGCTTTAGGCTAAACTTTGATTTAACACGGTGAAAGAGAAGAAGAAAATGGATCACTTCATTGCCTGAGAGGTTCTCATTGACCAGGGTTAATTGGTGTCAGCAAAAGGCATCTCCCAGTGAATCCACTTAAAATGGAACCATAATTTGATAAAAACATATTTCAAAAGGATTTGCTGAGAACAATTGTAAAAATTAAAGCAAAAATTATTGAAGCACATGCATTTTATTTTATAAGTAACAAAATATATTTTATAATTAAATGCAGTACTCAGAATCAAGAAGAGTAAATCAAGTATTGACTTTTGTGGTAATTTTCCCAAGAAAATTGTAAGGCAATATAATACAGCCATCATTTCACATTTCACTTCTGCAACACAAGACTATCACCTGGAAAATATTTGAAGTTTTTTAAAATTAGGTTTTTCTGAGGGTCTTACTAAGACTTTGATATTCACATTCTCTATTTAGCCATCCTCCTTCTTGATTTCTCTTCTCTGATTCTTTTTTTTTTTTTAACTTCTTTTTTTTTTTTTTTTTTGAGACAGAGTCTCGATCTGTTGCCCAGGCTGGAGTGCAGTGGCGCCATCTCGGCTCACTGCAAGCTCAGCCTCCCGGGTTCATGCCATTCTCCTGCCTCAGCCTCCCGAGTAGCTGGGACTACAGGCGCCCGCCACCACTCCCGGCTAATTTTTGTATTTTTTAGTAGAGATGGGGTTTCACCTTGTTAGCCAGGATGGTCTCGATCTCCTGACCTCGTGATCCACCCGCCTTGGCCTCCCAAAGTGCTAGGATTACAGGCGTGAGCCACCGCGCCTGGCCTTCTCTTCTCTGATTGTTAAATTAACTCTGCCAGATCCCTATATGTCAAATAGTGGCTTAAAATGCGATTTATGCAGCTCACCAACATTACTTTCATTCTTTCATAAAATTCTACAACTTTTGAAATATGCATAATTTCTCTTTGCAGTCAATTTGTATTATATTGTATCACATTGTTGGCTTTTTATAATATTTGATAGTCAGTGAGAGACTAACCAAGACATTGGCACAATAGGCTGATATAAATGTTCTGCTAAGCCAGGAGAGCTAGTTGGATGGGGATTAGTTGTATAAGTGGTTAGTTCAGTAATGGACATTTCTGGGTAGTGACCACTTTTCCCTAGACTGCCTAATAACTTTAGAACTTATATGCAGTAATTAGATAATGAGGTCCCCATGTATAAAAGCCAGGTTTCAAAGTTAGTCCAGGTATTTTGCCTTCTTGCTCTTTTTTTTCCCCACCCCAAGATTGGTTATTGGCTACCTCGGGAAGTAAGAATCTCAGGTAAAATCAGAAGTGACTCCTTTTATATTCTCTGACAGATGAATGTTGAAGTAATAAGAATAAGTCATTTAATGGGAAATTATCTAATGGATGCCCCAAAATTAATTTCTAAAGGGGCATTATTCCAAGAATTAAAAAGCTCTAAACTCATGAGTGAGTTTAGATTATAGAAGTTATTAATAACCATATTCATAGATAGCTAGGTATAAGAGTAATTGCTGGCCCTTGGATGATTAAATGATTTGAGATAGCTTTTGTTACTCAGTAGAAGTTATCTTACGGAAGATAAGAGCAGTAAGAGGTGATAAACATGATGGAAGCTGGACAAGAAAACATCCAAGAGATGTCTACTGCTTACATCACTGGGACTTCCTATGCCTATTCTATGTTACTTGCTGCAGTAAAGGTCTGTGCTCTATACATTGTTTTCTATTATACTTAATTGGAACAGTCTTCTTAGGAAAGAGACAGAAGGAAAGGAAATACATCTTAATGCCCTCTCCTTGATTGAACCCTCCCAATAATTTAACTTTGAAGTTCACACTGTTAAATGTACACATATGAATGAGCGAGGCAAACAATTAAGATGTTTTTATTTTATTGCATTAAAGCTCAATGTGGATTCTCAGAAACTAAAGAAATTTCAATTAACTTCAAATCAATTAATATTATACAAAATGATACAGAATAAATCCCAAAATTTCAGACTAAATGGCACATGCCAACTAGGCTTTGCAAAAGGAACCTCACTTGCTTAAAGTTCTTCAGCTTAAAAAAATAAAACAAAAAACAAAGAGGCAAACTATATTAGCAAACGCATAATTCAGCAAGCGGAGAAACAAAATATCAAGAATGTAGCAGGTGTAGAAGCATTAATTATCAAAGTATTGATTTAATAAAATGAATAATAAACAGTAAAGGCAATATGAGGAAGAGAAGGAAATTTCTGGCAACTTTGTTTAGATCCCTTTTCAGCTAACAGTCAAGCAAAGAAAGTCTCTTTTAAGCCAGAAGGATCACAATATTCCTTTCCATCATGGAATCCCAAATCAAGTTTCTAGCCTCAAGAACCAGAAACAAGTGGCAATATGGTCAATTTGTGTAATCAGCCAATGCAAAGACCAGTCAACGCCGAAGGAAAATCATCCTGGGAAGCTTATTATGCCCAATTTAAAATAATAAGCCAAATGAACCATCAGACAGAGGAACAGAAAGCACTATTTCTTGCTGCTAGTCTAAAGGGAACTGCTCTGATTGTGCTAAGCAATTTGTCAGAAAAAGACAGAAAGAGCTCTCTAGTATTATTAGGACATTAACCAGATTTTTTATGGTTGGACAAGGCAGGATTGGCCAGGGTGAGAATCAAGAATTCTATTAGGAAAAGTTGTTAGTCACTAACCAGATTGACTCAAGATACTGAATAATCATTGTGTTGAATCTATCCATATGCCCTGAGGACCAAAATGGCATCAGAACTCCATTTTCTGAAACATTTTGTAAGTCATCCAGTGGAAATAAAGTTACATTATTTTTGCTTTAAATCACATATTATACACACTCTCTAAAAGACTTATTATTTAGTAATCTTCCTGATAAATCTTGGGAGGAAATATTGCCTAAAGTAAAATAAAGATAGAGGATGCCCTCAAGTATTCAGCAAAATGTGAATCAATACGTGTACAAGAAAATTAGCTGATGCCAGGAAAAGGACAATCCGAAACGATGAGAGGAAATAGTACCAGGTGCTCACACGGGGCCAGAAAGAATTTCTATATCCAGCAACCATACTGGAAAATGCAAAATTAATCGTGCATTTTACAGACTACTTGGAAGGGTCTTCTACCATTAGTGGGAAATAATTAGCACTAAATTGAGCATTCTGCTGTTCCCACCTAACAAATTTTAAAAGCAAGGCCTAGCGAAAACAACTTTTACAAAGAAGAATGAAGCAGAAGGACTAATAACTGATTTTAAGACTTAATATAAAGTTATAGTACTCAAGACTTGATGGTATTGCTACCAAGATGGACAAATCAGCAGAACAGACTGGAGTCCAGAAATAGACCACGTCTGGCCAGACTTGCATATTTGTGACAAAAGTGGACTGGCAATTTATTGGAGAGAAGATAGTCTTTCAACAAATGATGCAGGAACAATTTAATATCTCTATTTAAAAAATGAAAGTTAATTTATACTCTGTACCATATGAAAAATTAACTCAAATGGATCATAAACCTAAATGTGAAATCTAAAACCATAGCATTTCTAGAGAAAAATATAAGAGAAAAACTTTGCAACCTTGGGGTAGGCAACAATTTATTCATATGTGACATCAAAAGCATGATGTATAAAAGAATAAGTTGATAAACTGAAATTTTATTTTCTGTTGAGATAGGGTCCCTCACTTCCTAGGCTGGAGTGCATTGCTGCAATCACAGCTCTCTGCAGCCTTGACTTCCCTGGCTTAGGTGATTCTCTCACCTCAGTCTCCCAAGTAGCTGAGACTACAGGCATGTGCCATCATGCGCAGCTGATTTTTTGGTATTTTTTGTAAAGATGGGGTTTTCCCATGTTGCCCAGGCTGGTCTCAAACTACTGGGCTCATGCAATCCACCCACCTCAACCTCCCAGAGTGCTAGGGTTACAGGTGTGAGCCACCATGCCCAGCAGATAGATTGGATTTCATAGGAAATATGAAATTCTTCCCTTTGGAAGACATTGCTGAAACAATAAAAAGACATGCTGCAGTTTAGAAGAAAATCTTTGCAAATCATATATCTGATTAAAAAAAAAGTGTCCATAATATATAAGGAACTCTCCAATCTCAATAATAAGAAAACAAAAAAACAAATTTTTTAAATGGGCAAAAGATTTAGATAGGTACTTCACCAAAGAAGACATAAATTACAAGAAAGTACATGAAAAGATGCACAATAGCACTAGACATTTAGGAAATTCACATTAAAACCACATGAGACACCGTTGCCCACTATCAAAATGGCTGAAATAAAACAGATGGACCACACCAAGTGTTGGCAAAGATGTGGAGGAACTGGAACTTTCATATACTGCTGGTAGAAAACTTGGAAGTTTCTTAAAAAGTTAAATATACAACTACCATATGATCCAGCTCAACTCCTAGGTATTTAATTTTAAAAAATTGAAAGGATATGTCCATAGAAAGACTTGAAAGCAAATGTTCATAGATTTATTTGTAATAGCCAACAGCTGAAAACAACCAAAATGTCCATCAAAAGGTAAACAGAAAAACAATTTGTGGTATATCCATACAAAGGAATACTACTCAGCAATTAAAAGCAATGAACTATTGACACATACGACATGAATTATCTCAAATAATTATGCTCACTGAAAGAAGCTAGACAAAAAATATATATGTAATATGAATTCACGTATATGAAATTCTAGAAATTGCACACTTAACTATTATGACCAAAAGCAGATCAGTGATTGTTGGTCATGGAGGTTAGGAGCCATGGGGAAGGATTAACCAAGGAAAATAAGGAATTTTGGGGGGAGTGATGGTTATATTTACTATCTTGATTGTGGTGATGGTTTCAAGAGTGTATATGTTTGTCTAAATTTGTCATGTATGTTTTATTTATGTGCAGTTTATTGCATGCCAACCATACCTAAATAAAGCACATTTTTAAAAGGATAAATAGAAAACACAAATTAATACAGTAGACATGTGGAATGGGTATCCTTGTTTGCCTTTCCAGATTCACCATCTGTATATACTTTTCTACCCTGCTGTGTGGCCTGGACAAAATCAGAGACTTCCTTGCTCTCTTGTTTCTGAAGAGTAGAAGATCAGAAAGAAGAAAAGTGAGGTTGAGTATTCACTTCCCCAGCTTTCTCACTGCAGGATTACATCAGACTGGCTGATTCCTTAATCAAAGGTCTCAGTTCTTGTCAGGTCACTCTACACATAGCCTTCTCTGACTCTAGGTCCCAGTAACTACTCCTTTCTCTCATTCCCCCAGCACTTTTGGTGGAAATGAAGCCTGCCATTATGAGCTCTGGGTTACTTTACTTTTAGTGTTCCCATACCCAGACTGTACTTTTGTAAGTGTTTTTTTTGTTTTGTTTTGTTTTGTTTTGTTTTGTTTTGTTTTGTTTTTTACAAATGATGCCATGTATTTCCTTCTGGGGTTTCAACTGACAAAAAAAAAAAAAAAATCCAAATACATCACTAATTATACTAAACTCTCCAGTTAAAAGTTTAACTTTTAAAATGGACAGATTGAAAATAGACAGATTTTTTAATGGAAGATTGTATTTTAAAACTATAATAAAATCAAAGTATATGTTGCTTACAAGTGGTGTACTTAAAACACAAGGGCACAGAAATGTTGTGAGTATAAGACGAAAAAGCATCCCATGCAAATATTACTACTAGCCAAAATAAAGTGAATATATTTGTAGTCACACCAGGCATCAAGCATTATTGGAAATAAGAAAGAAACCAAACAAGGCCGGGCATGGTGGCTCACACCTGTAATCCCTGCATTTTTGGAGGCTGAGGCAGGAGGATCACTTGAGGCCAGGAATTGAAGACCAGCCTGGCCAACATGGTGAAACCCCATCTCTACCAAAAATACAAAAAAATTAGCCAGGTGTGGTGGCGGGTGCCTGTAATCCCCGCTAATCGGGAGGCTGAGGCTGAAGGATCTCTGGAACCTGGGAGGTGGAAGTTGCAGTAAGTGGGGATTGCGCCACTGTACTCCAGCCCAGGTACAGAGAAAGGAAAGGAGAGGAGAGGAGAGGAGAAAAAAGGGGAGGGGATGGGAGGGGAGGGGAGGGACAAATAATGATAAAAAGAAAAATTCAAGACGATACTTTCAAGAATCATGATCATTCTATACAGTTCATTACTAGAAAAGTTTCTCTAAACATGTAGAGCGCTGGAAGCCATGAGGAGGAGTCTCAGTGTTGTTGCCTGAGCATGAAGCAGACTCTTGTTGCTTCACTGCAACCACCATGTACCATTGATGATGGTTCTTCTCTTCCTCCAGGAGAGTAAGAGGGAAAGAATTCAGTCTGAGTGGTTTCCCTTCTTGTTAAAAAAGAAAAAAAAATTCACCAGGAAGTTATAACTATTTAAAACACGTATGTATTTAATAAATAGCTTCAAAGTATATAAAGTAAAAAATTGACAGAATTACAAAAAGAAATTGAAAAAGCCATAAACATGATAGAAGATTTTAACACACTTTTCTCAGTAATTCAGGAAAATAAAAATTAGGTAAAATGTAGAAGATGTGAACAACCCAATAATTAGAGTATATGCTTTACAAACACACAATTGTAACCAAAAAAAGTGTCACAAAGCAAACTTCTATACATATCAAAATATAAGCATCAAAAAACTCAAAAACAAAAACAAAAAAGACCCACGTTCTCTGATTATTAGTTTGAACTTGATAACAATAACAAAATCCTATACATGAAGAAACACTTCAAAAAAATGAATATTCAAATAAATACTAAGAGTACAGAAAGGTACACAACATCATTCCAAATCAGGGAAATGCAAATTAAAACCAAAGTAATATCTTAATACTAGTACATACCCCCAAGAATGACTAACATTAAAAAGAGTGACATTACAAGGGTGGGCAAGGTTGTGGAAGAATTCTTCCCCTCATGTATTGCTGGCATGAGTGTAATTGATACAATGATTTTGGAAAACTGTTTGGCAAGACCATAGTTCCCTACCCATGGTTTTGTTTTCCACAGTTTCAGCTATCTATAGTCAGCCACAGTTTGAAAATGTTAAGATATTTTGACAGAGACAGAGAGAGGCCATATTTACATAACTTTTATTACAGTATATTGTTATAATTGTTCTACTATTAGGTATTGTTGTTAATATCTTACTATGCCTAATTTATAAATTAAACTTTTTCATAGGACTGTATGGGAAGAAACATAGCGTATATAGAGTTCAGTACTATCTGAGGTTCCAGGTATCTATTGGGGGTCTTGGAACATGTTCTCTATGGATAAAGGGGGACCAGTGTATTATTAAAGCTACATACATGCCTATCATTTAGCCCAACAATTCCACTCTTAAGTATTTACCTAAGAGAAATGAGTGCATATTTTCACTATAAAGCTTGTATAAGAATGTTTGTGACAGCTTTATTTATAACAGCTCCAAACAGGAAACAATTCGAATGTCCATTAACAGGAGAATGGATGAATTTTGTTATATTTAAATAATGGAATATTATAGGGCAATAAAAAAGAATGACTTACTGGTACACAGAACAACACTGCTGAATCTCACAAATGTTATGTTGAGCAAAAGAAGCTAAACGCTTTACACACACACTATTTGATTCCATTTATAAGAATTTTAGGAAGAGACAAAACTATCTACAGTGATAGAATTCAGCATAGTAGGAGGTAAGGTACTAATTGAGAAAGGTGCAAAAAAAAAAAAAAAAAACCTTAAAAATAATGCCACATTTTCTGTGGTATGAACACTTAACATGAGATCTTTCCTCTAAAATTTTCAAGAGTGCAATACAGTATTATTTTTGTTAACTATAGATACAATGTTTTACAGCAGATCTCTAGAACGTACTCATCTTGCTTAACTGGAACTCTCAGCCCATGGATTAGCAACTCCACCACCTTCTCCTCTGCCCTACACCCTGGCAACCACCATTCTACTCTTCGATTCTATAAATTTTACTATTTTAGGTACCTCATGTAACTGGACTCACGCAGCATGTATCCTTCTGTGACTGGCTTATTTCACTTAGCATAATGTGGGAATGCAAAATGGCACAGCTGCTAAGGAAAACAGTATGGAATTTCCTCAAAAGATTAAAAATATATCTTCCATATGATCAAACAATCTCATTTCTGGGTATATATCCAAAAGAATTGAAATGAGGATCTCAAAGAGATATCTGCACTCCCTTGTTCATTGAAGCATTATTCATAATCACTAAGATACATAAACAACCTAAATGTCCATCAGCAGATAAATGGATAAAGAAAATGTGGTATATGCATGTAATGGAATATTATCCTGCCTTTAAAAAGAAGTAAATTCTGCAACATGTGACACCATGGATAAACCTTCAGGATATTATGCTAAGGAACCTTCTGAGTAGTAGAAATGTTCTAAGTCTTTATCTGTTTGGTAGATGGCTCTCTGTATCTATGTATTTGTCTATATAATGTATTATCGTAACGTATAATATATGTAAAAATGTATCGGGTTGTACACTTAAGCTTGATGCTCTTTCCTTACATATGTTATGCCTTTATTTAAAAGAATATGAAGAAGTCATAAATTTGAAAATTAAAGAAATTGAACCAGCTATTTAAAATTTGCTTATGCAGAAAAACAGGTTCAGGCAAAATTCTACCAAAGAAAAATACACTTCAATTATTATGCAAAACAGTAGTTCTTCAGTGTATTTTATGGGTCTAATATCATTTTAGTACCTAAACTAGATTAGAAGAGTATGAGAAGGGAAATTATGGGCCTGTTTTATTGATTAACATAGATGGAAAATGTCTAAATAAAATTTTAGCATATTAAATGCAGTGGAGGAAAAAAGACACTATAAACAACTTGAGTCTATCCCCAGAAGTGTAAGGATGATTTAACTTTTGAAAATTAATATATTTCACCATATTAACAAAATAAAGTTCCAGAAATCTGCATAAAAGTCTTCTTGAGTTTTTCGCTATATACCATTTTGTTTATCTATATAGGATGATAATTCATGAGGCTAGGCAAAGAGCAACTACAAGGAAGTTGTAAGCTGAACAATTCACAGAGCCCCCAAAAGGCTGGGAGACCACAGAGTTCTGGCTAGTCACAGTGGAGAGGACTTTTTGAACACCTAGGTCATTCAGTAGAGTCTGCAGAAAGATCATTCCTTAGCAGTAGGGCTAAGTTAGCGTCAGATTAAGGGATGCTCTAGACCTACCCTAACAAAGCTAAAAACCAAGACTCAAGAGGATCAAGCTGGTCTACAAGTAACTAATGACCTGCAAAAATAAGCACACTATTCTTTAAAGAAAAACATAAAAATTCAGATGTTCAATGGTATAACACTCACAATATCTAGCAACCAATAAAAAAAAAAACTAGACACAAAAATAAACAGAAAAACATGGCACAAAGCCAAGAGAATATCAATTCAATAAAAAACAACTCAGCAATGACAGAGATGATGGCATTAGCAAACAAGATCTTAAAAACAGCTTTATACGTATGTACAAGGATTTAAAGGAAAACATGAACATAATGAGACAATGAAAGATTTTTAAAGTAGAAATTTCTAGGGCTGAAAAATGCAATTTCTGAAATGAGAAATTCACTAGATGAACTTAATAACTGATTATACACTCTAGAAAAAAACATCGGTAAGCTTGAAAAGGTAGAAAAGAAATTATCGAAACTAAAGCACAGAGTAAAAAAAGTTGAAAAATTTAAACAGAACTTCAATAACTTGTGAGACAATTTTAAGTGTTCTAACATATGATTAATTGGAGATCCCAAAGAGGAGAAAGTGGGAAAGCAGAAAAAAAAAACTCATGAACATTTTCCAAATTTGATGAAAATTGTAAACTTTCAGATAAAAAAAAGCCCAATAAATCCAAAGTGGAATGAAAAAAAAATTACACCAAGGCATATTATGATGATAAACTGAGACCTGTCCTACATTAATGATTGTTTTTATGATACTACTCTGGACTTAAAATTAGGGCCAGATGTCCACAAAAACTCTTGTACACAAATGTTCATAGAAGCTTTATTCTTTTTCTTTTCCCTTCCTTCCTTCCTTCTTTTCTTTTTTTCTTTTCTTTCCTTCCTTCCTTCCATCTTCCTCCCTTCCCTTACCTTCCCTCCCGTCCCCCCCTTCCCTCCCCCTCCCCTCTCCCCTCCCCTCCCCTCCCCTCCCCTCCCCTCCCCTCCCCTCCCCTCCCCTCCCCTTCCCTTCCCTTCCCTTCCTTTCTTTCGTTTTTCCTTTTTTTGTTTTTAAGACAGGGTCTCATTCTGCCACTCAGGCTGGAGTGCAGTGTCACATTCTCGGTTCACTGCAATGTCCACATCCCAGACTCAAAAGAACTTCCTGCCTCCGCATCCTGAGTAGTTGGGACTACAGGTGTGCACCACAACGTCCGGCTAATTTTTGCATTTTTTTTGTAGAGATAGGAGTCTTGCCATGTTTCCCAGGCTAGTCTCAAACTCCTAGACTCAAGTGATCTGCCTGCCTTGGCCTCCTAAATACTGGGATTTAAATGTGTGTGCCACCGCACCTGGCCAGAAGCTTTATTCTTAATAGCCCTAAACTAAAAACAATCAAATTTGCATCAACAATTAAATGGATAAACAAATAGTATTTTGGATACTATTCAGTAGTGAATAGTACTCAGAAATAAGAAAGAATGAACTCATTCATTGACAATGGGTAAATCTAAAAAATATTTTGCTAAGCAAAGAAGCCAGAAACAAGAGAATAAACACTGTATGATTCCACTTATATGAAATTACAGAGGAGACAAAACAAATCCAAAATGGCAAAAAGAAGACCAGTGTTTTTCTGTGGCTGGGGTGGAGGTTGGGACTGCCTACAAATAAGCATGAAAGAATTGTTCTGTATGTCTTGATTAAAGTGGTGATTATATTGGTATATACCTTTGTCAAAACTCATCAAAATGTACACTTAAAATTTTATTGTATAAAAATTATACTCCAACAATGTTCATTTAAAATTTAAAAACATTACAAATTTTATAGCAACAGAAATATAAAGAAACTGTAAATTATTCAAACATGCAAACTCCTATGGAGAAAATTATAATTTATTATTGAGGACATGTAGGAGGAAGACCTAAATAAATTTAAAAATATATTATGTTCATAGATAAGCAGACTAAATATCAGAAAAATGTCAACTAGTTCGCAAATAAGCCAAAAATTCAAAGAGCAAAGGGCCAAATATACCCGGTAAAATCTTCAAGAATGATAATTATCTTTGAAGGCTGTTGGGAAAGACTAGAAATGATGTGATAACTAAATGACAAAAGCTTAAAGACATTTATATACCATCACAAAAAATAATCTCATGGGTATTTTTAAGATAAAAAATAATTTGATTCTGTTTATTTAAAAAGCAACATCAGGAAATTAATATATTTGTCATGGTAAATTAGTATCGTCCCCATCAACTAATTAGGCTATTTTAACAGTAAGACCAATTACAGTGATAAGTTCTTCATAAGAAAAAAGCATAATTTTTTTAAACACTAGTCAGAGTCCTGATGTGTTAGTCTTAAAGGTTTTCCCAACCTTTTTTTTTTTAAGACAGGGTCTCGCTCTGCTGCCCAGACTGGATTGCAGTGTTGCAATCACAGCCCACTGTATCCTCGACCTTCTCAGGGCAAAAAGTTTTTTTAATCTTACAAGGTCAAATTGTCTTTAATTGGAGCATAAATATATTATGAGAAATCCAATTCATGTTGAAAGTGTTACTGTCAGTAAGATTTTATCTATTACAAATGATATAATAAATATGAATAGGAATGGGAAAATAAAAAATAAAAAAAGTTCACTTGGTAACATGAAGACATAGTATTTTTTTCCTCTTTATATTTCTGACATTCCTGTCATAATGTTGGTTCTACAACTTGTTTCAATTAGAGTCAATACAAGGCAAAGCTGATTTCATCAACTGTTGCTAACCATTTTCTAGCTTCTTAACCTAATATAATTTGATGACAGGTTCAGAGTAAATGAGGAAACTAATGCCTGCCTCTATCTTTCCTCTTTCCCAACATCTCACCACAGCCACCTGTTGCAGTCAGTGGAATTCCCACTGATAAGTACCTTAATGAGCTTTGAGCTCTCATATGCTCAGCATCAGTTATCAGTAATAGGGAATCACAGAAAATGAGATCTGCACAATAATAAGTATTATCAGGAAAAAGTAAGACATTATCCTTTCTCTGAACCACAGCATGATGTCATAATTCATCTGAACCAGGAACACTTTCTTGCAGTGCCATCGTTGTGCCTTGGTAAGATAGATATGTTGAAGCTTGAGAAAGATTCAGTGGGGGTGTCACAGAATGATAATATGTGAAGATCTAAGAGTAGGCTCTACCTAATTTGCTATAAGGAATGTAGGTATTATCAAATAGATTAATTAATTAGGTAAGTGTATTGGAGGTAATATTCTGAAATAGTCTGCTTTTTTCTTTTACTTTTCTAAGTTCATGACCTCCTTTCTGATTGACCCAAGGAAACCCCTAGTAAGGAAGAAGTCAAGAGGTCAGGTGGTTGTAAAAGAGAATTAGGATAATTACAAAAGGATACAAAATGTACAGATCCTGACATTTTAAATGTAGTTTTGTATCAATGAAATATCAATTTGAAAATTTCCATAAAATAGTCTTATAATGGTCATAAAAAGCCATTTTCTTGAGAGAGGAATGTCTAGATTATTCTTTTTTCTCTTATTTTTTTCAAGAACCAAGCCTAGAGCACCTGCTCAAGTTATTTTCCCTTTTTCTCCCAGAGAATATTTCTTCTCCCTGTAAGGCTTAGGTAGAAGAAAGATACGACACAGTGAAAGGGAGCAATCTACTCCTTTTAGACCCAGGGTATTATGGAAGAAATTAGGAAGATGGAAAGAGTGGAGAAGGGGAAGGAAAGTACCTCAATGGTCCCTTTCTCCATACTTCATCCCCAACTTGGAGGTGACCCTTCAGAGAAAGTTGTCTTCTGGTATATATACAGATACATTGAAGAAAATACCAGAAGGAGAATGGTCCTATGCCAACATGAGATACTTAACAAGCCAGAATGTGTAGCTGGCCACCAGATGGTTTATTTCGCTCTTCCGAGTCCCTCTAAGTTCCTAAGTGGCATGAATACAGTGGACGTTCCAAGGTCCATTCCGAACAGGATGGTGTGACTCCATGGCAAAGGCAGACCATCTGGCCTAGAGGCTGACTGGACAGAGCCTCGGGCAGTGGCAGTGCCTGAGGAGTCAGCAAGGGCTGAGAAAGGACATGCAGGTCAGAATGCACCACTGGGCGCCAATAAATCAGAGAGAACCCACCGTATGTATTATACCAGCTGTAGACTTTGGCCACCGAAAGCCAACACAGTGAGTGGCAGCCTAGATGGACAAGTGACAATGAAATAAAAAGCCTTATCCTCTACGCCTCCTACAAGAATTCAAAAGTTTCTTGAGATGTCATGTTGGAGAGGAGATGGTCAGAAGGGTGGGAGACCAAAATTTCTGAGAGATAAGCATTTTTTCTCTGGATATTAAGGACTATCTAATGACCCCTATTGGCTCAGATTAAGAGAGAAACCAGAATGGACTTCAAGTTAGCATGACAAGAGCAAAAATAAGGAAACTGTATTTTCTCTGCCCATTTGAATTTTGTTCTTTCCCATTATTAGGATAAATCTAAAAATGATTGTTTGGAGAGAGTAAATGATATTAGTTTGCAAAATCATGCAGTCTTGGTAGAGGAAACAACTTTTTAATGAAAATTGTAATTCCAGAACTAGGAGGTACCCCTTAAAGTTTGGAAAACTTAGTTTGGAGATAAATAAGAGGAAAGGGTAATTTTATATAATCATTACGTGAAGTTATGGTGAAGGCTGAAAGTACAATAATTGAAGAGAAGATTAGATAAATTAGCAGATGCTGTAAGTCTCAAATATGTTAGTAAAAACAAAACAAATGAACAAACAAACAAAACCTAAGGCCTTTGGAAGGCATGCTGTTTAAATAAGCATTATTTGTTACTACTGCAGAGATCAACTGAGTTAGCCATTGGTGTGATCCAGAATAAACCCAAAGCCACTAACCAGAGTAGTGGGTCTCATGTTTTGTGTATGTATATATATTATAGCATCATATATATGAATAAACATATATCAATAAAAACAACATATAAAAAAGCTCTGATATACTATTGGTATATCATGGTAGGTTAGGGCAAGTTTGAAGAGGTTCCTTGGAGAAATAAGTGAAAAAATATTGAAAGAAGTAAAGTAAGTAGTTGCATAGAGAAAAGTGAGAAGATCTGAAAAGTAGATATTTGCAAGATGTATACAAGGGACAAATAGAAGTCTTTATAAAAGTGGTGGCAAGAAGAAGCAGCTGTTAAAGGATCATTATTGCACAATAACAACAACAAAACTTTTACATAGTGCTAGGTACTAGTCTCAGCAATCTACATACATCAATTCATTTGAGCCCCTCCAAAGCCCTTCGAGGTAGCTACTGTTATTCCTGGTATACCTGCTTTACAGATAAGGAAAGTGAAACATAAAGAAGTTATAAGGCCGGGTGCAGTGGATCATCCCTGTAATCCCAGCACTTTGGGAGGCCAAGGCTGGATCACCTGAGGTCAGGAGTTCAAGACCAGCCTGGCCAACATGGTGAAACCCCATCTCTACTAAAAATACAAAAATTAGCTGGGCATGGTGGCATGCACCTGTAATCCCAGCTACTTGGGAGGCTGAGGCAGGAGAATCACTTGAACCCGGGAGGCAGAGGTTGTAGTGAGCCAAGATTGTGCCACTGCACTCCAGCCTGGGCGACAAGGGCGAAAAAAAAAAAAAAAGAAGTTATAAAATTTGCCCACAGTCATGCATCAGTGCCAGGATTCCAGCACAGGCTCACTAGCTCCTGAGTACATGTTATTTTTGTAACTTCTACAATTTTATACCATTCTAAAAATCAAAAAGAATTTAGATATTCAAGCAATAAACAATTTGGATTTGGGGCAATAGCACTTACAACCAGTTTTTGAAAACTTTATGCCCAAATGTAAAAGTAATTTCATTTTTTCCTGTTGAGATAAATAAGCACTAAAATTCCATTTTGACCTAAATTAATAAGAAGGAATTCCATTTTAGGAATTTATATCAAAGATATAGAACACATATGCATGAAGACATATATACGAGCATATTTATTATAGTGTTTGTGTTCATAAAACACAAAATATCAATCTAAATGTTTAGCAATAGAAGACCAATTAAATAAATTATGTTTTATGCACAATGAAATAGATTACCTCTTTCAAAAGAATGGATAGAAATCTATAGATGTTGATGGATGGAAGGATCTCCAACATATATCCTTAACTGCAAAAAGCATGGAGCAGAAGCGTGTATAGCAGATGTCTTCCAGTTGCTTACCGTTTCTCTGCTCTGTTCTTTGCTGGTGGAGACCAACCTATATGGACTATACCACTGGGCTTCTAGATCCCATGGCTGCTGGTTGGATTTGGCCACTGGGAACCCCTGCATGACACCAGAGGAGAGGAGCATGAGGTCACAGCATTCATTCCCTTTTGGCCTTAGGCTAACTGTATCACTACTCTTCTCCTACATGACTTCTTCCTTCCAAGTTCAGGTAACAATAGCCATCACATTCCTCATTTCTTTGAGCCTATAGATGTGACAGCTCCACTGATACTACCTTGGGTTACTAAACTATCTCCTTGTGGTTCCCCTATATTCATATGTTCGCTGATAATTTCTTTATTTGTAAACTGTTCTCCAATTTTCCAAGTTTGAATGTTCTTTCTGCTTCCTATTATGACCCAGTTATGCTACTATGTTAATACGAAAAAGAATGACCAAGTGTGGTGGCTCATGCTGGTAATCCTAGCATTTTGGGGGGCCAAGGTGGAGGACTGAGACCAGCCTGGACAACACAGGGACACCCTGTCTCTACAAAAAAAAAAAATTAAAAAATTAGCTGGATGTGGTGGCCTGTCATCCCAGCTACTCCAGAGGAGTGAGGAGTGATCACTGCACTCCATCCTGGGGAACAGAGCGAGAGCCTATCTCAAAAAAAAAAAAAAAGAAAGAAAAAAAGAAAAGAAAAAAGAAAAAGAATGGTGTATATATAGAAATAGACACTCAAATATTCAGATAATACACTTAGAATGGTGTGCTGAAAATGCTAACAATAACTGTCAGGGAGAGGAAATCCACTGGGGGCTGGGAATGGAAGGCTTATCTTCATTGTATATCTTTTTGTATTGTTTGAGTTTCTTACCATGTCAATATATTAGCCATTAAGGAAAATAATAAAATAAAATGTTGTAAAAATAATCCAAACTTTACCTTCAAGACAGGAAAAAATTTAATGCAGAAACTGTGTCATAAAGCCCAAAGTCTAGTTTAGAGAATATATGTAGATGAGAATTTAGTGCCTGTAAGGTCCATGAAATTGAGTTGCACATGAC
The DNA here is from genome assembly GCF_000001405.40 of Homo sapiens. NCBI lineage: Eukaryota > Metazoa > Chordata > Mammalia > Primates > Hominidae > Homo > Homo sapiens. Next base: position 36,863,075 of record NC_000015.10, read on the forward strand.
TAGACATATGTTCTACTCAAATATTATTTTTCAGATATCTTATAGGATCTAATATGTATAGCACTATACATATTAACATATATTCTGTATTTTGTAATTATTTGTCATTGTTACTATTTTTATTTAGGTTTAAATTACAAATATGATTCACAGGCTAGTCACAATCTTCATTTGGACTAAATGTGACAAGTATTCAAGTTTACCTTTGGCTTTATGAAGTGAATCTCACTAGCGATAATGAGTGAATTACCTTTCCATTACATCTTGAATCAACAGTTTTGCAAGCAATGAATGCAAAAATTAAGTTGTCTTTTTTTGGCAACAATTTAGCAAAGGCATATGTTCCGAAGTCAAATGACTTCGCTTCAAGTTGAAATTAAGAAATGTTTTGAAGCATACTCTTTTGATAATAATTTGCTTCAAAATAAGCATCATGCTTCTTTTTAATGCGACCCACATCCTTAACATGTGACTCAACAATATGGTAAATGAAAAAACAAAGTGCTCTCAAAAACAGCCTCCAAATACATTCCAGTTCATGGGATTTGGGTGCCTGTGTTTCTTTGTTATTTAGGTCCCCACTTTATAGCTGTCTATGCAGACCCCACCATTTTCTTCTTTGTTGCAATGATGACAAACGCTCTGAGAAAGAGGAGCTGGGCCTCTGCCAAGAACCTACTCTCCACTTCAGTATGTTTCAGCTTTCAAGACCTGATTGTTTTCTCCTTTCTCCCAGGGACTACTAGTTACCTCATTACCAGGAAGAATGACCCTTTGACAGCACAACTGCAATCCAGAATCTCCACCAAATTGTAACCTTAGAGATGCCGATGGCATCAAAAAACGAATCAAGATCGGAAGGTCAGAAAGACAAATGCATTAGTACATCTATAGCCTACAAGTTATTTGGCAGTTTTCTTGGCTTGCAAAAACCCATTTATAAAGTTTCTTTTGACGTATTTATTGCCTTTTTGCTTACAATCTTTAGACTGCCAGGATTCTTAATGTATAGGGGATTCCAGTGTTTGAGATTACTGCCTGGATTTGCAATCCATTTCATAAAATGTTGAACAAGAAACAACAGCTTCCTCCCTCTTCAAACAATCAGTATTACTATCTTACTCAGTTTTTACTACAGCAGAATACCAGTGAGATCAGCCATTTACTAAAAAATATTTCATAAAACAGCTCAAACTAAAAATGAAGTCAGATAAAAAGTAAACTAAAATAAATGGTGAGCTTGCTATTTAAGCTGCTTAACAACTTGAATTAATCTAACTTTAAACTTCGTCTTGCTATTATCTTAAGTTGATTGAATGTACTAGTTAGAGTTTTCTAAGATCCAGATAGACCAGTAACTAATTGCTTAATTTCTTCAAAGCAACTTGAACTTTTAATAAATAATCATAATAAGTTACAGCAACCATTTATTCTCTGCTATATGCTAGATATTTTACTTGACTTATTTTTAATCTTTACTGTAACACATCTAGGCAAAATATTAATATACCTATTTTACAAAAAAGGAAACACACTCAGCAATTTTTAGGGACCCAGGAGCCAGAATTCCATTTCTTCCAATTTCCTTCAATGTGTTCACGATGTATCAAGTAACTCGTTCATTTAGTCAAGCAACCATTTTAGCTGATTTAGTCACCGATTCAACTAATAACATTTACTCATTGTCTTAGATTTGGGAGGCATAGCTTGATAGCTGCAAGGATTATGTTAAATGTCAGTGAAATAATGGAATGTGGATTGGCTCATTTCATCTTAAAGATCCTGCTCACAGGGCACCAAACATTAAACTAGTTTTAATAATTAAATTGATAGACATTTCCTGGAGCAAGAAGCTGTGGCTACATTCTGTAAGTTTGTTGGGTAATACAAAACATTGTGTGGGTGTGCAAAAATCAAGCACACACTGCTAATGAAATCATTATGATCAAGGCTGAAGAGGCTTCACAAAAGAAAAACAAAGCGTCGTTGAGTTACTGATCTGTCCAAGAACAGGATTGAACCAAAGTGGGGTGACCATTCTGTGACCTTACTTACTGTACCTTTTGTTGACCACGAGTAGATAGACCAAAAAGCTACCCTGTGTTGAAGATGACATTCCTTGTCCCCATTTCCTAATGGCAAAATTTTTCACTCAAGTCATAGAACAAGAAGTCTAATGTTACCATTTAGGAATGGCATATCTCTTTAAGCCCTTCTCAGTGGCTTTTATGGCAATGAAGAAACCAAACAGCACATTTTCCTTGCCATCTTACACGCTGTTTTTAGTCTTTATCTGGCAGCATGCCTAGAGTATAAGGGTTTGTCTCTAGATAGATCTTTAAGTCTTTCTCCTTGCCATTTACCATCACTCAAATACTCTCATTATCAGTGGATATCTTAAACTCTGGGTTACACCTCCTTTTTATTCTACTTCCAGAAGTAGAGCTTCTAAAACTGGTGCTTCTATTAATTATACCACTCAGCTGATCATTTGTCTGTCCCTAAAGACGGAGTTGAAAAGACAACAATTTCGGAAAGAAAAGGAAAGGTAAATAATCCAAAGATAGTTTTTATGTACAAAACAGCATTACCTCTACTTAATATAGCATAAAATTTAATGCTCTACAAAGGAGTCTAAGTTCCTAAAAGTAAAATTATTTGCATATTTCAATATTAGATTCCTTATTTTGCTTACACAATTTTACACAGGCCTCTCAGATAGTTGCAGTGTCTTTAATCTCATGTTTTCCTTCATGATACTCTCTCTAACGAACATCCCATAAGTTTCTCACTCTGCAATATTTCCATTTCTAGTTCTTCCAATTTTTCTAAGGCACAAGTATAGAAAAAAATGCTTAAAGGAAACTTAATAAGAGTTACCATATTTCTGTTAAGTTTCCTGACGACATGTTAATGTATATATGGGGAAATAATTTATATAGATGAAAGGGAGAAATCATATATTTCCATTATCCTTGACAGTATCATGAAGGGCTTCAAGAAGTAAGTGGCATTTGAGTTGACTCTTAAACTTGGTTCAGTGGTGGACCAAGACATTCCTTGTTTAATAATAAGATGAGTAAAGTCACGGGAGAAGAAAAGTGAATGGGTTATCGGTGGCCTGCTGAGTTCTCTGGTGGGATTTGAGTATCAGTGTATCTGATATAACTATATCTGATATAACTCACTTTTTTGCTCAAACAAGCCTTAATCAACTAATCAATGCCTTGGTAAGATGGCATAATTCATCCAGTCTCTCCATCCAGTCTCACTCTTACATGTGCTACCTGAGCTGCTACAGCTTTACAGCCACAAATCAGTCACTATGTTGATATTCAACCACAGAACTTTCCAAAGTAAACCTAAATGAAAAGGTGAGCTGCCTCACTTTCTTCTAGTCTGGAAAGAGAGTTGGCCTTAGACACAAACACCTGGAGGCTAAGTGGCTGGCAGCCAGGAAGAGATGGCAGGAATGGAGACAGATGTCATCTGGGATGCCCATTCTGGGATTCACCCATGACAGTTCCCACTGCTTTTTCTTTTTCTAGCTCCTCCTCCTTCTTGTTCTCTCCCTAAGAGAAGAAAAAAGATTAAAGAAGATATTTGTCCATCTGAAAATAAACTAGCTTTTTCTCTCCACTACTGCTCCTACAGAGGTTCTGTAGGACACAGAAGCCAACTGCATCTAGTTTGATGGAATGTTATGCTGCTGAGCACACAGAGGAATACATTACAGAAAAATTCATTTTGCATGGTAAGAACTGGCCATGGGCTGTGTCCATTGAAGTGATGTGTCATAAATCTAGTGGCATGTGGCATTTCACATCATGGAATACTCCCCACATCATTGCCAGAATTTCTGGTGCAGCTAGCTTGAATATTTCCTGTCTACTCCATTCCTACTTCTAATGCCTGGTGACTGAAATGAGGTTCTCTATCACCTCTTACTTGAAACACTGCAAGAATATCTCAACTGATGATGATGGTGATGATGATAGCTAACTTTCGTTGAGAGCTTTCGATGGGTCAGGCTTTTTTTCTTTTCTGCACATTCATCTTTTAAGAACTTTTACTTTGAAATAATTACAAATGTACAAAAAAGTTGCAAGAAGTATGCAGAACTCCTGTACAACTTTTTTTCCCAGATTCACCAATTTTTACATAAGTTTGCAATATTTGCTTTAGTATTCTCGTTCTCTTCTTCTCCATATTTTTCCTAAGCAATTAAGAGAGTTAGTTGTATAGATAATGCTACTTTACTCATTTACCTTTCAGTGTATATTTTCTTCAGTGTATAAATGTAGTACAGTCACCAAATTGAGAAAATTAACATTGATACTTTTTCTAATCTCAAGTCCATATTCGAATTTCATCTATTTCCCTGATAATGTCCTTTATAGCAAATTTGTCCACTACAGAATCCAGACTAGGATCATAAATCACAGTTTTCATGTCTCTTTGGTCTTCTTTAAGGTGGAATCTTTACTTGGCCTTTCCTTTGAAGCATACAGGCCAGATATTTTATAGACTGTCTCTCAATATGGATTTGTGTGATGTGTCACGTGACTACATTCAGGTTGTGCGTTTAGGGCTGGAGGACCAAGAAGTGAGAATGTGTTCTTTTCACAGTGTCACATTGGAGGCACATCGTCTTTATTGGTGATGTTAGTTTAGATCACTTGGATAAGGTATTGTCTGTTTTCTTCTCTGCATAGTTAATTTTTTCCTACTGTAATAAATAATCTATGATGAGATACTGCAATATCATATAAATATCCTGTTCTTCATCAACTTTGCTCCACTAAATTTAGCATCCATTGATGATTCATGCCTGAATCAATTTCTTTCTGTGATGTTGCAAAATGAGGATTTTCTTTTTTTCTTTTCTTTTCTTTTCTTTTTTTGAGACAGGGTCTCGCTCTGTCACCCAGACTGGAGTGCAGTGGCACAAACATGGCTCACTGCAGCCTTGACCTCCTGAGCTCAAACTATCCTCCCCGCTCAGACTCCTGAGTAGCTGGGACTACATGTGCACCCAGCTAATTTTTTTTTTTTTTTTGAGACAGAGTATCACTCTGTCAGCCAGGCTGGAGTGCACTGGCAAGATCTCGGCTCACTGAAACCTCCACCTCCTGAGCTCAAGCAATTCTTTGACCTCAGCTTCCTGAGCAGCTGGGATTACAGGCATGTGCCACCACACCCAGCTAATTTTCTTGTATTTTTAGTAGAGGCAGGGGTTTCACCATGTTGGCCAGGCTGGTCTTGAACTCCTGACCTCCGGTAATCCACCCGCCTCAGCCTCCCAAAGTGCTGGGATTACAGGCATGAGCCACTGTGCCCGGCCACATCCCGCTAATTTTGTGTGTGTGTGTGTGTGTGTGTTTTTCTTGTTTTTTTTTTTTTTTTTTTTTTTGCAGAGACAGGGTTTCACCATGTTGCCCAGGCTCGGGAAATGGTGATTTTTTTTAAACTTCATTATTCCCTCTATATTAGCTGGCTTACTACTGTAAAAGCAAGAGCTTTCTCTTCTTATTTATTTATCTATTTATTATTATAGACTCACGGATTCCTGTTCTTTTTTTTTTGGATTCCTGTTCTATTCAGTAGACAATAATCCATTACTTCCTTATTTATTTTGATGGAAGCCTCTTCAAGCTGGCTTCATGTACCTTTTGACAGGCCTTCATATTTTTGGGAGCACTTCCTCACTTTCAGGCACTGAAGATATTCCAAGCTCATAACTTTTCCTGCTCCAGCCATGAAATCTGTAGGGTATATTTTAAACACTTTATAAATAAATAATTTCCCAATAAACCTACAGGATATGTACTATTAGCATTCCCATTATACAGATGAAGGGATTAAGACACAGAAAGGTTAAATAAATACTCCTAAGTCATAGCCTTATTAAATGGTGAAGTCAAATTGTTATTGCCTCCAATCTTGTGCCCACTCTCACTCCCCAGCCCCAGCCAAATTTATTCTCCACAAAGTTAACAGAATGATGGATCTCAAATGCAAACACTGAATCTCTACCACGCAGCAATACCTTAGTACCTGGTATTCACGCATTAACTACTTGTTGAAGTGAATTGGTTTAAACTGACAAAGAACTAATGAATAAATCATATTCCCACTTTCTCCTTTGCCATCTTTCAGTTATCTGGCCCAAGGATCATAAAAGAAATTCCTAGAATGAAATGGGAAGAGAAAGTGAGGATGTTGTCATACCTTTTAGGACTGACGTAAAGATCCCTCTTTTGATATCTGTCACTATGGCCAGTCTGGATCTACTTATCCCCTCTGCATAGAAGAGGAAACTTCCACCTCTCCATCTGAAATGCTGATGTAACAATCTCTCATTATACTCTCCTACATTCTCCTAACTCTGAGAACCTTTAGCTTCTTTTCTCCAAGAAAATATATAGCCCTTATGTCCCTAAATTTACACTCAGCCTGTCACCCACTTTGTGTCTTCATTTCCTTCTTTATCTAACTTAGACCCAATGGTTTATTAGCTCAAATACTCCCAAACATGTAGTCTTAACTTCCAAACTCTTGTTACCCTGCAAACTCTCAGATCTAGAAGAACCCAAGCATCTCACTCCCTCACTGAAATTGCTGAGCACTTTTGGAGAAAATTACACAATGATATGGATGGTTGGCACCACAAATCTCCCTTGGCAAGGTTCAGCAATCTTATGACCTGATCTTGATCAGCTCCCTCTCCTATTCCCCTCAACAATGATTTTAAGCTTTTGCCTCTCTCTTTATGGCCTTTCCCTACCATCCCCTTTCTCTGAGTGCCTCCTACAACTGGGAGAAAATCCAGTGTATCAAGCAGCATCCACATTATTTTCTCAGCCCCACACCACCATTTAATCCATATGTATGCCTGCCTTTACTTTCCTCTTTATGTCTCATTGAGGAGGTGACTTTTAACTTTTATAGAACTTAGCTTATGCTCTAAATCCCAGCCTCTCCTACAACCCTCTAATATTCTTTCATTAATTTCTTTTCTCTTTTTCTATATCGTTAATCTCCATTAATTTATGTCTTCTATTTTATTGCTTTATCTTTAAATATATAAGCTCAGTTCTTTCATCTTAGAAAGCAAAACATGCCCTGATCCTACATCTTCCCTTTATCTACTGTCATATTGCTTTTTTTCCATGACTAAGATTCTTCAAATTAGTTTACACCCACTGCCTTCACTTTCTCACCTCCCTTTTGTTCCTAACCCACTTCAATCTTCATCTACCCATGCCTTGCCACTGAAACTGCCTTCTCTGAAGTCATCCATGACCTCTTAGTTGCTAAATCCAATGGGCATTTTTCAGGCCTTATATTTTTTGACTTCTCCCTCCCTCCCTTCATCTTCTTTTACCTTCAAAAATATTGGTTAGACATTGGGGATACCATAGTGAACCCAAGATACCAGACCTTGTCACCATGGAACACATAGTCTAGCTGGGGAAACAGACATTAAACCAATCATGACATAATTAACTATTAATGAAGTATAACTGTGATAATGATGCAAAGAAAATTTAAATGTTATTATGAGAATAGAGAATGTAGCTTAATCTAGAGGGGAAATGGTCAAGAAAAATTCTCCTGCAGAAGTGGCATTTAAACTGAGATCTGAGAAATGAATAGCAGTTAGCTAAGTTACAGATGGGGGACAGTGGAGGAAAGAAGAACCTTCCAGACCGAGGAAACAGAATGTGCAAAAGCTCTGAGGTAGGACGAGGCTATACTATTTGAACAATGTAATGGTGGACAACATGACTGGATTAAAGAGAATAAGGGGATTCCAGATGGGGCTGAAGATCGGGGGACAGAAGTGAAATCAGTCAAGGCCTTAGAACATTTTAAGAAATGTGGACTTTATCTTAAGAATGGTGGTGGGTTTCCATCAAAGGATTTTGAATAGGAATATGAAGAGATCAGATTTGGCTCCAGAACCCCCAATGGTGAAGTCCAAATAAAACTAGGGTGGTGGCAGCTGAAACAGAGAGAAACATATGGGTTAAAGATGCATTTAGGGGCATAATTATTAGGCCTTGGAAATTTATTGGATTTGATACCACTTGTGGAGGCATTGGGGATGAAGAAAAGAAAAATAAATATCAAGGATAAAACCCAATCTCTAGCACAAGCAACTGGGTGGATGGTAATACCATTTACCAAGACAGTGAACACAGGAGAAGGTGTTTCCTCAGGGGTGAAGATCACGAGTTTAGGGTGCCTCTTGACCTATAGAGATGTCTACTGGAGAACTGAATGTATAGGTCTAAAGCTCAAATGTAGGTTCTAGGCCAAAAATAGAAAACTGGGGAATCGTCAGCCAATGAAGGGTAACTGAAGCCAAAGGACTCTATAAGATTGACTGTGGGGAAATGGAAGAGTGAAGAGGGAGAAGTCACATGTCTACTCAGTCACACATACCCTCTGACCTCCAGCCAGGCTTAACTACCAGTTTTCTGTATGGCCTTATCTTTCTCTCTTTTTTGTTTTTGTTTGTTTGTTTGTTTCTTTACACATACTATTTCCTCCTGTCATGCCTTTCTCCTCACCTCTGCCTTAATTCTTATTTATTCCTCAAGACAGTTCAGGTGCCAGTTCCTCTACAAAGCTTTTCCTTCTCTTCCCCTGGTCACGTAGTTGCCTCCCATTCATTAGATGTTGCTTCTATCAGGTCTTATAATTCCCCAAAGATATCTGTAAAATAGCAGTTATTACACTGTAATGTAATGTTAGTCACCCTGCTAGACTGTAAATGTCTTGAACACAGAACTCTACTTATATCTCATTGAGTCTCAGGGCCTAGCACAGGGCCAGGCACATAATATTTCTCAATGTGTACTTGAAAGGAAGCAAAAAGATTCTTCTAGGAAAAGTTTCCTATGTGAGTCATAGAATTCCTGACTATTAAAGCCAGAATGGACCTTGGATATTTTCTACTCCAACCTATTTTGCAGGTGAGGAAACTGAGGCCCAATTACAGAGCTAATAAGTGGGAAACAATATTTAGAATCCAGTTTTCCTGGCTCTCAGCATAGTGGTCTTCCCATTACCTAATAACCAACAAACCCATTGAGTAAGCTATTTACTCAATGACTTGCCCATGAAAATGTATGCTGTGTGGGTCTTTTTCAAACATGGAATATTAAATGATAACTATACAGATGCGAATATACAAGCAATTAAAGTGACCTACACAATATAGAACAAATGGAGAATCTAAACTAACAGAAGTGTTGAATTCTTATATGATTAATAAAAGTAGAAGATGTTAAAATTTTATGAATTGTTCACATGAGGTCCTGTCTAAGCTTAGGGGTAGGGGTGGTATAGGATGTTAACTATCCCATTAACAATAATAACTGGTATTTATTGACTGCTCACCATGAGCCAAGTACTAGGATAAATTTCATCATTCATTAATTCCTTTGGTGAGCATGTGAAAGCCCTATGAGAAGTTTGGAAGTGTGAGTTTGCCTAGGGTCGTGTAGCTGATGAGAGGCTGAGCCAGCATTGCGACCCAGACTGTCTGACTGTAAAGTGATGTGTGAAGCTGCTGAGCTCTCCTGCCTTCATTATTTAAACCTGTGTGTACTCCCTCCACTTAGGCAGCTCTGGTTGCCACCTTCTTCTCTTTGCCAGTCTCTTTTAAAAAGGTTAAAAGGGGAAGAGTTGTCCAAAGTCATCCCTAGTTGACAGAAAATAAGTGAAATAAACTATTCTCTCTTTCCCAACCATCTACTTGGATCTGAAAAAAATATTTAAATGAAAAGATAAAAATGTGTTACACATTCATAAGCTAGGTTCCATTATATTTGGTTTTTTATTAAAAAAAAGAATATATCATGGTGCCCTTTCTATTTGTCTGTGTTTCCCTGTAGTTTTTGGTGTTGGTGCTCTTGGATTATAAACTCTAGATGGCAGTGATTAAGTTAAAGTTTTGTGCGGTCTCTGGACCATGGTATGTATATTGCATAATACATAATAAACACTATTTGTAATTATAATAAGGGTGAGTCTGGAAGCGGTAAACAAGGGTATAAAATACATCTTCCTTATGGTTATTATTCCATTTATATGAGAAGTCCACTAAATTCACTGAACCATATCAGGCCACATCTGTTTGAAAACCTACCAGTTTTTACGAACATTAAATAAAACTGGTTAGACTTAATGACCATTTATCATATTCATACAAAAATCATGAAATGGAAACTTAGCAGAGAGGAGGCCATTGATAAAGAAAAAAAGTTTTAAACACCAACAGGTTTGATATATTATTTTTTATATTTAAAAAAGTCAAGTATCGGCTATTTTTGCTCCAGAACTTTCTGTAATTGGCGGGTCTTTTACTTTTGCTGTTGTTTTCTTTCTTGCCTGAGTATTAACCTAAGTAGCATAGATTCAGAAAACATGCCCAAAATATTTATACATGTATTTTCTCATGAAAGTTAGATATTTGAACCTTAAGAGAAATAGCTTGGATGAAAAATTTTACCACAGGGAGAAACAGCAAACAGCCTTAAACAGAATCAAGATAAAGCTGGGGGAGGTGTTGGCTGGGAAGAGGGGGAGGTGACAGGAAATGAAAAAAGTTCTCCCAGTTTCATTTTATAGGTGAAGTAGATTCTACTTGGATTAGACCTTCTAAGTGACTATGACAGAGGGTAAAGAGAGGTGGAAAGGAAACTTTGAGTGACGTTTCTGACAGCAGGCTACAGAAATAACAATTTGACAGAAGGGGCCATCATAAATATAAGAACATCTCAGGCATGAATAGGACTTCTTAATGTAAAAAATATGGAGCATGTGTAGGATTCAATTTGGGGTGAAGAGAAGAGCCAGGTGGGAAGGTTACCTAGAAGCCAGCTATTAGTGTTGAAGTCAAGGAACTCTGGTATCCATTTAAATATTCCTGGTGAACATTTTTTGGAGATTTTGAAGTATCTTTCTCAGTTATTCCTATTTATATCTAGTTCTAGCTTGATTGACTGAGCTGACGTGTAACCAATAAATAGAGAAGTTTGGTATTTCTATAAATACAAAGTTTGTTTTTGTGCCAATACTGGCATCTATTTATCCTGCAGGTAGATGATAGATCTCGTTTTTGCCTAATTAAAACAGACATCACAGATCAAGAACAGATCTTCATGTCAGCAAACAGACCAATCACTCTCTTCTTGTTATTTAATAAGAGTTTCATTATCAATGTGCTGGAAGGAAAAATATTAGTAAAAATTCTGCATATAGTATTATAAATACTACTGTATTATAGAGGGCAGAAAATGGGAAAGCACCATATAATAAGAAAAATTGGCCTGAAGTTAAAAGCTTTGGGATGTTGTCAAAAACCAGAGCTAACTAGTTTTATGAATTGGACTAGTCAGTTGCCATCATTAGGCCTCCAATTCTTTGCTGGAATGATAAGAGAAGTTGTCCAAATTATTCCTAAAGTCCACCATTCAGCTCTGAAACTCATGACAAGTAAATATTCTATTTTGAATTTTCATTAGGTTAAGGATTTAACAATAAGCTGAAACAGGATGACTAACCCATAACATGTTCCAGAAAAATACGAAATGACATGTTGAAGAGCATTTAAATTGAACAAAACAGATTTGTGTGTGTGCCACTATTGATATACAAATGTTGAATGTGTTTTACTGTATCTACTGAATGTGATTGATAGGAGAGGCATCAATTTCAAGGTTTGTGAATTTAAGTAAATTGTTGTCAGTGGTATAGCTTCTTAAAAAAATTATATCTTTACAGTGAACAGACAAATTGAGACAGGATATACATAAAGCATCAATTTAGCACAAATATCCACTTACAATTGTGAAATATATATATATATGTAGTTGGGAGTTTTTCAGAAAATTTGAGGAGCATTTTTTAAATTGCTTATGCTTTTTAGAATGCTTAGCATTTCTGTTTTGAAAACAACTTGTCTTCCTTTTCAAAATGTATGTGCGAAGCTGGCTCTGATGTCAGAATGAACCATTTTCACAGGATTGGGTCAGCTCCCACTCAACATTTCTTTTACAGAAAAGAAGCCGGTGATGAGGCAGTATTTGAGCTCGTTAAATCTCAAACCCCCAGCGTCTTTTCCAAAGCACTACAAAACTCTTACATGTATAATCACGAGGAGGAAAAGAAGAGAATATAGTTTGTCTTTAACTAAATTATTAAATCCTTGTTTTGACCCTTTCCTTTCTACCTTGATGCTTTCTGCCTCCACCTTTCATTTAAATTTCCTCACTTTGGGATGAAAAAGCATGAGTAAGTGTGGTGCATAAAAAGGAAAACAAGCAAATAAATAGAAAACTTGTCTTTTCATCTCTCCCATTGCTGCTTTCTTTTCCCTCTCATTTCTCTCTGCATCGAACTTCAATTGTGTCTATTTAAATCCTTCCTATACCCAGGATATTTTAGGTTTCCAATATTTTTAAACGGAATAAAAATAGTTTAAAAAATGTTAAATGCATGTCACAAATATTTTACAGAAAAACTTGCTTTGAAACATAAGTGAATATCAAGTCGGGAAAATAAAAGTTTTCTTCACAAAATCTATAAGTGTCTTCCTTCACTTTAAAAGGTTTTTAAAGCTTATGAAGGAAGCCACTGGAAGCAAGTTCATGTTTAGCAAGACTAGCCAAAAAAAGAAAAAGAAAAGAAAAAGAAAGAAAATAAACTGATTTAATGGGAGCCCACCCTGGGTCTAATTTCAAAGTTTCCATTTATGTCATGTCAGATTTGGGGAGACTGAACCCTCATTGAATGCACTGGGCTGACTCTCTCCCATGCCTGATACCCAGGGTTCATGACTGCAGTTCCTGGCACAGTCATAAATATTCATACCTAGACTAATAATTTGCAAGCCAAATTCATTTGGCTTTTTTCACCTCATCAATCTTATAATTAATAAGGGTGGTGCTCTTGTTTCACTTTCCTCCAAAAGAAAAGATAAATGAAATAAAGAGTCATCCTGTAAATTTAAATAGGAGTGCCTCTCACTGATTAAAAGCTGATGCTATCATATAATGGTGGAAGGGGAGGCTTCAGCTATTTCTCTCACTGGTGGCTGGGGCGAGGTGAGGAGGTGGTGATGGGTAATGCAAAGGAAGCATTTCCAGATGTGGCAGCATGAGCCTTAATCTGAAGAGTTTGGTTATCTATTAAATAATGCATAGGAGAACGTTGAGATATTATGTTAGAAAAGAGTTGTAGGATATATATTTACAAATTGCACTCTTACCTAGTATTTTGATAGATGGACACTTAATGTAGCTGGACATTGAATGTAGCATGCCAATATCCAGAGAATTGGATTCTGAACAGCCTGCAGTTTCTGCCTGCAGTTTAGAAATTTAGACATATTTTAGAAAATTGTTAAAATTTGCTGATCTTTGAGTCTTCAAAGTAACTGCCTTTGAATTAGTATGATAGCTGTGTTCCTAAATCTAATTGGAAAGACATGGTTTCCTCAAAAACATTAAAGGAGGTATATATATATCACAAAATAATTTTACAAATAAATCACAGTACATACGACACAATGTAAATTGTCTGCTCCTATTGGATTTTCTAAGATCTTTTATAGCAAAGCAGGAGAATCAAATTGAACATAATTTTGAAATAAAAGTTTGATAATTGAGTTAAGCAGCTTGATCTTGTCAATCACCTGTGACCTTAATCTATTTACACTTCATTTAAACATTCAAAAAGTCCCAAGGCTCATGGATAAGCTTCAAAGTATGAACAACGGTCTTCACTCTGTTTTGGTGGGCAATATCAACCCTTTTGAGCAGATTATTTAATCTGTTTTAAAATTAAGAGACCTGGATAAATAAAGAAGCAGGAAAAGCTTAACTCTGCAGTTAGGTATTCACTTCTAACTTCTTTGAGGGTAACTTACTTTAAAGATGTGATTATCTGTTATTTTTGTGTATTGGTTAGTTAGCTTTAAGAACTGTTGATACTTGAGCTATTCCTGAGACCCACCTAATTTATGTAAAGGCAATGGAAGGGGATACTGGGCACTCTTCATATTCTTTATCTTTAAAGCTTGTATTTAATTGTTTCATTCTTTAAAAACCGACTGTGTTCAGGGCAGTCCCTCTTTAAACATGTCTAAGTGCATTTGCACAAAAGATATATTTTACTTCTTAATTCTATGTGAATGCAATTACACATGTGATTTACTGCAAAAAAAAAAAAAAAAAAAAGAAAAGAAAAGAAAAGAAAGAAAGAAAGAAAGAAGGAAAAAGAAAAACTGCTTTCCTCCGCTGACCTTTAAAAGAGGAGGGTAAATGAGAGAGAGAGAAGCAATACTGACTGACTGGGCCTCCTAGTGTTTCCCCGACCTGGTCTAGTCAGCGGCTTCCGGGATGAGAATGGTCTGAGATCCTAGAGGCCGTGGTGATCTGGGTAAGTGGCACAGGTGGGGACCCCAAGGCGCCTTTACAAGGAGTTCTCAGCTGGTGGGGGAGCTCCGTCCAGGTTTCTTGTAGAGGTGTGGAGGGGGCTAAGAGGGAACTATCTTGTCCTCACCCTCTGTCGAACCCTTCTCAACTTTGCTTGGCTGAGGGGGATCATCTTGGAAAACTCACGGTTAGGTAATAAAGTCTCTTTCCTCTCCTACTACTTTTCAAAAGCAAAATTAGACCCACTTAGAGCTTGTGGGTGTTTCTGGGTCCTTGCTATTGATCTCCCGGGTCACCAAAACAACTCAGCAGCTCCTGCAGGTGTGTCCTCCGAAGGCATGGGAAGAGAGATCTAGGAATGGCAGAGGCGCAGTGGGAGAGAAAGAGAGAGAGGGGAGAGGGGAGAGAGGAGAGAGACTGGCTCTGTCACCCTTTCTCCTGCATTCTAAATCTGGCTTGAGAGAGAGGAGAGAGAGAGGACAGAGGAGAGAGACTGGCTCTGACAGTCACTCGTTCTCCTGCATTCCAAATCTGCTTTTGGAGCCAGAGGCAGCCCTCCATCCTGGTGCCACCCAAATGCTAGACTGCTAGATTGGGCTGGGCCTGAGCACTGCCGAGCGAGCTTCTCTGCGGGCTGAGCGCTTCAGGAGTTCGACGCGGCCGTCCTCGGCGCAGACTTTCTCGCCGGCGGACGTGGGCTCTGGTGCAGTCACACTGTGGCAGCTCGGAGGCGCCCGCCCTACGCTGCTTCTCCAGGTCCTGAGAGTCGTGGGGTCCTGAAGACTGGATCTCTTCCTAACTCCATTCCCAAAAGCCCGCGAAGAGCGTGGGGGAGGGGGAAAGTGAAAAGCACCCTTCACCTCACCCAACCCCCACACCCTCTGTGAGAGGTGGCACTGCAAGGCCCACAGACGGGAGGAGCCTTGCTCCCTGGCCTGCTGCACCCCAGCTTCCTGTCTCGGGGGAGCCAGCTGTGCTCCTCCTCAGCCGGTGGGGGCGGGGGGGGGAACCGAGGGGGGTTTGCAAATGGATTTTTGCTTGTTTTAACGTTCTTCCCTTTTTTGTGTGAATCCAGCTGCTGTGGAGGCGGGCGCGGGCGGCGGGGTAGGAAGGACTGGGATAGGATCGGGTCAGGGAAGAGGAGACAGCAATTACAGAGCTTTGTGGATGTTTGTGAGCACACGTGCCTAGGTCACCGCATGCGTGTTTGTGTGTGTGTGTGTGTGTGTGTGTCTGTGTGTGTGTGTGATGGGGTGGGGGAGAAAGAAAGAGAATGTACAAAGCTAAGGAACCCTAGACCAAATCAGTTTGTGGAGCTCAGAGACACGCATCAAACCCAGCTACTGTCGCCTCACCTAGGGGTCTGGAATAGACACACCTATTGCTTGGGGTTCATTTAACCCTTTTTGTGCCTCAGTCCCAAGAACTTTCTTTGTTTTCCAGCACCGGGGAGAGAGGCTGTCGGGAAGAGTGGGGCTGGAGTGGCCGGGCAGAGGTTCACACTAGAGAGCTGGGCTCAGGGGTGCTGGGCTCTAGGGTGCTGGCTCAGCTGCCAGTGCTCACTCCTCTGGCCAGGCGGCCTGCCCTGTCTCCAACTCTTTCGTCCAGGTGAGAATGAAGGGCTTTCTTTGCATCGATTTGGGTTTTCTGTAAGAAGGGAAATTATGAGTTGTGATATTTTTATTTTTTAAAATGACGCCTGCTTGAGATTCTGTTCACCTGGCAAAGTGAAGAGTTTGAAGCTGAGAAGAGTTTGAACAAATGAAGCTGAGAAGACTTTGGACAACGCCAAATAAATACTGTGAATGATAACTTGTGTTAAGGCTAAAACTTTTGCACAGTGATGGGCACTGGCTCATTACTGGGATAGAAATAGCCCTCACAATACATTGTCTATGTATGTACACAGTGTCCTCAGTATCTTCAACATCCCAATTCTCTTGGGTTTCAAAAGGTGATTGGGCTGACACAGTCCAAGAGCCTACTTCTGTGTGTGTTTCAGAGAAATACTTTGGATTAAATGGATCAGCATGAAATACACAAAGACAAGCAAAATAGAGGAGGGGGAGAGGAAATTAACATTAATTCTGAGAGAGGTGAGGAGAAAGGGGAACAGGGAGAAAGAGAGGGAGAGGAGGAGCAGGAGGGAGGGAGGAAGAGAGAGATTTTTCACACGTGCAGACCAAGGGCTTTGAAGCCTTCGACCCTGACCCCCAAACCCAAGTGCATCTCACAAAACAGGTTCGGCTCATATTTCAGGCGGTCTCCTGGCCAGGCGTCCGCGGTCCCCGGGGCCTTAATTCACTCCTGCCCTCTCTGCACAATGACTTTCGAACCTGGGAAAATAATTGCATTAGAGCAGATTACTTATCCGTCTTTTTCTGTTCGACAGAAGTCTATTAAACTCAACACAGCCATTACCAGCTGAGCTCTAGAGCGCGCCTTCATTAAGAAAATTAAAATCATACTTTTGAACCTAAGCAACGCCTGCGCAGGTCTCAGGAGTCCGCGTCAAATCCCTGTATTTTCGAGAACTCGATTTTTCCGCGAATCAATGTCTGCTTTTTGGATACCGTAGATCAGGGTGTAAAGATTGAGTGTGATGACAATTTCTCGGAAGATAGGGACGTCTGAGCTCTGGAAGTACCATCTCTCTTCTCTATCCCTACCCCCTCCTCCAGCCGCCTCCTTTCCTGGCGTGGCTCTTTTCCCGGGAGCTTTCCAGTTAGAGGCTGCACACCTGTCCGGGCGTGTCCCGGGATTTGGGTAGCAGGTGGGGGCGGCTGAGGCGACATGGAGGGGATGGCGGGTTCAGGGCCTGGGAACCCCGGGGGTGAACTTCCTCAGGTGACGTCTGCGGCCGGAGGCCCGCACCGAGTGCACGTGTTTCACACACGCGCGCGCGCACACACGCACCAGAGCGCGGCGAGGAGACTGTCCCCCTCCATTGCGTTTCACAGCGGCTCCGGGACCAGTGTGGCCTGTGAGCCTTTTGTCCATCCGGGCGTGGGAGCCTGGCCTGGGAACAGGGCAGGCCGTTGCGTATGCCTCGGACCGGGAGCTTCGGTCCCTTTGGCGGGGTCTTTGGCCTCTAGGGGCCTATCTGGGTTTCCTTCTTGGTTTGGTAAGAGCAGCAGTAGCGCCAGGTACGCCTTGGAGACTGTAGGCGGAATCGCTCCAGCTCCTGCTCTCTCCCGCGCCCCAGCCCCGGGCGGAGGGAACAGGTGGGAACCGCGGGCTGGAAGGAGGGAGACGTCCCCTACCTCCACTCCGGAAGCCTCGGGGTAACGTCTCCCATTGCTCTAGCGGAGTTCAGATCTCCAATTCCAGTTTCAACTGGAACCCTCACCGGGTCTGTCTGCTCAGTTAGGAGGGGGTGCGTTTGCATTGATTTTTTGTGGCATCTGGAAATTTGCGGTGTTTCAGGAATAAATTTTAGCATGTTTTTCTTTTCTGTTAGCCACTGCCCTCCGTTTCTGCATTTTGTTTTTTAAAATATTAATGACTGTGTATGTCTCTGAAAGGTCCACCCAACTCAGGACTCTAAAGGAAACATAACGGCTTTTGCACATTTTGGGGGCGTCTTTCCTTAGGGGTCTAGGAGCAGAGAGGTGCTGCTTCCATTTTTGTCAGAATGCTCAGTCATAGAGTTCTCACCCCCTCTTTCTGTCTAATACGGCTTTGGGGGGTTTGTGAGGGGAAAATAGCACCCCCTCCTCCTCCCTATCAGCACTCAAATACAGGATTAGGTGGAGTTACCTGAAAGTGTATATATTGTTCCTTGGCAAGTGTTTAATTCTCTTTCTCTCCATTTCTATCTGGTACAAATGCCTACAAAACTCCATTGACGAAACTCAACAAATAGATGTGGACAAGAGAACATCTTTTACATCTCCACAGCTTTCAACTCGCTAATTGGTGAATATTAAAAATATTTTTCCAGGAAAAAAGAAAAACAAACAAACACACCTACACTGCTGTTGCTCGTGTTTTCTTCTCACCAAAGGTAGACACATCATTGGATTTCTTTTTCCTTTGTAGCAAAAGATGAGGAAATCAGAAATGAACCGCAGCCTTTTAACAGTAGCAATTCCAAGACTTTTGAAACAGTTTTCTTTGCTTCTGTTTTCCCTTCTTTGCCCTTAAAGCAAAACAAAAACAAAGACAAAAAAGGAAGAAACATCATTCTTAGTGAAGAGTTTATTTTGTTGCCACAATAAAGGGATGGGGGCAGTTAACAGCTACTTGAGATGGTAATGCTTAGTGATCCCATTCTTTTACTCATAATCTTCAAGTGGTTTAAGATTAATGGCAAGGGGTGTTTTCCGTCTCTTCCTAAGGACCTTCACATTAATTTACTTAGAACATTGACCAGACTGTCAATGTCTCCAAATTTCATTAAGTCAAACAGAGACAATACAATGAGATGATCATATTTCCTTTATATGTGAGAGAAATATTTTTATTTGGATTCAACTGCTATGAGGGACACCCCCTTTCTTGTCTTTATTATTTTGTTTTCTTTGTACAGATATGTAGATAGCTATATATAGATATTTTGTATATATACCCACATACGTATATACATATATATTTGAATAGACTCATATGGTCTGCAGATAACTTCCCTTCCACTTCTGAGCTTAACGAGGACCTTTCAAACAGTCAACCCCCGTTGCAGGCAGTAGATTCTGCTTCCCCAGAGCAGGATTTATATTTAAAATCAGTTTGAACCCAATGGACTTCCTCAAAACAGACCCCCCAAAATGATAACAGCTTGGAGTATCAATATTTAACTTTACCTCAATTGTCACACAATAGCCCCAGCAAATCTTCAAACACAATCAGACTGAGGCATCACTTCACTGGCCTGAAGACCGGGTTGTCTCCCACCTCTGCCTTGCCCTAGGAGCGCTGGTTCTAGGGAGTCACCGGGGTCCCTGTCCCCTCCCTGAGTGTCTCCAAAGATGGGAATGGGGGTTGGAGAAGGGGTGACACAGGGCTTCTGGGAAGAAGCGAAAGAGGAGAATGGATTTTTAAACCAGAAAGTCCTGCTACTCTGGCAAGAAATTAAAGTCCAGAGACACACCTTTCCCTTGCTGTCCTCCCTGCCCGTGTTCCTTCCCCCGCGCCTCATTTCTGAGCACTGTTTTAACAAAATCCCAAAATCCGGTACTTTGGAAAGCAAAACCAAAAACTCCCTCAGAAACAAAAGTCGTTCCGCGGTGTAGATTGACACTCGTTATGTGGGGGTCTGGTTGCGGTTGGAAGACTTATCCGAGTCAGGGCTGCATTGCCAGCGCCTTTCCCAAGAGTGGAGGTTGGCGGTGCAGGCGGTGCGGCTGCCAGCCTGAGATTGTTCCGGCTCTCGTTACCTGTGCGCCCTCGCGTTACATGGTGCTCATAAATCCCGCGGCAGATTAACTGGGAAACCAAGAAAATGCCTCTATGCACCGAACCGTTGAAAAAGAACCAAAATTCTCTCAAATAGTAGCAGTCTCACACCTTGCATTGGACGTGAAACACTATAGTAAGATCAAATGTCAAAGACATCGGTTATTTTGGTGCACTTCAGCTACCTTTTCCGTTTCCAGCAAAATTGAGAAGTACGACCCCAAAAAGAATAGACACACCCATGGAAAAGACGTGTGTGTGTGTGTGTGTGTGTGTGTGTGTGTGTGTGTGTGTGTAGCTATGGTGACAACTTTTAAACACTTTTTCTGCTTAAAAAAAAAGATTCGGACAGGGTCTGGTATTGCTTTGCGTTGCAGGAAAGGGTCATTCTGGACAAGGAACCGTCTGAATTCCGAAAGCTATCCCTCAAGACTTTTCTAAACAGTGCGAGTTTCCTGGGAGTTTAATTTTGTGAGGATGCAAAATATTGCTTTGTATTGGCCTCTTTCCCCATCAGATATCCATTTTTAAAACGTCTACAGCATCTATTAAAAACATTTCCTTGGACTCGGAATCTGCAGTTCTGCAGGAAAAACAAACTGTAGCGAAAACGCAGAGAATACAGAGATGTAGAAAAAGGAAAGGTGTCCTCTGCCAAGGCTTTTGATAGTTTATTCCCCAGAGGCCAAGCGAAGGTGGGGGGGTTCCTTCGCATTTTATTATTATTATTATTATCATTTATTCATTTAAATGTTCAGTCCTTGACAAGGTATTCCCCTGCCGCGGGGTTTTGCTGGAGAATGGACGTGGGGGCGGTGGAAGGAGTCAGTGAAAGGTGGGGTGCGCAGAAAAACAAGATTCGCTTCGCAGGGGGCTGACCCGCAGCGTTCTGCTCTAATTGCCAGCAGGGGGCGCTCTGATGTTAGCTCTGGACTAGACAGCAGAGCCACTCTGTGCTTGCAAGACAGGCTTGGCAGTTTCACGCAGCTGCAAAAGGAAAGGGAGGGGGGATTGTAGTTCCTAAATCCTCAACAGCTATTCCACTTGGGTTATTTACCCTCGGTTCGAAATGCTTCTACGTCTCACTTTACCTACCCATCCCGCTTATAGTGCATCCCGTTCCCCATCCACCTCTTTCTTTTCATCGGCATCTACGCACCACATGTATAATCTCTCTCTCTCTCGCCTTGAAATATACATTAATGCAACTTATTAAATGCGACGATGAATAGTCAACATTTTTTTCGCCTGTTGGTTCCGCTGATCCAAGCAGGATTTATTTGCAGATCTCACGTCCAGGAGCCATAATGCATGATTTTTTTTTTTCCTTAAATAAAATTGGTCAAATGTTGACAACCTTTGAGCCAATCTAACACTCAAGATTAGTGATGGGAAACTAATGAGAAAATATCAGATCGCCCAGCCTGAGGGCTGCCAATTAAATCTTCGCTGATTGAAAAATAAAAGCGGACTTGGGGTGTGAGCCCAGCTCAACTTCATCTATTAATTTAACATGTTACCGGGTTTATGCCTTCTCTTCTCTAAACAGCTTCCCGTAATACAGCTTTCTCCTCTTCATCCCTCAACCTAAAAGCCAAGTGTTATTTCTCAGAATATTTCAAGTGGTCCAAATCTGGATGATCATTTCTTACATGGTAAATATTAGGCCTTTAAGCAATATGATTTAACTAATTAGAAAATTTACATCATTAAGTCTCAGGGAGAGAAAAAAAAAGAGAAACAAATCTGCCAGTCATTTTAAAGGAGACAGGCACTATTGAAGTGTGAAGAAATCGGCTCTAATTCAAAAAGGCAATCGGGCAGAAAAAGCCCTCAACATTACCCTGCTAGTTATTAATCAGAAAGGGCTCTCTCCTCCCCACACCTCCTCCCTTCTAAGCACTGAGTTTAAGTTCGTTTTTTTGTCAGTGGCCCATGTCATATTTATATTGAGGTTTTGTCTGCTAAAGGATTAAAATTTGAAAATGTTTCAATAAGAGGCAAACAGAATCCTCAAAGCGAAAAATATCCACAGAATCACCTCTCTTCCAGACAAGTAAACTTGTAATAAACAATTCTCACGCCCCTCTTATTTTTTTTAATTCTTTCGTCTTTCTTCCCATTAAGTTCCTATTTTGAAACCTGCTTGGTGAGAACTAGATAAAGTCTTTGTGTTCTGCCCCCCTCCCCCTCCTTTCTTGCATCTCCTCCCTCCTCCAAAGCGAGAAACTTAGACTGAAAGCAGAAAAGTACAAATACATTAACAAAGCCCCACTCACTTGATAAAAAGGCCATGGTCTAGGCTTACATGTCAGGAATCTAAGGGAAGGGGGCTCCGTTGGTGGGTCTACAGACAGAAGGTGATGAACTAGAAATTTCCCCCACCTATGTGTACTATTCAATATAGTGTGTGGTTAGAGAAAAAGGAAGGCAGGTGGGTGAGAATTATTTTAAAGTGTATTGTGGTGTTGTGTGGCTTTTTCTTTCTTCTCCTCTTTTCTATTCAGCTTAAAACAGCAGCCTCATTATATCTAGGTGCCCCTTCCCATCATACTCTTACTTAAGCCCTTGGTACACCACACACATCGCCTTTTCCCTAGTCTTCTCATTCCCAGCAAATTAACAGAAGAAGGAACTGCAAAAGGAACTTTGTGAGTAGTTCCATTTGGAAACCCAGGCCCTTCCTGGCATCTCTGAGGATTTGTTCTTAAACGGATATTGGCCTCAAAAAATGTAATAGCAAGCCTTAGATATTCAATTTCCCTTCATTATTATTTCTTCTTAAATTATAAAGAGGTCCCAAAGGCTCATTTTTCTGCCTTGTCCTATTCTTCTCTAATTATGTTCCCTCCTGGCCTCATTTTCTTCTCCTCCTCTCTGCCTTACTTTCTTAAAGTTTCACTACCTTGCTTCCCATCAAGTCTCTGGGCCTTAGAATTCTCAAGTCTTTGGGCTTCTGCTGACCTTGAACAGCTCCCAGCATTAATTCAATGCCATATTCCTGGTTACCAGATTTCAACTTTGCAGGAGAGAGCAGTAGCAGACCTGGGCTATTAACACACCACAGTTAATTCTCTGCGGGAACTTTTACTAGGTGGGACTTGTGGAAGGAGAAAACGTCTGTAAACAGTGCATGCTCCTGAGGGTGGGGAATGATTTCTGATATAGAAGCCAGAACACATAAAATATGGCCATATTGGTGAAAGAGCCAGTTCCGAGTTAGCATTTGGTTAAATAAGGAGAGGGAAGAGAACAGGGGGACCCTGGGAAGAGTTTAGAATGCTCCCCAAATGCAGCTCCTTTTCTGACCATTAAAGAGCAGATGTGAGTCGAACGTGCTCCCCTTTGAGAAAGATTAGAGTAAAATGGACCCCTCCGTCACTTTCAGGAGGCAGGACACAGGGAGGTGAAAATATACAAGACAATGGCCTCTGGCGCTGGTGGGCTTCCTTGGCGGGCTCCCCACCTTTTGCCCCGTCCCTCTTACAACCCTTCTTACCTTTGTTGCTTCAATTTGATATGAAACCATGGGATGTTCCTGGGCTAGGTTCCTCGAGAGGAAAAAGACCACGAGAATCAACCCGTCTCCTGCATCTACTCCGAAGTCAAGAGCATTACAATACAATTTACAGCGCCTTTAACAACTCGCAAGTAAAGCATTAAAATTCGCTTTAATTGAGAAAATATTGATTTTTAAGTCTAGAAAAAGCGAAATCGTAATTTAGCTTCAAACTTTCAGGCGAGAATATAGCGTATTATGTCGCCGTATAATGGATCCACCCTTTCCGCCCATGCAACATCACATCTTTAATTGCTCTACTTTATGAAGTGATAAAGACAAAAGATAACCCGACTTAGGCAAACGCTTTTTAAAAAGAGGACCTAGAGGAATTTCTTTTACCAGATACTTGTAGAAAGAATTATCTCCTTTTTTGAAGCAGAAAAAAAAAAAATGCCCAAAGGGGAGGAAAGAAATAAAAAAGAAAAACCACAGACTAGTCTGAAAGCAACTCACATTAGCAAATCCGTTGACATGCTCTACCAAAGGAGGGATGAAGCCAACATTTAGAGAAAATGCATTCACGGACAGAATTGCATCCTCCTTTAAACGAAACAAACCTGGGTCTATTTTCTTACTTTACTCCTCCGTCCTTTTTTGGGGTGGGGTGGGGGGCGAGGGGAGTCAGAGGGGGCAGAATCCATTGGTGGACAGGGAAGGGAAAGAAAATCAGGCTTTCTATGTTATTTCTGTATCGGTTTTTGGTATTATAGAGGAGTAAAGAAGTTTTTGTGTGATGGTTTTTCATTGATCAGTCACTCTGAGCTAATGTAATTATCCTCATCAATAGGAGGCTGCAGAGAGAATCATTATGTGGGTGACATTGATAAATGATCGCCCAGGAACGGCCCTCTCGCGGGCAACCCCCACGTCTGACCCTCCCACACACACAATGTAGTCATAGAAACACCTAGAGAACCTCGAGCCCCGCCGCGGAAGAGGCAGGAGAGGGAAGAAAAGCCTCGGGCGGCCGAGGTGGGGGTGGGGGCGAAAGGGGACGGCCAGCCCCAGATCCAAACCAGTTCCAACGACAAAAACAGCCAGCGGCGGGGGGCGAGGGGAGAGGGACGGTCTCCCCACCCGGCGGCCAACCCTCCCGCGCACAGTTGCTCACAACAAAGTGAAAATCCGCCCTCCAGACGGACCCATTCCTCCACACCTTTTCCCATGTGTGACCTCACTACCAACAACATCTGATGTTTGACGAGACACATATTCAAAGGGGTCTCTCCAAAGGAGTTAAATAATTAGGTCACAAAACTTGTAGGCATCTAATTCTCACGCGAGTTTACCCCGCTCCCCAAACACCAAACAAACCAACCAACCAAACCCATCTGAAAGAAAACAAAGGCAGCATCTGGGCGACACCCCCCTTCCTGCGTTCCCCCCAGTTATTTACTGGGTGACCCCGTCCTTTCTCTTCACCTCCTCACCCAGCGCCTCGGATTATGAGATAATGGATTTTGCGATTGTTCTTGTCAGGGAAAAAAATCTCCACAGAACCCCACGTTTTCATCTTTCAACTGTTTTATTTAAGCCAATGGGAAGGTATTGAGGGCAGTAATTGATTCATAATGATCCATAAATCGATGTCGGAAAGCGGGGGGAGAGGGTGGAGGTGTACTAAGAGTATGGGGGGGTGGCGATGCTGTTTATTTCTAAAGCTTCAACTAAAGTAGCTTTGACACTGTTGGGGCTGGGGGGGGAGGAGCTGTTGGGCTCTGCCGGATCATCCATCATTCCTGTCACCCAGAGTCTGCCCGGAGGAGCCGTAGACGCAATCTCCCTTCTGTCTCTACACCGAAACTATTAATATTAAAACCTCCCTTCAAACACTGCCCCGACGGTCTCCATTCTCATCACAATCTGACCGGCCTCCCCCATCAGACCAGCATTTCCCCCGCGCGGCACTTTCTCCCAGCCCCGGCCCCGACGGAGGGGGCCCGCCCCGGCGCGCGACGCCCTGAGTTGATGACTGCAACTGTAACTGGGACGGGCCCCCCGTGCCCCCATAGTTTGCAATACGTTGGTCTAACTCTAACACACGCGCCCAGGGAAGGCCAGGTGAGGGCCAGGGTAGCCCTCTGCACGCCCCTCTGCCGCGGCCCAAGCCTCTGTCCTGCCTCCTCCTAGGCTCCAGGACGCACGTCTGCACCAACCCCGCTGGGTGGGCGGCGGGGGCTGCGGCCGCGAAGCTGGGGTCACTCCGCGCATCCAGACACCCGGACACCGGACTTTCTAACTGAGTGGCAACTTGTAGCGGAGGTCCAGGCTCCTTATCAAATTGCTGGCCTGCTAGCTAATGGAGAACTTGTGGAGGATCCCTGTCCAGTCCCTTTGAAGGAAGGTCCCTCCTTTGACAGCTGCTAGAGATATTAGCCACATTTCCCTTCCCAAATCTGCTCCGGGTTAACAGGCCCGCGGGGGCGGGAGGGGGTGAGGAGGCAGGAGGATCCTGGTGGACTCTAACGAGGGTGAGAGCTGAGGGGCGTGAGGGGTGCTGACCTAGGGGGTGGAAGAGAGGAGGGGTGGACGGAAGACACAGACTTTCCTGGTCTTTTCTCTCTTTTTCGTTTAAAATGTGGCTTCTTGCTCAATTCCCAACCCTTAACAGATGGCGACTGCAGTTCTCTCAGAATTTCTTAAAGAAAGGGAAACCTTTGGAATTTATTTCTGCTTTTGCTTTTTCATATAAATAAAAAAGTGTTTTTATATTACTCTTGTTTTGGAGAACATAAGCAATTTTATTCAGACTACAGTATTTCCTTTAACACTATATGGTTGTCAAAACACCATTCCCAGTTTCTTTGCTTTTGACAGCTGAGTCTTTCTTAAATATACCCAAATCGGAACTCTTTACACTAAATAGTAAACCCGAGATAGGAGCAAGTGCCTTCCGGGGTGGTGTAAAAAAAGCATTATAAAAATTGGACAAATCTATCACTTCTCTGTGTTATCATGGGGTTGGGGGTGGGGGAGAGCAAGGTAATGCAAACAAATATTACAATTATCATTCATCTCCAAATATTTAAGAAGGTTAAAGTTAACATGATAGGACGTGGGTTTGACGAATAAACTAAGCATGAGATGACTTTATTCATTAAAACCAAGAGTTGAGAGCTCTGGTCTCTAAACTTCAATGAGATAACTTGATAATTGCATAAAACACATCCTAAACACGAGCCAATTGCCAAGGAAACCCTTCAGAATTTACTGAGTGGAAAGAAAAAAAGGTTCTTTTTCCCACCTGATGTGAGAGTTGATTTATAATGGGGAATTTTCATAGTTTACATAAAAGTATTTAAAGTAAAAATAGGCAAATATTTAAAATTTACAAAAAGACTTCATGTAAAATAGAATAGCAAAAATGAGAGGGAAGCTATCTCTCTTTCCCAAGTGGCACTGAATTTCTCTATTAAGTTAGTTTGTGTCAGAAGCATTATTTCTATGTTTAAACAGCAACACAACACTTAAACTGAAATGTATTTGTAAAAATTCTACCTGACTAAATATAACACAAAACAATAGAAGTGTATTTCCTCGTTCATTTATATAGAACCTCCATAAATGCTGTCTGAAATGGAAAGATGGAAGAGCCCCAAATAATAACTATGGATTTCTTCCAAGTTTAAGTTTGCAGAGATGATGAATAATTTCCTTAGCCGGTTGACATCACATATCTAGCCAAAGTATATGACATTATTCTTTCTAAACAAAGATTCAAAATTTAAGAGTTAAAAAATTCCAGGATAGTATATTTATTTGAAAATTGAGGGGACATGCCTCACCCTTTTTGCACACTTTAGCAGACATTGTTTGTGCAGTATCAATAAGCTAATGGTATAGATTTCCAGGAATGTTGCATAAAATTTTGAAAATGGCATTATACCGTCCATTTTGTTTTGTTTTGTTTTCAGAAAAAAGTTTAAGTTTAGTTATCAAATCATCACACTAGCATCCCTGCACATGGATGTGTCTGAAATAAAAATATACCACAATATAATTTATAAAATATTAATGATTAAGTAATCTTTTAAAGTCAGAATTTCAAACTCCATAGAAGTTGTTTACTTATCTATGAACACCCATATGTAAATTTTCATTTACATATCCAACAATATTGTAGTAAGACAGGCAGAGGAAAAACACAGGCAGATAAATTACCTTTGAGCACAGACATTATTTCTTATGTTGTAAAATTAACCCTGAAAAGTCCTTTATTCTGGCAGAGGATGCCCATGAAAAGCTTTATCTGAAAGTATATATTTTTTAACGTCATGCATCTAAAAAGGAGGTTGAGCATGTTCAAGGGGATCTTTCAACCTGGCTCATCATGTACACATAGTTTCGTACCTTTAGAAGTTTTCTGCTGGTGGAACTTATAGGTCAAATAGACATTGAAAGGCTATAGATGATTACCTTAAAAATTATTGATGAGTTTAAAATATACTCAACTGCTGGGGGGAAAAACCTACTTTTAACACTGTATAGAGTTGGCATTGTGCAGTCTTGTCCTAAAACCATTAAAAACGCAAAAGCCTAACAAAAAATCAAAAATGAAATATTTATTACCGCTTTTTGTGACTTAACACCTTTTTTTTTTTAACATAACGTCACAGTCCTCATACAAGTATTTTAATGTAAATTTGACAAAGCTTAAAGGTAACAGCATTTTCTTCTAGTGAGGAACACGTGCTGAGAAAAGAAGAATTCATGGACATACAATACCAATTCCACAGCAGATCTGATACTAGCAAAAACATTCTTTTTTTTTTCAATTGAGGTAAACACATAGAATATCTAACATGAAACAATTAATAGACCGAACTCTGTACGAAGTTTGTTACAGTATTCTCTTGCTCCTTTTTATCCCCCAAGCTTTGAGTTTCTGATAAAGTCCTAGTTATGGTTCAATGACCATTAATAACTTTTTTTTGTGTTGAGGAAAGCTGCCCAACTTAAGATTGTTTTGTCCACAACCAAGGCTCAGAACTCCTGGAAGAAGCTCCTGCTCTGTCTTTAAATCTTCATTGGCAAGCTCTTTGAAGAAGAGTCCCCCAAAAATAATAATAAGAATTGGCTTATGAAGCACGAACTATAAAGATCTGTTTGAAACTAAAGGACACATTTATGGAGGAACAAAGGCCGGGCATGAAAACACATTCTTGAAGCTGGAGTTCGAGTGATGAGGTTCAGCCAAAAGTTCATCATGATCTCCAGTGTGGTTCTTTTCTCATTGGCCCAACAGGTTTAAAATATATACCACAGTCTCTCCTGGATGGTGAATTCACTGATGAACCAAAACAGTCATTCTTTTGGGAACAACACACATAGTGTGGAAAACAAGGATATATTTTTTTTTCTCTTCTAAAACTATTTGAGGCAACATAACGGCGTGATCAACAGAAATGTACAAGTTTAACTTAGTTCCTATATTTATACTACAGTAGTTATAACTCTCGGAGTCTTTTTCCAGAGGATCTTTACATGGACAGAATTGTCTCAGTCAGCCCATGATTTCACATTTGTGTTCTTGTTGCATTGGTCCTCTGTTGCTTGATGAAAAATGACAAAAGTAAAAAATAATCACAGCTGTCTGGAATTTCATATTAAGTGTCAACATCTGGTCAAAGTTCAGAAAGTCTTAAAATAGTTTTTGCGTGTGTTTCCTTTTCCCTTGAGTTCCCTTATACTATTGGGCATGAATGTCCATAACCTGTCCGCCAACATTGGGATCTACAGAATTTAACATTGTGGGGCTCTGTGCTGACATAGTCATTCCAGGGTGGGTAGGGGGTCCTCCGTGCATCATCATGGCTGGGTGGTGGGGATGGCTTGGCAAATATGAATGCATTGGGGGTCCATGTCTTAATTGAGTAGGGTGTGGGGTCATCTGGGGAGGAGTGTAACTTGGCTGTGCCATACTCATTCCCATAGGACCACCCTGAGAAACGTAGTCCCCTGGCATGCTCTGCAAACCTGAAAATAGAGAGGGAAAAAGAAAGCGGGTCAAATTCCTAAACATTTTTATACTTTACCCATCAAAGATGAAAAGAAAAAAAAAAAAAAAACAACAGACACTGCAAATCTTATACCTAAATTTAGCTGCAGATTCTTGCCAATGTTTGCAGACATTCAAATTGTAGTTTGCATTTAATTTCATCGCACAGCAGTATAATGCAACACAACAGAACTAAATATTTAATGCAACTAAATGTCATAAAGTGGAACTGTTTTTCAAAATGGTATTCAGTACATTTCTTTGATAAATGCAATAAGAATATAAATTTTGAGTCGAGTTTTATCAGTTAACTGTTGATAGATCATTTATTTTTCTGTGTTGCATTTGTAGACCTGGACAAAAATTGTAGATAGTAGAATAAAATAAAATTGACATCTTATCATATCTATATTTCCTCATGAAAAATTTATTACACAAAACATTACAGCATATTCATTTTGAAGAAATGAGCTTTTACGTGTATTTAAAATGAAGCCCCCTTTTTGAATTAGAGGCATTCCTATAGCAGTACACCCAAGAGATTGTAAAGGTCAAAGGTAAGAAGTCAATGTGAGGTCATATGACATGCCCGGTAGTTTATCTCTGAAAATCCCCCCAAATAATGCCTTGATATTAGGAATAAAATGTAATAAATGTAGAAATTCTCAATTGAGATATGCAACATTCAAAGTTATGAGTTAAATGGTGGGAAGTCAGCAATTGTAAGGATTCTGATTTCTCTTACAAGTTACCTGTTTATTGAATTAAGGTTATATTTACTGTTGCACATCCCCGGATCTAAAAGGACAGCTTTATTCACCTCTATTTAACCTCCAGTGCATACAGTTGAAAAGCTGAACAGATGTTTTTGACACTGTAAGCTGGTAATCTAAAGGCTTATATGCTGCAGTCATTTTGTTAAGTAGATCCGCAGTCCATTATTAACAGAAGTGGCAAAACCATCTAAAGACAATAACACAGCCTGCATAGTCCCAGCTCTCTGTTTATTCTACCACAGCAGCCTGCTCAATGGATGATGATAATTAAGTACCAAATATACCATATTGTGTGGCTGCATAATCAAATCAAGAGAGGATAATATTCTTCTGTATTAAGCTATTAATGTAATTGGTCATGAAGCATAAAATATGTTATGTAATTAAATAGGCTAGAAATTATATGGCCTATATTAAGAACTATCCAAGCTGAGCAAATGTTTTCTCTATAGCTGTTTTAGGGAACATTGCTTTCTACATTTTTTGACTGCATTAGTAAAGGAAGGAAGGAAGGAAATTGGCTTCATCAATGGTGTGCCGTGGTGACCCCCTGAGCTCCCCTATAAAATGTTGGCCTCTATTTACATATAGAGAATGATTTAATCAAGGTACGTGTTGTTATATTCAGCCTCATTAAACAAGGAAGTTTCAATGTTATATGAATTTTTTTATGCTCTGGTGTCTTCAGCAAAGGATATATCTTGTTGGCAGACTCTGAATTTTTTTCAGATGTCAAAAACACTTGAAGCTTTAAAGTCTAATGGGTTTCTTAATCCAACTGCAGCCATTCAGCCTCAGTGAAAAATCCATTCCTTCATATTCAGTTGCTCCTAAATGTCTTTCCCTTTAAATTTATTGACTGACTTTCCTGTCTTTCTGTCTCATGTCGGAAGTCAGTAGGCACATGTAAAAAATAATCAAAACACACCGACTCCCTAGTGAAGAATCAATGGTGTCACTGCTGTCATATATCTAGACTAGGCATAATGAACTGCAGCATTTCATCTTTGCATATAAGATAATTTGGGCATCAATCGTATTCTGACAGATTTATGTCACTCAAAGGACAGTTCTACTTTTCCTTTTTTTTTTTATCGCTTCATTGAAGCCTGCTTAATTTCTCTCAGTCAACTGGTGCCCCCAAGACATTATTTTTATTCTTAAATGTCCAATATCTGCCTGATGTCTGTGTTTGTGCACATTGGGGCCACAGTAAATAGGCTAAAAGGCAGTCCCACCTGCTTAAAACACACGCAGGCTTGTCAGTTGGCCTTTTCAAAAGTGCACATCAGTGTCATCTGTGACTTCAGAGATGGGTGATATATATTTAAAAACAGGTCCTTAGTTTGGAAAGGCATGCAGTTATGGGCAAGGAAAAATAAAATGGGGGCAAATTATAAAAAATAAAATAAAGTCTCTGAAGTGATAGTGAAGACAGATCGCACCCGACTGTACTTACTTCCCCCTTGCTTTGCGATTGCTTTACATGATGAAGGTTACATGTAGTGCCATTGCCCATCCATGCCCATATTCATGCCCATTCCACTCATAGGTCCTAGAAAGGAGATAAAATCCAAGAAGAGGCCGGAAAATCAGCAATAATTGATGGTGAAAAAATAGAAGGAAACTCAGATTCCTTTTCACTTATTGCCTTGGTTTAAAAAGAAAAAAGAAAAAGGATGTGTATGGGGCAGAGTATAATGGTACTGTGGTAAAATCTTTACTTTTTCAAAGAGGAATTTTTTCCCCCACCCAATGTAAAGAAAGCAGGCAGAGCAGGCAGCAGGCAAATGTTAAACCCACCATGACAGTGGGATAGTAGAGTGGATGGAGAGGCTGGTGGAGCAGGTGGCACTTCCCAGGGAAGCCCAGAGGCGGGATGAGCCAACCTACCTGCAGGCCGGATCCCCATGTGTTGCTGACCATCCAACACAAAGCTCCCCATGGGCTGACCCTCTGGACTATATGCTGCTCCTTGGCTCACTGAAGGATCAAGAAGAAAACCTGATTGTGGTCATTCGAGGACACAGAGGAGAAAGAAGAAAAGATATACCAAACAATCAGCAATTGTTCCCGCTGCAGCACTGAAACGTTATAGCAACAATGTGGTTGGCACTCTACAAATGGGGGTGTGGTTTGTCTGAGTGTCTTGATGACTGAGTGAAGGTGTGTGAGTAGCTTTAAAAATGTTCTGGAAGAAAGACTTCACTGGCCAGTTTCCCAGGGGGTTCGTCCTCTGCAGCCCTTGCTTTTTTACTTATCTCTTGATTAGGGGGACGAAGGCTGGAGAAGTTAGGGGTACCCCATATACAAATATTGCAATGTACCATTTGGTTGGGATTCTCTGAGGCTGCCATCTCTGGTGGCTTAATACAAAATGTTCATATTTTACACAAACATTTTAAACCTGAATACAATTTCACAAGGTTAAATAGACTCAATTAAAAGCTTGCCTTTTTATTCACACCAAGGAAATATAAACTTAGTAAATATAATATTTCCATTGTTTTATGTTCTTCTCCCTAGCCTCCAATAGTGGGAACATATTTTGGCGTTATTGGGGAAATTTTGCCAAAGGATGACTAATTTTCACAAATCCTTTAAAGCGAGGCCACAGGTAAAATCTCCATCAAGTTTAACACCGTTGTTAGTGGCAGCAGTCATCACCCCAAGGAAAACTGTTTTTCCCTATAAGCCTTATTGCAGGAGACCACAAACCCTCAGTAAACTGAGGAAATGTCTGTTTCAAAATAAAACGACTTGGAGTATACCAGGAGGGTTCTGATAGTACCATACAAAAACTGTTTTAGAGAAATTGAGAGAATTCTGAGAAAAGCTCACATGTATTTTAGCAGCATGGATGTGAAGCATTTTATACAAAGGTAATATTCTTTAATAAAAAATAATGGTGGCAATGCAGCAAGTCAGGCTTTAATAGGATATTATGAATAGCCAAAGCAAATGAATGGATACAATAAGTTTAACAGCAGATGCTACAGAAAGGAAAGCCTAGCATACACCAAGGAGCTGTGGGTAACAGAAAAATGAGAGTGTGCTAATGATTGGATGCAGACAAGCAAGGGGTAATGCCAGAGCTCACAAACACGCTGCTTGTGGCATTAATACCTGTGCCCAATTACCAATTCAGAAAGAAAATAAAAAGCAGTGTCAGTAGAGTCAGGGTGGGAAATCTCCAATTAGCACCACTTACTGAAGTTGCTTCCTTGAGTGGGATTCTGGGGACATTAAAAAAAAAAATCCAGAATGCCTGGTGGAAGCACTTATTTATCAGATGAGGAAACTACTGGAGTATAACTTGATGAGGATTTGTGCCTGTGGGACATAAATATAGATACTACTTGGAACTTGCCTGCTCGATTTGACTGGTCAATCATGGGCTGTACTATTCTTCTTCTGGCATTAATAAACCTGAAAGAGAACAGAGAAGTCCAGTCATCATACTCCGTTTCTGTACTCTGCGAACACCTTTGCATGAATGCTGAGGAGCACAAAATACAGTCAAATCTCTTCTGAAAATTATCTTTTCAATTTAAAGGTGATTTTCCCTTTCAGCGTTCAAAAATAGTTGACTGGGTAATCTCCGTCGTCACTGCGTAGTCAACTCCAAAACAACTTGCTAGAAGAGCTCAGGGACGGAATAAAGTTCTCCATGAGAAAGCTTCTATTAACTTCAAATTGTGCTTCTGCTTCTTGCACAAGTAGGAATCTGGTTAAAGTTCACAGGCTGGAAGACTTTCCCCCTTTCCCTAGACTCCCCGTGATAGGGAGACCCAGCTTCCCCTTGCAGCTGGTCATAAATGGAGACCAGGCTCTAGCACTCGGCTTTCACAAGGTATTGTTAGGTCAGCAAAGCCATCAATTAGGCTGTCTGAAGTTTTATCACCAACACAGCAGTAATAAGTGCTGGCCAGAAAGACTTCTGCTCTTCGGCAACTCCTGCAGTTTAAGCCTGTAAAGTTAGGGGTCATTCAGAGGTCAGTGCCAGCTGGGGGCAGCCTTTCCAGCCTAAGCTGGGACACCCAGGGCAGAGGATAAGGTAACTGCCAACCATAAACCCAGCCACCTTTCAACCCACTAGAAAGACAGAGCCTCAGGTACACATGTTTGATATTAGAGCTCAAGAAACGTTTGCAAATCAGGTGGTGGCTGAATCGCAGGAATGCAAAGGAGAAGCAGTTATTTCATCTAAGAAGCCTGGATCTAATTTTGTTGGAAATCCAAAAATAAGTGCCTACTTCATGTTACTTTAATGTTTAATAATGCCCATCAAATATTCATGTACAAACAGAGTAAGATGATAAGAAATCTCCTTTATTTCTCCAAATTTAATAAAAACAAAACAATTTTCTACCATTTGTGAGTTACCCTTGTCCCTGTGCACTTAACGACGTGTATTCCCCACACATTTGAGCTCATGCACACGATTCACTGACCACGCATTTCGGAGGAGCAGGGAGCATCCAGCTAGCTTCTCCCTAAAAATATACCCATTGATAACATCTGTCAATATTTCCAGTTTCAGATCTTAAGCACAGGGGGACTTCATGATTAATGAGTCCACCTGGGGCCACAGGCAGGAACTGAAAACTCACTCTTTGAAATTAGCCAGAAAAATTCAGTGTGTGCTGGCAGCTCTGTGTTCCGAGGAAGCTGAAGTCCCTTTGGAGGAGGACAGTCAGGCCCCACTCGGTCGGGCCTCCTGTGAGCACTCTGGTGGGAATACAATTAAGCTGAGGAATAATAGCTGGGAGAAAACCAAAGGAGTCTTTTGCATATGGTGTTTGTTTGCAAAACAATGGACTTCTTTATTACTTAAGAAAGTGTAGCTCAGTTGTCAAAAAAGAAAGTGATCAGCTATGTAGAGGTGAAAACAAAAGGAGAGTTGAAACTGCATCTTTCTTCCCACCTGTCACCTGAAATGTTGCTGAGGAATGAATATCTGACTAGATCACAAAGACTTCCAGAAGCATCCCTCCTCCAATCAGAAAAAGAACTTAATTATCTACTCTTTCCCCACCACTTTTACAGCAACCAAGGAGGACTGACCTGATATTTCCACCCCAGGAACCGTTTTTATCAGCTCACCTTGAAACCAGCAGAGATGCTCAGGAGGGTCAGAGAAGGCTCTTCTCCTTGAAGTTTCTAATAGAGGACAACACTCGGCAGGGGTTTTACCCCCTTTTATGTGCTACTAATCCTGGTTTTTGTGTTTTGCGTTTTTTATTTTTATTTTTTTTTCGGTATAGGCTAACTCTTCGGGTAAAACGAATTGCTATTTTTTTCCCTTTTTAATTTCACTCTTTTATTCTTTACATCTGGAGGTTGTTCCCTTATTTATGTCTTTCTCTCCAGTTCCCCCAAACACTCCCTTACTCACAGAGCTGCAAGGCATCATGGTTCTTAGTTCTCAGCAGGAGAACTCCACACTGTCTTCAAACAAATACTTACGGGGAAGGTTAGAGGTTCACTCAAAGGTCATTTCTTTGGATACTAGTCAGAATGTTTACATTAGTAAAAACGAGGTCCGCTCAAAAGGTTGTTCAATGGGGGACACACAACAATGCAGAACATTAAAAAAGCATTCTGTGAGCTAGCAGGTCTTTATAGAAGCACTGAACTTGGAAATGCCACTCCAGTATAACATTTTCAACTAGTTACCATGGCATGGACTGGATGTTCACTAGCAGTTATGGCAATGGCCTTTCTTTACCCACTTCTCCTAAGCAAATATGAATAGAAGCCTCTGAAGGTTTTCACTAGGTCCTTTTAAAAAGGGTCACAGAGATTTTGCTTTTTTCACTTGGGCACCATTTAGCCTCTCTGGATTTTTGTTCTCAAACAATGTTTTTGATCCATAGTGCTATTTCTTGACAGATTCATAATTCTACCACATTCTTTCAAATCACACAGAATTTTAAAAACATATGGGCCCCAAATTTTCAGAAATCTCTTAACATGCAACTCCTGCCAATTGTCAATTCCCC
This sequence comes from Homo sapiens, assembly GCF_000001405.40. Classification (NCBI taxonomy): domain Eukaryota; kingdom Metazoa; phylum Chordata; class Mammalia; order Primates; family Hominidae; genus Homo; species Homo sapiens. Next base: position 36,899,263 of record NC_000015.10, read on the forward strand.
TGATCTTGGGATATTTTATTGACATCATAGATATTACTATGAAAATTAACAATTAATGAGCTGACTGTAAGAAAACCCTGACATTAAAAAATGAAATTACCGCCTCCTACCAGTACTGATGACTCAGAGGCCACTCTTAGAAAATACACTGACATACATAACATGGAGCCATTTAAATTATAGACTAAAACAAATCAAACTAGAAATAATTTTTATTTATTTAATATTTGTAAGATGAAATTTCCATATATGGTCTTTTCTCAAAATTACATGAAATAAATTTTTTTCCACATCTTCTAATCTATATTTTTTAGAATGACCTTTTTCAATGCTCAAGTAGTAAATAGAATATCAAGCTTTGATTTTACGTAAAATTTGAAGAAGCTAAGTTGAAAATCAACTCATCTTCAGTCTTTCAAGGTTCAGGCTCCATTCATATGGAAAAATGTAACTTGCTGGTTCAAAGACAAAAGACTTGTCTTAAAAAGACTCAAAAGGTTCCATGGATATTAAATGGGCCTTATAAAATAACATTTTGATGAGTTAAGTGTAAATGAATCAGACACATATGGATTAAGTTATCCTTGAATTTCACACGGGTTTAAAAAATAAGGGGAAAAGAGGGTCTTGGCAAAAAACATTTTGGACTTTGCCAAACCCAAAACATTTGAAAAATTGCTGAAGACATCCAACTAACCAAAATGCAGCAAGCTGCACCCAACTTTAATGAAAACCCCCACAAGTTATTTCCAATCCAAAGACTGTTAGATTTTTCATCTGTATCTGATATTAAAAAATTCTCTAAGTTTTAATGTCATACCAGAATGATTTCGAAGTTGCAGGCATATAATCTACTTTTCTATCGGTTTAAACAATTTAAGTTACAAAGTCTTCTTCAATATTAAACAGTTCTTAAAAAACATTCTGAGTTTTTTTACAACTTGTCCATAAAATGTACCAGTAAGCTTAGTGTCTAGCTCTATCTAGATTTCACTTAGAAAAAAAATTTTCATTAGCCTCATTGTGACTTTTTTTAAAGGGCTACACATAATTTCATTAGTGAGTCCTTAGGGAATGAATACCCTAAAGAGCCCTAGTTCCATTGATTTGTATTGAACACAAAGTTAGTATCCAGGCCCATACAAAAGCTTGGGAGAGTATCTACTAAGACTATCTACTTTTTCTCTAAATTTTACTTAAGTAGAAAATGCATGAGTATGTGTGATCCTTAAAAATTATATACTAAGACTGTTAGTTTAAAAATAACTTAATTATAGAAATAAATTCAATGATGTTCCAAGAATCACGAGGCCTTTCTGACTCAACTCAGAGATGAAAAAATACATTAAAACAAATAAACCCAAGGTAGCAAATATCACTGTAATCTCATCTTACTGCCTTGCTGAAGAGCTATTTCCCAGAGACCTCTCCTGTCCTCAGAAAGTCTAAACTTGGTAGCTTTGCATACTTTTCTACAACTGAACTCTGACCATCATGATTTTTCTTTAAAGACTTTTTACTCCGAAGTATGGTTCAGATTGATAGAAGTAGATTTAGGTGTCATTCCTGTTTGTTGTTGGTTTCTTTTCTTTATTCCTTTCTTTCTCCACCCCCCAATCTTTTTAAATGGCGGATAAATCCCTTCTTTCTGGTTCACTAACTTCATGCCACACCTGGTAACCAACTCCTTTTGGAGGCATTCCTTTTGTTAGAAAGTGCAGGCCTCCATGGAGTTACCTGGAAAGCTGCCATCCCTGAACACTCTGAGGAGGAATCAAGAATAGCTGGAATTGAAGATTCTGCATGGATTGCTTTGCGCAGGGAAGGGGACTGAACCGTTGAAGAGAGATCAGATCAACTGGGGAAAGGCGTAGGTAGCTCAGTGACCGGGGACCTGTTAAAACATGAAAAGGCCCTGCTTCCCTACTGTCCCCAGCCCTGGGACCCATCAGCCACAGTGCTTATTCACAGCACTTGCTCCTGGCTGGTGTTTCAAATGATGAAACTTCAGCCTTGGCAAGTCACTTATCAAATTTCTCCATGTTTTCTTACTTTACAAAAAAAGCAAGTATTTCTCTGTGCTATGGTTACAGCTGAGAGTAGGATTTTCTCAGTAAGATACATTAAAATGGTTAAATCAGTGAATAAGGCAAGCTTAATGCCTTTGAAGATGAACTTGGGCACGCAAATGATGGAGTCATGTCGCAGACATAAGTTTTCCACTGGTGACCAGACAATGGCTCCTTTCTCACAGACAACCGTGAGCAAAGTAAGGTAAATGAATGAGATTCATATGTTACTTAGGGACAGACTCATGGATCATAATGAATTTCCCTAAGCAATAGTTTGATTTATAATTTGATAGAATACTAGATTTGCCTACACCTTTAAAAACACATGAACTAAATACTAATAAATTTATAATATAAAAACATGATGTTAATCTGGAATCACAACATTTTGTACCTTTATGAATATGGCTTGAATAATGGAGTGTTCATGCTGACATAAAAGGCCCTGGACAAAATTATCAAGTAAGTGATGGCCTTCTACTGTCTTCTTTCAATATTCTTACTTTCATCTAATTCTTCCCTAAAGTTACAAGGGCTCCTGGAGGTTCTTTACTAAAATACTCTACTTTGAGCATGCCCTTCTCCATTATTGTTGTATACTCCAGACTTATGCATAGAGCAATACGGTGAAGAGCATGGGCTCATGTCCTCTGCCCTTTATTTGCTGTGTGAATTTGGACAGTTCTTCTTAACCTTCCCAAGCTTCACTCTGTTTCCTATCTGTAAACTGAGGAAATAACTGGGCCTGGGTGGTTTTGAGGATTGAGGGAGATTTTGTATGCAAGATCCTTAGCACAATGCCTGGCACATAGCAAGCTCATTAAATGTTAGCTTACAGTCAAAATGCACCTATCCAATGCTCCTAAATAGCTCTGTTCTCTCATAGATAGTAATTAGGAATAGGTGGGTGGCTGTTAAACAAATCTATGCTGGATTGGCCACAGGGTAATAACTGTGTTGTACTCCTACAGGTAGCGTGTGTTCATATCGCCGGATCTTTCTAAAAATCGGAGTTTAATCCAAATGTACAATGCTATGGTGGAGATTTTAGACACTGGGGCAGGCATCTGCCTGCAGGGGTGGGAGGTGGATAGGGGAGTGAGCTCTTTTGGAATCACACTCTCTGTATGGTTCTCTAGATCCTTGCTACTTTACATGTGTGCCATGGACCAGTAGCAACATCACCTTGAGCTTGTTAGAGATGCAGAAATACATTACCGTCCCCATTCCTGTGCTACTGAATCTGATTCTGCATTTTAAAAGATCTCCAAGGGATTTATGTACATTTAAGTATGAGAAGCCTTGCTCTAGATCACATATCAAATTCTAGTGCTCTGCTTAAGAATAGAAACTTGCAAAGATCAAGTTTTAATTGTGAATCTCAGCTGCAAAAAAATGCACATACTCTTCTCTTTAGGTATCTTAGATCTAAACAGCCTTTTACTCACTTGCCTTGGGCAATAAACACTTTATAATAATTTAATTTATTGTACTCCATCTGTACCTCTTAAAGGAAAAGCTGGGCCAGTAAAATGTTTTTGTGAAGACTGTTAACAGAGGCTATCTCTCAGGCATGGATAGGAGAATGGTAGATTTCTATCTTTTTTTCCAAATAATTCTGTACTGTTGGAGTTTTTAATAAATATAATTATTTTTATACATAAAAGAATTTTTAAAGGAGATCAAGAAAATTTGTTATCTTATTTGACTAAGGTTTATATGGGTAACTGTAGGGACCTTTTAATTAAAATATTTGAGAAATTTCCCCTCAGATAGGGAATTATCTTTTATTTCCTTTACAATATTGAGCAACAGTAAACACTATTCCATGAATACAATCACACTTGATGGCATGTAACAAAACATCCCAGCAGGTTACGATTTTGAAGCACTGTTACTCTTACAGAATGCCATCAGATTATTCATATGTAGCTATTTATCATGCACTATAAAAGTGATCTTTCAAAGCTATTTGAAAGCAAGGGAGGAGAAAACACTCAAACTTCCTTAGCTATTCACATCTAGGATCTATCCTCTTAAAGATAAAATCCTAAGTCAATAGACATAAGTTGTAGTATATTACCTCATCCTGTACATGATTTATTGCAGATGGAAGTCAACTAGAAACTGAATTACTTTGAAACTTTTACTACTGACATTAAAATTCCAGATCTGGATACCTACACACCTTACAGTGCTTCTGAAAATAACTTTTTGCAGACACAGAAGGTACACCTACAAGTTTATTTAACTCTATCAACATAAAAAGCAGGCACAATCATTTTCAAAACTACTGATTTCTAATTACCTATTCTGTATCTGAGCACTGTAGCCTGACCTGGCTTTGCAAATCAACCAGTCACTTCACAATCAGTTGCACACATTCTTAGCCAACTCCCATTATGTTCCTAGCCATTTTACTGTAAGAGGAAAAGATCCCAACAAATCTAGTAGCTTTTTAGCTTTCATGATCACCTTTGATTGAAGTATTAATTCTCTATCCTACTTCTTAATGGAAACCACCTAAGCATTAACTGGCCAAAAATGCACCAAGCTGTTTAGCAATTATGTATTAGATATGTTTGAAGAGATCAAGGTGCACTCACATGCCCTGTGCTATGGATATGTCTCTGATTAGCTTGTCATCTGCTCAGAAGAAGATGTAGGCTGATTCTCCCATACAGTCTAGCAGGCCAGCTGTTAGCTGCCTGTCAAGCCCTCAAGTGGACAAGTAGTCCAGGAGCAAAAATGTCACTCCTTTGATCTGGCAAGGAGCAGCTGCTGATTTATAGAGTAGGACTTTGTTCTTCCGTTCTATTTTACTTTCTTTCCTAAGGCAGAACCACAAAATCCAGGAGAAAAAAAAAGTGCCGTTCCCAGCAACATCAACAAGCTCTGACAACTGCAACAGGGTTTTTCTTGGCCCTAACAAAGCTCTCAGGCATCTCCTTTGACGCTCACCTTTCCCCCTCCCCTTCCTCCCACCCCCACCATTTTTTGCAATGCAGTAGTTATTGTTTAATTCAGCTTCTGTAAATGGAATGGACTGTGGCCAGCAAGCCTGGGGCATAAACACACCTGTATGAAAGAAGCCTTATTGTAGCAACCATCTACAAGGAAGCTCGCATGAACCACACGCTCCTGAGTTCAGAAAGAATGCTCCATTTTTTCTGACAGCAAATTTTACCCTAAGTGAGTTTCTATTTTTGGTGCCACCAACCTATGATGACCACATTTGAACTGCTTCCTTTCCAATGGCATTACACTCTTTGAATCAAAGAGATAAAAGGATTACATTTTCTTCTTTTTTTTTTTTTATCTGTGAGCAAACAGATCCATCAAAAATGTTTATCCACTGCCTGTAATATCAATCATTGAGAGCTGGGTAAACGTCCAGAAAGGCTTTAGCAAATGCATTATCAAAGATGCTATAATGTTGATTTCATTACCACTGATTTATATTGACATGACTTTCCCCGAGTAACTTACGAAGGAGAAAAAAACCAACAACAAAATCTACATAAGACATGTGCATTGTCTTGCTAAGAATTAAACTGGTTTCAAATGCATAATCCTGTTCTCAACAGATAAATCTGTCAGGCTAGAGATGCCCTATCAACCAAGTGGGACATGCAATAATGCTTTGAGATACACTGTGAGAAGTCATCAGCCACATGTATGTAGGTATATGTATGTGTATTGTGTGTGTGTGTGTGCACATGTACATGCATGGAAACACACACACACAGAGCAATAAACTTTGCCAGAGATGAATTCATTAACACCTGGCTCAGTTTTCTGTGCTGCTGCTGAAGTAGGGGTGATAAGGACACGCACAGACACATATACACACATACATACAGACAGAGTTACCAATTCTAGGATATTTAGACATATTACTGCATAGATCAAAGACAGGAATTTTGTCGGGGGGTGGGGAGGGGTGGAAATGCCAGAAACAAAGGAGAAAAGAATGGTTGCTAAACATTCTCACTTCTATTATACTCAATCATGCCATGTTCTAGTGTTTGCTCCCTTCCCCTCTATCTAGGGGAACAGAGATTTTTCTCACCCTCATTTCTTGCTTTAACCTACATCACCCTTTGGCCAGTCAAAAGTTACTAATCACCTACCTCCTCCACGTTCACAGAATTGTATTCATAGATGCTTTCTCTAGGGGCATGTGTGTGTGTTTCCCAATGAGAGACTGGGTTTGGCATGGGAAGAGGGCGGAAGGTAAAGCTAGGTATAAAGGAGCAGATATAATGTAAGGCTTATTTTCATCCTGTTTTAATCCTAAAAAAAATTAGACCAAATAATTTTTAAGGTCCATAGTAATCTATCTATGTGTCACACATTGGTAAATCTTCCATATTCTATACTTCACATAAGACAAATTTAATGACAGAATATAAGACAAAGTTATATATAAAATTATCAATACATACATATATAGTTATATGAGTTTCTTTCTCCATATATATGAAAATGCAAGTTATGCCTTTAAAGATTTTTATTTTCCACACCCACAGAAACAAACTGAAAATCACAATTGGAGAACACACAAATAATTACAAGTCAAAATAGTCCATAGTCAGTAAATAAGTGTCATGAAGTCAATTAAAGAAGTTAAAGATAAAGATTAATTTCAAATTCTTGGAGGAAGAAAGCTGAAGCAGATTAAAAGAACGTGGAATGTTGGAAGAAGAGAAAACAAGGAAATGGCATGCTGTAAAGCACCAGTCCAGACCGGGGCCGATGTTGTGCAAGGGAGGATAAAGGAATTGAACTCTGACTGGCTCCCAGCTTCGATCTGGAAAACATGGCTATGATTAACACGCAATCTGGTAGAGGTTCTTGAGTGATAAATTGAATTCTTGAAATTCCTAAATGGTAGAATGATAAAATATGGTGTTTGAGGAAGATCTTTCCAAGAGCTATGTATAGGATGAACTGAACTGATGAGAATCTAGAAGCTGAGAAGATGGAAAGTTCTTGTCCAATCCAGGCAGAAGAGGGAAACAAAACGAGCTCTGATTAAGGTGGTAGAAATGAAAAAGAAGTAGGGTATTTGGTTGGGAGAACTGCTGATAAATTAAACTTAGATGAAAAAGGAGAGATACAAATACAAAAGATATTAAGAGGATAAGTCTGAGAATTTATGTTTAGTATGTTACGGTGTATAGTTGATGAAAATTGGAAATAGATGAGAAATTCCTATTTGTTGTGGTGGGAAGAGGCAAACTCAATTTTTCAAATGTTACCTTTGGTTTGACAATAGGACTTTCAGGCTGACAAAGTATGTCAGCCACTCAAGAAAAAAAAAAAAAAAAAAAACAAGGACAAAAGAAGAGCAAAAGGTAGGGACTTAACTTCAAAACGTCTAATTTCTTCCTATTTTCCAAGCTACATGAATATTCCAGAGCTGCAGGAGTAGGTAACAGGATAAACTGCCTGCTGGCTACCTCCAAAAAAATTACTTCCTTCCTCTTCCAAATTATCCTGTAAATTTTGGGAAGTTCTTTATCTGACCATGACTGGCCAAGTCGATTGTTAGTAAAAACCTCTGTGGTCAAGGCCTTGTTTCTAATAGGACCAATTCGCTTTTTCTTTACATTTTGAGTTAATTTGTGCAACTAGATTTAGAGGCCAATGATAATTACATACATGTTACACTGGGTGTTGCTACACAAATTACGTTCCACTCCTTACTTAACGAAAGTAAGTTTAGTAATGGAACTTATCAGAGAGTTTTTAAAACTGGAATAGGAAAATCTATATAAAAGACTATGTATTTTTAAGCAATAGCATAAAACAATCAAGGGTGGGTTTTCTCCAGGTAGTGACAACTAATTTAGAAGAGAATTGATAGGACAAAGTGTTACATTTAAAAGGGCCTCCATTAAGTGTGATGGCTTCCAAATTGTGTCCTCCTTTCAAACCATATTTTTCTTTTTAAATGGGCTTTTAAGGTGAAAAATATAGCACTTCACCCAAAATGGTGTGGAAACAAATGGTTCTCAAGTCTCTATTCTTCAACTCAGGCCAAACCACCCCAACACACCGGCAATCTAAAGCCACTTGGAGGGAAGGTGCTGTGCATGTGAATGTCCCCGTGGGCCTTTCATTTGTCTGGGGATCTCTTTTTTCTAAAGCAGCAGGGGATACTTCAGAAGACCAGATTGGCATGCCAGAAGTGTTTGGATGGACCAGGCTCTTATCCTCCTCTCAATTCTCCTGCTGCTTTAAAAGAAAGGATGTGGCAGAGGACACATTTGGAAGGTGGCAACATTCTTAGGGCCCTTTATCAATACCACCGCTTTCTTTAAATTGTAGCTTGGTCTCTTGTTTGAGAGGCTGAGATTTTAGCACTTTTAAAGGGAACCATAAGTGAGAAATCTCCTAGGTGTTAAACTTTAGAGTGGCTTCAACCCAAAATATGAAAAAATGAGATTAAAACACAGAAAGTCAAGTAATATTAAGAAAAAGATCCAACAAACAAAATATCATAAATATGCATACGTATATTCTTTCTGTTTAAACCAAATGCTATTTAACCAGTTTATACTGGCATCTAGTAAAGGTGCCAATGGGGAAAAAAAAATCAAAGATCTAAACAATTTTAAAACTCACTTTAAATAAATTATAGTTCTAACAGCTACGCATCTAACAATAGCTTTAAAAATTATTATGAAAACATATTATATTATGTCAGAAAGCAAAAAAAAAATCTATTCATGAATACATGACTTAATATCCTCACATTTATGATGTTCACATATCAAAGACCAAATTCCAAATAAAATTTCCTGACTGCCTTTTCTTAATGACAAATTAAACATCTTTTACTTTGATTTGACAGCCGGGTGGCATTCTGTATCTTCTCCAGAGATGTTATACGCAGTCTTTCCAATGTGACGGTATTATTACCCCCAAAATTTTCGGCATCATCCCGTAATCATAAAAGACATAAAATATATCTTTATAAACCACAAGAGACCTAGCAAACCAGCAGTTATGCCACATCTGCTTTAGTCCTTAAATATTTTAGCTTTAGAGGGTTAGTTAGTGGATTTTCCCCCCGATTTGTGAGAAATAGAGACATCAACCTTTGATTCTGACATTACCCACAAAGCCGTCATCTACAACAGACAAAAAAGCAAACACACTGTACGGCAATTTGAAAGAATTTTTACAGCATATTCAGATTTCACATCTCCTATCAGAATTTCCTAAGGTGGTTTAACTTAATTTTTAGAAATAGAAATGATGGCATTTCTATTTTCTATTTCCACTTTCACAATGCAGATAAAGTAGCAACACTATCAAAAAATAACTTGGCTGGGCACGGAGGCTCACACCTGTAATCCCAGCACTTTGGGAGACCGAGGCGGGCGGATCACCAGCCTGACCAACGTGGAGAAACCCCGTCTCTACTAAAAATACAAAAAAGTATTAGCCGGGCATGGTGGTGGATGCCTGCAATCCCAGCTACTCGGGAGGCTGAGGCAGGAGAATCGCTTGAACCTGGGAGGCGGAGGTTGTGGTGAGCCGAGATGGCGCCATTGCACTCCAGCCTGGGCAACAAGAGTGAAACTCCATCTCAAAATAATAATAATAATAATAACAAAACAACAACAACAACAAAACCTTAATTTAGTACTTGGTTTAACTGCCACAGATTCTTTAGAGTCAGGTAACGTACAAATAAACAAAAAGCAATTAATACTTTTAAAGTTAATGTGCTAACTAACCAGGACAACACTATTCCTTTGGCCTGGGCTGGGCTTTCTGCTATGGCCATCTGGCTAACACACCCTTCAAAGTGCTTATCACAGAAATCTCTTTGAGGCAACTTCCCTGGTTCCAAAGTCTGATTAAGAAGCACTTCCTCAGTGGCACCGAGCTAATATGCCCAACACAGTACTTATTCACAATTGTGATTTACTCGTCTGACTTTCCTACTAGATAGCCTTAGAGAGCAGGGGCCACATCTTAAGTTTTATTATTGACACTGCGTCAGGAATATAGTACACCCTCAATAAAATGTTTGTGAGTGAATAACTAAATGAGTGAATGAAAATAGGGTTCCTTCATCTCGGATATAACTTAGAATTGAGAATAAAAGAGCCCTGAGTTTAAGGATTTTCTTGTTCTCATTTTATAAGAGGCACAGCTGAATCCTTGATGAAATGATTTGCCCTGGAGCGGGACAGAACTAAGGTGGGAAATAACTCAGGCTTTCTGGCACTGGTCTAATTATTTTTGTACTCACAAACAACTCAAGATACAGACTAGAGGTATTAGTTAAAGGTGCGAATCTATCTGGGCATTAGAGAGGCCAGGTAAATCGTGGGTGCAGATGTGACTTGGAAGAAATTGGGCCTCTGGCTTTTCTAGGCTGGCAGGCAATATGCACAGTCCGGGACATAACTGTACTGGGGATGATGGGGCAGTTGACTCAAGTGGAGAGGAATGAGAACTGAGATCAATGAGGTGTTATGAGTGTGTGTGTGGGGGTGGGGGTGGGGGGTGTTAGGAGAGAGGGATAGAGAATAGAAAGCGAAGGAGGAAGATTTGTGAGACTCAGAAAGGAAAGGAGACAAAGGAGAAATAGAGGCACTTTGAGAGGCCAAGGCAGGAGGATTGCTTGAGCCGCGCAGTTTGAGGCCAGCCTGGGCAACATGATGAAGCCCCATCTCTACGAAAACCTTAAGAAATTAGTCAGGCATGGTGGCTTGTATCTGTGTGGTCCCAGCTACTCAGGAGGCTGATGTGGGAGGATCGCCTGAGACCAGGAGGTGGAGGCTGCAGTGAGCCGAGATGGTGCCACTCCACTCCAGTCTGGGCAACAGAGCCAGAACTTGTCTCAACCCCCAAAACAAAAAGCTTTTTAAAAATATTTTTTTCTGATATCTTTGTAAGCACATTTTGCTCCCAAATGTGCTCTGAGGAACTCTAGTCAATAGGTATTTCCCCAGAATAGGGGCCTAGGTCAAAAAAATATGGAGAAAACAAATGTGAAGGTAATCAAAGTGAAGTCACTTTCTCTGCTGCAGATTGTGTCACAGCCTTTAATAGAGTGATATATATTACAGATCTCCAAGAGAAGGTGATGGTACAAATTAATTCCTGACTCTAGTTGTTCAGATTTTGAGGGGCACTCGGGTTCCAAGGATGTGAAAAGAAAATGAAGCGGCATCCTAATTTTTAACATAAATTATATTTTTAAGCCTTTTATCAACTTAAAAATAGGCTTTCTTTCCATCTTTAGATTTCCCCAAGTCAGATTCAGAGATGAAGAACCACTTGTAGGGCTCTTGTTTATATCTAACCTGTTCATAAGTACCCCATGACTACCCCAAATATGACACCTTGACCCCTAAAATGTGCTGTGGCTGAAAAGGTTCTTTAGAACTTTTCTATCTCTTGCTGGGCGCAGTGGCTCACGCCTGTAATCCCAGCACTTTGGGAGGCCTAGGCGGGCGGATCACGAGGTCAGGAGTTCAAGCCCAGCCTGGCCAACATAGTGAAACCCTGTCTCTACTAAAAATACAAAAAATTAGCCAGGCATGGTGGCGGCGCCTGTACTCCCGGCTATTCGAGAGGCTGAGGCAGGAGAATGGCTTGAGCCCGGGAGGCGGAGGTTGCAGTGAGCTGAGATCGCGCCACTGCACTCCAGCCTGGGTGACAGAGCGCGACTCTGTCTCAAAAAAAAAAAAAAAAAAAGAACTTTTCTATCTCAAAGGTAATTTGATTATTAGGGAATTATATTAGGCTTAAATGTTTTCTCTACCTTTTCCTTTCCTTACTTTTCTCATATTTTTCCTACTCAATGAAATATTTTTAAAAAAAAGATCATTGGGTATTTTACTATGCCTAAAATGTCTGCTTCAAAATAGCTGTTTGAAACCGAAGAATAATCTTAAGAATAACGTGTGTGTGTGTGTGTGTGTATGTATATATACATATATATGCATACATATCACATATATACATATATATTTTCAATACCTTCTGGATGTTTCATTAATCAGAACTGTGACTGAGCTGTGTGTGGCCATCTAACTTTAGCATGTCTGTTACATGTGTTGGAGACACATGCATGTAGAAGGTAGGAGGAGGTAGGGACAATGTTAAGAGGAAGGAGAAATGAGAAGAGGAAAGAGACAGGAAAAGAGGAAGTGCTGCTTTGGATAATGTATAGCAATGTACATCAAACACTCCCAATCAATTCTACTTTCTTGTTTACAGAGCTTACAAGTACAAAATCAGCTTTTACTTATAACTGTGTTAAACACCACCTGCCTGCCCTCTGAACCTCGCTGTCCCGAGATGAGGTCAGCCCGGCGAAGGGCTCTGGTTCTATAAGCAATCCTGTCATTCAGGCTAACAGCAGTGATTCACTCACAGGAGGCAAAAATGACTCAATTGTTGGGCTTATTGACTCCAGGGAGCACAGCTACTCTATTATTACCATGGAGTGCAAACACCCTGAGCTCTGTTTTGGTCCACTTAAAATTACTATTTGCTGTGAAGAATTGGCAAAGCAATTCTTAAAATGATGGGGGTGAAAGTCAGGCAAGCGCCATTATGGGCTTTTCCTTCTGTTTAAGCAGAAGTAAGCAGTACAGGACTCGTTCTGAGCCTGACCCACTTATTTAACCTTTTATTCACTTTGTTGTATTAACATATATTAACTGGCTATATAAGCCCTAGGGGGGATAAAAAAACCTCATGACCAAATTATGGTTCCATTTTCATGGGTAACCTCTCCTTGGGTGGAAATTAAACCCCAATATAAATACATTTTAGGTGCACACAAAAGTGAGGAGGAATGCCAAAAACAAATGCTGGACAACAGTCCTGCAAAGACCACAGCAACCATGGAGTGGCTGGGTAAATTACACACAAGAGGAACTATTTGAAAAACCAAATACATTTAATTAAATAAGTTACAAAATTATTTTCCTATCTCTTATCTACTCCCCTTGGTTAATATCCATGACATACTGATGTTGCATAATTGCTCTTATGGAATGCTGCAGCTTAGAGCCGTAATGAGCTGCCTTTGCACAAAGGCAGCAAAAGTGGTTTCCCTACAGAGTTATCTTCTCAATTATTTATACTTGCAACACTTTCACATAATGGCAGTTTTAAAATCAAACAAACAAAGCAAACTGTACAATAAAGGAAGGAGGCAAGAAGGTGCAGGGACCTTTTCCTTTCTTTTTTGAACACCAGAAGGGATGGGCAAGCCACATAAAGTCAATGAATTTGGTTCCTGGAAAAGTCTCAGGGGCCTTGCAATGAGGCGACATCAAAGCATTTGGAGATTGCCACCTTGGTGAGAGATTAAACATGCTCTGCATACCTGCTTTGCTTTTAATCTGTCATATCTAAATATATGAAGGAATGCAAACTTTATTTCTTCTGTTTGTAAGTTTGTCTTTGAAAATTCCTAATCAGAAGACTTGCTACTCACCCCCCACTCCTGAAAAAAAAAAAAAAAAGAAAAAAAAGGTGCTAAACTGTCAAAGTGATGTCAGTGTAAACAGAAAATGGTGCTGTGTGTTGTACCCGTCCCTCAGGCTGTGGAAGGGCTTGAAGGTTTTTAATAGTGCTTGTTTCCACTGTCCGCACCTGCCTTTGGTTAATCACTCAAAAACTTATATACAGCAGAAGAAAAACTCCTTGGCAGTTATACCATATATGGACATACAAAATAACACAAAGGGTATATTTAAATTCTAAGGCAGAACTATACTGTTGTTTCTAATATTTAAATTTGGTATACATTTGGAATGAGCTGCTTACTGCTACCATCCAACTCAGACTTACTCGGTTCTTAGCGCCTAGCTCAGTCTCCTGTTTAGAGTGGATGCTCAATAAATGTTAGCTAT